>NC_000021.9:38604065-38914020 GCF_000001405.40 Homo sapiens
GTGAAACCCCGTCTCTACTAAAAATAAAAAAAAAAAAATTAGCTGGGCATGGTAGCGGGCGCCTGTGGTTCCCAGCTATTCGGGAGGCTGAGGCAGGAGAATGGCGTGAACCCGGGAGGCGGAGCTTGCAGTGAGCCGAGATCGCACCACTGCACTCCAGCCTGGGCGACAGAGCGAGACTCCGTCAAAAAAAAAAAAAAAAAAGTACTAGTTTTATGTCTTAATAGCAAATCTCCATTCTAAAATGTCTACAAAATTATGAGAATTTTATTATATACATGAAAACATCTATTATGGAATAAATAGGAGAAAATGTAAAATATTATGTACAGTATGATTACAATAAGAAAAAATAATACACAAATGTAAAATGAAGATAGTTACACAAGGGTGGTATAATTGAGGCAATTTTGAGTTTTTAAATAATTGTTTAATGTCCTTAAAGCATTACTTTTTAATTAAAAGAAATTTCATGTGAATGTTATTATAACAGATTTATAATAGACTTTTTAAATTACCTACCAAAGCATAAACATTTATCTCTACAGATATTACAGTATGCCTTTCCAAAAATAGTCAAATAAATGTTAGCTCTTCTATTACCAGTATAATGTGTACATTGTTAGTATTACTGATTGTGTCCTGTCTAAGTACGAACTCAACTGGCATATCCACATTAGGTCCTGAAGAATGGCCTCAGCCTTACTCAAGGACCGTTCTCTGATAATGTCAGCTTGAATAGAAGCAACTTAAAAATCTCCATGCAATTTCTATTAGCCTCACTCATGCTGCTGCAAGATCTACAAGCCATTTGCTCTTGTTGGGAGTGTGAAATGTTAACCAGAAAGTGTACTTATTATAGGGCGTATTATTTCTTTTCTTGCTTGCTTCTTTCTAACTGAAGATTCTGCTCTCGTTCCCCTTAAAACAATCTTCAGTGTTTCCTAGATGAAATATTTTTCTCCATCTGTCCTCTCTTCCAGCTTCCACACAGTTGTAGACTTACTCTCTTGCTGAATTTTCAGTTTTTCCTACCAAAATACCGGCTATTTTTGTTCTCTCCTTCCCCACTTCTGTCCACTTTTTAAACCATCAAAAAGCTATCTATACTACCCCAAATGCTTTCAACACCAATAATACAAAATTATATTAAAAATGTGATCTTGGAGTGGCACAGTAACCATTGTCACGGGGTCACAAAAATCACTGTTTTTAAAAAATGGTTTCCCTCACTGAATGCCCATGCTGTTCCTGGACTTCACTAGAAGTACAATAAATAATCTTCATAAAGAACAGTCTGAAATCACCACATGGTAGACTCGCCTGAGACAATCAGGCCTTATTCCAATTACAAGCACGTTGAAATGCTAGAGAAAATCTAACCACCACCAACATCCACCCTGCCCCCAAGAAAGAATTTACATACATTACACACATGGCCAAGAACAAGAGAAAGAAAACAGAAAGCCCCAAGGTCCAGAGTCAAAGAAAGAAATTCAGTTAGCAAGTGCTAGCTGAATCCACAGGAACCCATAGGGATTTGGGTCACAAGTGCAAGTCCTAAGCACTGCGGGTGGGGTTCCAAGGCCCAAGCAGGGACAAAGGACACAGCTTATGACCCAAGAGAAGCAGGAGAGCAAAGACTGGAACCTTTCCTAGCAAAAGTAGCTGTGTGCCTAAGGCTACGTGCAGCAAAAACAGTCATCTGTGAGAAATAAAAACCACATTTCTGTTACTTGTATGGTGTGTTGCAGCCCAGATAGATGATAGATAGATGATAGAAAGATAGATAGATAATAGCTAGATAGATAAATGATAGATAGATAATAGATAAATAATAGATAGATAGATAGGAGATAGGTACGTAGGTAAATAGGTAGATGATTGATAGAAGTAGGTAGGTAGATAGGTAGGTAGGTACTAGATACATAGATGATTGATAAGTAGGTCATTAGACAGATGATTGATAGATGATAAATGATAAATGATTGATAAATGATAGAGAGAGAGATGATAGCTAGGTAGATAAATGATTGATAGAAGATAGGTAGATAGGTAGATAGATAGATAAATGATTGATGGAAGACAGGAAAGTAGGTAGGTAAGTAGACTGATGACTGATAGATAGTAGATAGGTAGATAGATGATACACAGAAGATAGGCAGATAGATAATTGATAGAAGATAGGTAGGTAGATAGGTGACTGATAGATGATTAGATGTATAGATAGATGGTTGATAGAAAGATGATAGACAGATAGATAGATAAACTGATTCATGACCAACTGATTCAACACCCCTAGGGCTCTGGCAGAAGCAAAAATAAAACTACTTTATAGAGACACTTTCATAGCTTACATTATAGAGAATTCACAAAGAAAGAACAATCCTCACTGAAGATAAGCTCACAAGAAAATTTTGTAAAGTACATGAAGAAAAAAACCAAAATAAGTAGATTTTAGTAGATGTAGTAGATACAAAAAGATTGAGGATTAGCACCCCAAACAGCATGGATAAAAGATCAAACAAAAGCATCTATAAAGTTAATTTAAAATGACTTTTTAAAAACAGAAATTTAAACCATAATAAAAAGCAGCAGAGTATAAATCAATAACAGACAGAGCTGAAATAACTGAAGACAAATTCCAGAAATAAAAATTTAATAGACTATCTTAAAATTAGTTATTCAAAAATGGTAAGAGAAATTACTGAACTACCTAGAAAGAAGGAAAAACAGAGATGTTAAGGAGTGTGGAGGCTAGCATGAGATGTCCAAGTGAACAGTGAAAATGAGGGATAAAAATTATTCAGAAGATATATTTGGAGATAAATAATAACCAGATTTTAGAGAAAGAAATGAGACTTCAGATTTTTTTTTAAAAAAGGAGTCCTGAGCAAAATAAACATAATTAAATCCACATCTAGTCATATCATGATAAAACATCAAAGACAAAGACAAAGTATTAAAAGTGACCAGAGAATAGAATAAAGATTATCTACAAAGGAAACAACCTGATGGATACAAGATTTCTCATCAGCAACAACAGACGCCAGAAGGGAATAAAATAATGCCTTCAAAGTGCTGCTGGAAAATAACTGGCAACCTAAAATTCTACGTCAGGCAAAACTAACATTCAAGAGTGAGTATAAATTGAAGAAATGTTGAGGGAAAGACCAAAAGATTTTACTACTTACAGACACTTAATTAAAGAGCTATTAGAGTATATCTTCAATAAGAAGAAAATTAAACCCAGAAAGGAAAAAAATGAAATTCAAAATACAAAGGTAAACAGGCTGGGCGTGGTGGCTCACGCCTGTAATCCCAGCGCCTCCTGAGGCAGTCGGATCATGAGGTCAGAAGATCGAGACCATCCTGGCCAACATGGTGAAACCCCGTCTCTACTAAAAATACAAAAAATTAGCCGGGCATGGTGGCGGGCACCTGTAGTCCCAGCTACTCCTGAGAGGCTGAGGCAGGAGAATGGCATGAACCCGGGAGGCTGAGCTTGCAGTGAGCCCAGATTGCGCTGCACCACTGCACTCCAGCCTGGGCGACAGAGCCAGACTCCGTCTCAAAAAAAAAATACAAAGGTAAACAAAGACAATTATGAGTGGATATATATGCATCTTAAATTCAATTTTAAAAGAAAATTATGAGTTGATAAATCAAGATAAGCATTGATACAATTAAAGAGATAATAGTAATGATTAACTTTAGAAATCATTACTAAAACAAAGCAGAACTAAAGAACTAGGTAACAGTAACCTGAGAGCTGGAAGTAGGGGAGCAGAGTCAGAGGGCCTTGGATCGTTTGGAAAGTGGGTAGAAACAATGCTTGATGTCAGACTTTGTTAGGTGAGGGATAATTAGACAATCGTAAGAAGAGTCTAACCAGACTAAAATTAGAGTGTATAACATTCCCAAAACAGGAGATTGGGATAGGCAGCATAAATAAATTTGATAAAGTCAGGAAAAATGAAAGTCACAAAATAAGTTGACAGTAACAACTACAAATATATTTTGTATATATTGTAATTTACACAATATATAAATTAATCTCACTTGTCAAAACATAAATATTCTCAGCCTGGATGATTTTTAAAAATCCAGTTATACTCTGTTTATGAGAGATGTATCTAAACCATAAATAAACAGAAAAGTTTAACATACATTTACTGAAAAAGATATACCTGATATAACATACCAAAAAAGAAGTTCAGCTATCAACAAAAAGAAAGCTGGAATAGCCACTTTACTATCAGGACAAGTTAGACTTTAGGATAAAATTATTTATTAGGGATAAAGATGAGCAAAGCTTGGTAATAAGGAGCAATAATTCATCAAGAAGATATAAAACTCCAGAAGCTGTGGGCACCAAACAACACAGCCTCAAAATACATATGCAAAAATCAACAGAATTATAAACAGAAATAGAAAATCCTTCATTATAGAGAGAGGTTGTCGCTCTCACCTAAACAGCTAGATTAAGTAGACAAGCAATTAGTACAATGATTCTCAGAGGATGCTTTGTGAGACTTCACCTGTTGCCTGACATTTAGTGGCCAGGACCTAAAGCTGAGGGTTTGGAGGTGTCTGGGACCCCACATTCTGAATTGTCTGAAAGAAAAGTCAGACAATTTCTTTCACCCTCTATGCACCCCACATACAGGGGCACCAGAACCAGTGGGGTGGGAGCAAAGGGGTGGGTACAAACAATGGAACAGACCTCACCCTCCAGATTCCCACAGCCCATCCCCCATGTCTTGGGAGGCGGTTTAGGGAGGAAGAAGGGTAGAATCACGTAAGATCTTCCATGGGTTTTAAAATTGCATATATTTATTGAAAGTATACAACAGGATGTTTTGAAATACTCATCTGGATATACATAGACACAGCACAATGATTACTACACAGTGATACTACAGTCAAACAGATTAACATACCCATCATCTCCCATTGTCAGTGTCTTTCTTGGGGACAAGGGGATGGTAAAAGAACCTACAATCCATGTAAGAGATTTTATTAGACCAGATCAGACTTTTAAGTGATTAAAGGAGACTGGAAAGCTCTTGAATCTACTCCAGACAGTAACAAGGGATGTAAAAGAGAGATCTGTCCAAACGTGGATGAAGGCAAAGGGGAAGAAAATTTGCTGAATGCACCACTTATACAAAGATCTGAAAACACAACAATCCAGCTAGATCTAGCAGGCATTAAGGGAACCTGAACCAAACTGAAAATACATACTATTTTCACGCCCATGTGGAAGATTTCTAAAAACGACATAGTAAATCCCAAAGAAAGTATCCACAAATTTCAAAGAATGAAGATCCACACAACACGCTCCCTCACCACAATAACTCGACACTGGAAAAAAACAAAGGTATCTCAAAAAAAAAGACTTAAACTTAAAAAAATAAAAACAATTATGAGGCAATCAAAGAAAATTATGAAAGAACTAAACCACCACAAAAATCAGTACGTGAACTCAATCTACTTGTATTCATATGGATAATCTCAACAACATAACCTTGAATGAAAAAACCACTTGCAAAAGGATATGTATAGAATAACACCATATGTGCAAAATTATAAACACATTTATAGAATACACATGTGTGCAGGTGCACATGCATATGTGTGAAATCTGTGCTGTATACAGGCAAAGAGAAAGCAGAGTCACGTGAACAGGAAGAAAACACACCCATTTCTGGATACCAAATGGAAGAGGAAGAGACTGGGCAAGAAAAGGATCAAATGAATCATGCACTCTGTTTGTAAGCTGTGTTTCTTCAAAAAGACTCAGAAGACAATACAACCAAGCATTAGCGTGTGTTGAATTTGGTCAAAGGCGTTTTTCGTTTTATTATGACTGGACTTTTGTATATTTCAAATAAATAGAATTAAAGGAGAAAAGTTACTTAAATGCTCCAAGCCATTTTTAACACGGCTTCTGCTCCTCTGAGCACCTGGCTGGTGCCTTTAGAGTGGCGAGAGATGAGAGGCCACAAGGGAAGGATGGAGGGAGATTCAGGTTCACAGGTTCTTTGCAATTTAACATAGCAACGCTGCGATCACTATTCAAACACACAGCAAGTAATGGATGGCACTTAATATGCACTTCGGTTTCTTCCACTGCCCTTGTGCAAAGTAAGGCTTCCCAGAAAACAATAAGAACTAAAATGTTTTCCTGAAACAATGCTAGATTCCTAAAAGCAATACCCAAGCTTGAGCCATAATGGGTTCAAGGGTGGTGGATGAAACACATCTTCAAGGTTACTGTTAGTTCACTGCCATGCGGGCTTCTATGCAAACGGCAACATTCACCATCCAAGAAAGTAAAGAGCCCAGACTCAGTCTCCCTCTTCCACAGATCAACTGGGCCCAAATCCATCCACTTCTCTGCATTCAGCTCTTTCATTAGTAAACCTGATACTAGTAGTCCACGTGCGCGCACGCGCGTGTGTGTGTGTGTGTGTGTGTGTTTAGCAAGAGGGGCTTGAATTCCTCAAAGTCTCAATGAAAACTCAGTGTAGACTGAAGCAGGGGAGATTGAACTGCAATTGTACCAGTGCTTAAAGACAATGAATGTTTGATCTGAGCAATCATTCTGTGCTGTGGTGTGAGAAAGGAAACCTACGGAGTAATACCCCTCCTTCCTGTGACCACATGGGCTGGACTGTGCATCTTGGCCACCTCTAATGCAATGCAACACCAACCCACGCTGTGTCTCTCTCTGTCCTTGGCGAGGTCCTACACACAATGCAAGGAACTGCTTCACCGCACTGGCCAAGGACAACAAGAATAGGCTTGAGGGGAGATTGAAAAAGAGGAAGAAAGTGTTTCACACAGAGGAGAAAAGAAGTTTTAGATTAAAAGAGCCCTCATCACTTCCCATGTGCTCTCACCATAACTGCCTTGGAGGGAAGCAATCCCTGCTATCCACAAACCAGCAGGACTGGCAGAAGGTGGAACACAGAGGTAATCCCTTCCAGGGGCTCAGACCCAACACAAGGGCTTCACCCTTGGCTCACTTCTTCTCCTCGTGCCACGCATCCAAACCCTATGCAGAATAACACGCATGCCCTCATCACCGCCCACCTCCCCACCTCCACTGCAACGTCCCTGGTCCAGGCCACTGTCACCCCTCAACTGGATTATTATGTTAGCTTCCCATGTTCCCTGCTTCAAACCTTGAAACTACTGTCCACAAGGCAACCAGCAAGATCTCCCGAAAACATCCATCAGATCACATCACTCCCGCTGCTCACAACCCGCCAATGCTGGGCTTCCCATCACACAGACCCACGGCCCTTAGGGAACCTGGCAGCACCCCTTCATCACGTGGCCCCTCTTTCTGTGACCTCATCTCCACTCCTCCCCTCTCTCCATCTGGCCGCCCTGACCTCCCTGCTGCTCCTCAAGCTCAGAAGGCAACTGGCAAGGCAACTGGCTGTTCCATGTGTCTGGAATGTTCTTCCCCAGATAGCTCCCGGCTCCCCCTTCGCCTCCCACAGGCCCTCACTCCAGTGTCAGTCTTTCCATGACTGTCACTCTATAAAATCCTAACCCCCAACACTCTCCATTTGCTGCCTCTGCCTCATTTTTCTCTCCTTAGCATTTATTTCCACCACAGCAGGCCTTTGCTCATTTGTCTTATTGTCTGTCTGTCTCCTGCCTGAGGATGGGGACATTCATCTGTTTGGCTCCCCGCTGCATCCTCGGCACCCAGGACAGGGGTGGGCACGGAGTGGGCAGGCAATAGGTGTTTGTTAATGGAATTCTAAAAGTAAATGACAAAAGAGAAGGGAGGTGAAGGCAGATCTTTGTTTTCTGGTTTATAAACTTAGTGCTGGGCAGGAGGAAAAAAAGCGGGGGGTTCATGTGAAGCTCCTTTCCTGAGTCAACATGGTGATTTAAAATAAACTAAATTTAGTTGGAGACCTTTTAAATCATTTTTCTCAAGTCAGTTATATGTGCTCTAGCTCATAAATAGGAGGAAGAATGCGGGTGACATTCCCAAGACTGCAGCAAATGTCGGCCAAGTGAAAAACACACAGAATGTCCTGAAGATCCAGCGACGTCCTGAATGTGACGCGTTCCAGTTCACAAAAGAGGAGTCACAAAATGTTTACAAACCTTTACCATCCCATTGAAATGGACCTTCACATTTTCCTCAAAAATAGCTTTCTAAAACTGTTACTGGTTTACATTAATTTTACCTTTCTTCTTTTTTTCCCCTTTTTCTTTCTTATTTTAGAAATAAAGTAATAGGATTAGCTTTTTGATTAAAGCATATTAATAAAATTTTGACATTTTATTTGATTTCAAAACATGTTCCAGTTTCCATCATTATAGTGGGTCCTGTATGCCATGTTTATGTTTTGAAAGGCTGAAATTATGTGTGATCAACAAATTTATTTTATATCAAGAGCATCTGTACATATTAAATCCTAAATGTGTCTTGAAAAATACCCCCTCACCTTTCTCTATCCTGCATTTTATCTGAAGCATTGTAAGTCTTCATGAAAAACAGAGGAAAAAATGAAACACAGTAACTAACTAGGAACCATTAGAATTATTTTCTTTGACATTTCCTTTTTTTTTTTTTTTTTGGAGACAGAGTCTCGCTCTGTCACGCAGGCTGGAGTGCAGTGGTGCAATCTCGGCTCACTGCAACCTCCGCCTCCTGGGTTCAGGCGATTCTCCTGCCTCAGCCTCCCAAGTAGCTGGGACTACAGGCGCCTGCCACCATGCCTGGCTAATTTTGTATTTTTAGTAGAGATGGGGTTTCACCGTGTTAGCCAGAATGGTCTCGATCTCCTGACCTCGTGATCCACCCACCTTGGCCTCCCAAAGTGCTGGGATTACAGGCACAAGCCACCATGCCCGGCCCTTTCTTTGACATTTCTAAGCAGTAGATATTTGCAAACCATGTTAACGATCTGTAGATGTATATTACTAACAGGCGGGGCCCATTGAAATCCTAACTCTTCTCCATTTGTTTGCTGATTCTTATCAGTTTAAATAAAATGTTCACTCTTAAACTACATTTTAAGCACCGCATAGGAAGAAGGTGTTCATCTGAGGAAGCAGTGAACGGACATCATAAACTTAGTCAAGACTGTTTAGTAAAATCACAAATAGACCAAGCAGTTTCACTGCTGTGAGTTTAAAAAAAGAAATCACTGATCTTTAGTCAGACATAGTTTTCTGAACGAAAGTTAGCACACGCGGCCCCTTTCCAGTCTACAGTTGACATGTGTCTTCTAAGTGACTAGACTATGAAACCTCTAACACTCTCATCAGAGTTAATTCAGAGCTAGTCACTAAAGCACGCCCCCTGACCACATCGTAACTACTGTGAAAAGCAGTCCTTATAGAAATCATGACGTTCTTTTCCTTTGTTTGCAGTAGGTTGTTCATCGTTTTCATGAGAACATAAGGGCCCTCTCCCAAATAGCTCAGTCCCCAAAATGCAGACATCAGCAAATGACAGCAGGTAACGCCTGCAGACTGGTGCTCGCCGCTCACTGTGAAGGCAAGCAGGCTTCTGCCTCAGTTTTTTCCCCCTTTCTCCTCTGATCCATTCCAATCAACACCACTGACAGTGGACAGACTGCTGTCCGGGTAAGAGTGAGGGGGACAGAGGGCCTGAAGTTGCTCCATTCGTCCTCATCACGATGGGTAAAGAAGGGACTTCATGTCCATGTGCAGTTAGCTTCCAAAAGACAAGGAAATCTCCCACCTAGAAGGGGACCCCCCCAATACCAACCACAGGCTGGGCCCCCCCTCTTCAGCCGGCCCCTGCCCAGGTCCTGCTGACCAAGCCTCCTCAGGACACAAGGTCAGTTCAGGACTTCAGTGGCCTCATCCCTTGCATCCCACCTTCTGAGTTAAAGTCTTTCAGAAATACAGCACCATGGGCTTCTAGAGCTGCATGGAACCCTGGAGATCATCCCACTCCACTCGTTGAACAGTGGGGGAAGCCAAGGTTCAGCAAACGGGATTCTTCCCTCAGGCTTCATATGCAATGGAAGGGCACCAGCTAAAAGCTAAGCGCTTTGACTCAGAGCCAAAGACCAGGGACCTTTCTAGCACCTTCCTCCTACATATAACTTATATGTAGGAGAAACAGTTGTTTCCATGAGCCCATAGAAGAAATGTGATGTCAAAGTATGGGAGAACGTTGGATAGCATTAATGTCTAGTCAATACACATTCTCCCCTTGTTCTTACAATGAATCCCAATGTTGTTCAGGGCCACAATATCTTCAGGTACAAATTACATTCCCAGGCTTCCTTATAAGATGTGGCCATGAGAGGGAGTTGTGGCCTAGGAGATGTATGTAGACATCTACTCTGGGTTTCTGGGAAATCCTGCCCTGCTCTTCCTCTTAGGGACACCCTCCTACCTCTTCCATCCTTGGGACCACGCAGATGAAACCACCTGCAAAGTTGGCAGGCAGTGGCTAGAAGGCGACTGGGATGGATGAATGGCTTCCTTGAGCAGCCACCCTGGGACCATGCAGATGAAACTACCTGCAAAGGTGGCAGGCAGTGGCTAGAAGGGGACTGGGTTGGGGACGAACGGCTTCCTTGAGCCCTGGACTGGTCCATGATTGCTCAAGTCCAGGTCTCTCCTTAGGCAAGACAAACACACATGTGGGGAGGAAGGCCAATTTATCTGATCGGTGAGTTGGGAAGAAAAGACACAGCATGGTCAGCGTGGCCTCAGCAGGGAGTCCCTCCTTTGGGGAAATATCCTGTCCCAAGGCCAAGGTATTATTCTGGTTGGCCATTGGATGAGATTCCTGGGACAGGCTCTCCCTCTGGGGGAAGCCCAAGATTGTCCGGCTCTACTCAGCACAAATGTGTAAGTGTGTATCAGAGGTGAAGTATCAGAAGTCTTAGGTATTTAATTATTATTAAGGCAAAGATTACATCACTGCCTGAGATACCCAAATCCCATCCCAAGCAATTTCCTAACAACTGATCTCATAATAATAACAATCTTATTATGAAAAGGCCAGTGCAAATTGATTCTTAGAGACACTATTATTCAGTACAACAAGAATCAGAAAGTCACCATAAAACCATGGATGTCCAGTTAATTCCTCACCTTACTAAAGCAAATAAACTGCCTTTAGAATTAAACTGGCAATACCAGTGCTGCCCTCAAAACTCACTGCTGCCTCACCAATAGATAAAATGTCACATGAGATGATATAAAATAAATGGGGAGATGCGGAATTACCTCACTGAATAAAATGGTTATCTGAACAAAATGTCATGTGAACTGACTTGTCATGGAGCCTAAAATTTCTTGAGTCCCATTCCCTTAGGTGAAGGTGGGAAGGCATCTCAAAAAATGCAAGCATGGGGCTTTGAAAAAGTCTTCAAGTAAAGGAGGCAGTAAAGCAAAAAGGGTAGAATCATGAGCTTTCTTCAGTTCAGAGTTAGTTCTGGTTCTGGCTCTGACATGTACTAGTTTTGTGACCTTTTTCTAATTAGTAGACACCATCTCAGAGGTAGCTATAAAGATTTTGAGATGAAGTCTGTAAAGCATCTAGTATGTAGAAGCATAGAATAAATGATAGCTGACAATTATTAGAGTGATTATTATTTAGAGTGTCTGGCAGTGGTGTGCTGACAAAAGGGTTTTTGAAAAATCATTTGTTTGGGGAGGAAGCCCTGGTTTGTACTGACTGCCAATTTCCATGGTGTGAACACTTCCATTACAGTCAACTTCAAGCTACCAATGGGATGTCACTGAATGCAGAGTTGAGAAGAGATGCATACAGTCAGCTCTCAGGAGCTGCCAAGAGTCAGCAACAGCTTCTCTCTGGTTCAGGCACTGTAGTCACACCTATTGACATGGTTTGGTTCTGTGTCCCCACCCAAATCTCATCTCAATTTGTAATCCCCACGTGTCAAGGGAGGGACCTGTAAACCCCACGTGTCAAGAAAGGGAGGTGATTAGATCATGGGGGCAGTTCCCCCATGCTGTTCTCATGATAGTAAGTTCTCATGAGATCAGATGATTTTATATGTTTGACAGTTCCTCCTTCACACACTCTCCTCTCTCCTGCCGCCTTGTGAAGAAGGTGCCTGCTTCCCCTTCCACCATGATTGTAAGTTTCCTGAGGCCTCCCCAGCCATGCATAGCTGTGAGTCAATTAAACCTCTTTCCTTTATAAATTACACAGTCTTGGGTATTTCTTTATAGGAGCATGAGAATGGACTAATATACCCGTCTTGATCATTGGGATTCCTCTGTGTACGGCAAAGCACCTAGTGAATGAATGATTTATGAATGATGGGTTATTATTAACACACAAAGCTATTTTTGTCTCAATAATTTTGCATACCTTTGAACTGAGACTCAGAAAAAAATGTTTTCATGAATAAGAATAGATAAGAGGGACATTAGAGCATGGACTGTTGCTTATACTTGACCATGAACACCGAGACAGTGCCTTCCCAACACCTAGCACTATTCCAGGTATAAGATATATGGCCTGTAAATGACTTCTGGTTTGGACTGGACTGGACTGAACTGGACTGGACTGGATTGGATTGGATTGGACAAGGATGCAGAAAGAAACTGACCATAAGTCTGCTCAGAAAACATTCAACCTCTAAGAGGGAGGGAAGTCTACCCTCCCCCACCTCATTTTTATCCTAAGCACTGCCTGGAGGAAATGCCCTCCAAGTCCCATGGTGGAAACCATCTAAGATGCCCCTTCGTCCATGGGGCTTGCTCTTTATTTTAAATACAGTTCAGTTTTGATTGCTGAAATTTTCTTGGAGCCAAGGGATTCCAACAATGCTACTACTCAGAACATCAAGAAATTCCCTGGAGATTCCCAAAGTAAATAATGTGATATAACTCTTACCTACAATTAATCTATGCATGAAAATATATTGAGGGATATGACATCTTCTAAAATTACCTGCCTGAATTTCTAGCAGAGAGACCTAGGGAGTTACATCATATGCTGCCTCTCCAAACCCAACCTCTGAATGACCTCCACGAAGGGATAACATAATAATGCGGCTGTGTCTTGGTAAATGTCATTTATTCCCTCATGAATTTTGACAGAGATGACATCAAGTTTCTTCCAATTCTAAGATTTGATGGCACCATAAATATGACTTCAATTTTTAACAATTTAATGAAAAAATCCTTCTGGAAAGAGCTGCTCATGGGGAAACACACCTCAGGCATGAGGCACATTTTCTTTTCCAGCCCTTCCTCCAACCATAACAGATCCAAAATGGACTTCCAGGAGGATCCTGAAATGAGCCCATGTGTTCAGCCTCTCCCTTAACCACATGGAAAGGGCAGGCGGATGACCTGCCCAAGGTTGGGAATTCTTCACACACTAAAGTCCATCACTGACATTTAGGAGAACATTTTGTTTAATAAATGCAAAATGTTCTTTAAAATTATATCCATGCTTTCATTGTCAAGGGTCTTAATGGATGTGTTTAAAGCATAAATAAATATAGTAGGCATTCTGCTTGCTTAACCTTTCTTCCTCACCCCTTCATCTCTTCATATAACATTCACTGAACATAAAACAGGACAAGTCCTGAACTCATTTCTATTCCAAGTACTAACTCAAGTCACTGGAAAGGTTTCTATTTCATTTAGATGGTACAGAGATGTCCTGCTGTTTCTGTACCATCCCCATCCCATTGTTGATATTTGATATGTCATGTTCATATCTGTTGTCTTTGTTTCCCAAAGGGTTTGTTTAGAGTCCACTGCTGAAGAAGAACTAAATGGAATCTGTCTCTGGGCAGGAAGGTAGGGAAGGCCTTTGTTTTCCCCCACAGTGGCACCGACCCAGACAACAGATGACAGAAGGAAGAGACCACAGGCAGGACAAGGCCAGCCTGGAGCAGCACCTGGCAGGACGAGGCTTAAAAGAATGAATAAGGGGTAGGCCCAAGCCCACACGTGTCATGGAGTACCATTTACAACTTTGCCCACTTGACAATGGGAATGGGGAGAGCAGAGCCTTCCAGACCATCAACAGTAGGATCAGAAAGTAGAAGAGTCTGGAAAAGCAAGACTAAGCCAGAATAATCTGGAAGAATGCAGCCCCAGTGAGAAGTTGACAGCCAAGCAAGGAGCAAGACCATCCTGTTAAGAGGCACTGAGTGGTGAAAACAGCCTTGTCATGAAACAGGGCAGATGATCATCTCGGAACGAACAGGTGCATTCAGGAAAGATAAAAATGAAAACAGGAAGATCAGGATCATTAACCGGTAAAACAATGCATGCCCCTAAAATAACAACTGACAAGGATAAAGTGGCACAGAGTGAGAATCACAAAGTAACGTGGAGCAGATTGACTCTAATAGACCTTTTCTGGCCCCAAAAGCAAAAGGTTTGGTTGGTGACATCTTAAGACACCTTAACTATAAGGTCCCTAAGTGGACAAGAGCAGGCAAGCTCTCTCATTTGGCGGGGAGGTTGGGGGGGAACAACTTTAAAACAGAACTTAACAAAATGGCTAATACTAACTCCTTGAGAATAGGATTCTTCTAGAGAAAGGCAATGGTTTGTAGGTAATGTAGCCATTCTGTCAATAGCATCAGCAACAGCACTGCCTCCTTTACAACACAGACCTCTCAGCATCACCCTCTGTGGGGCAGGAGACAGAGTGAGCAGAGGTTAGTCACATCCATGTGGGTTCTAGCTCCCCTCTACCACTCACTAGCAGTGTGACATTGCTCAAGTGACAACTTTGTGCCTCTGTTTCATCAACTATCAAATGAGAATAAAATTAGACTTACCCACCAGGGTTGCTAGGAAAACTAAGCGTTAAAGGGCAGAACCCAATCCTGAAAATTTAGCAAGTACTCAATAAGTCAAAGTTAGTCCCTGGATAAGGACCTGAAACATGAAGTAGATGCAATTCAACCAGGGTCATGCAAAGCCGGGTTCAGTGGGAAGACCACTGAGTCTGTCAGACACCTCACATTAAGCCAACAGTCATTGTGACCTACCACCATCCACTTCCCTGACTTCTCCAAGATGGTGTCAATGACACACTCTACCTGTAGACCGACTTCCTTCCCCATGCTCCAGCCAGTCCAGATACTAAGCTGAATGTACTTCAGAGCTTCAGCTTCATAAGTCAATGGAGTCTAGAATTACAGCCCACACACCTGGTATCCAGAGAGCCAGAGAAGAGCCTTGGGCACATATTTCTCCAAGACATGGGATGTGTTTCTCTGAGACATTTCCTCATCCTCCTCCTCTCTATTCCTCTTGCTCCCTCCCCTCATCCTCCTCCTCTCTATTCCTCTTACTCCCTCCCCTGTCTCTTCCCTCCTGCTCCCCCATTTAATCTCACTGTGATCCTAGCCTGCTTCACTCTCTGGCCTTGCAGCTAATTAAAACTGTGGCCCTTAGTCATTTATTTAAAGACCCCAAAAAAATGGCACAGGAGATCTAGCAATCATAAAAGCATCACTTTTCTGAGATTCTAACAGGGATAGCTCAGGAGGCCCTACACAATGTATTGGTGAATCTATTCTATTTCAGCCTACCTTGCCTGACACTGTTTATAGGGCCAGAATTTATTACCAGCCTTACGGCTTCATAAATTAGCTAGTCAGCTATTGCCACACCTCAGTATACTGTCACATCTGTGAATTTATGGCATTGTGGCTTAATGTAGCATCATTGTCATCACTTTCCAGTACCTGGAGCATTCATTTTATCCTGGAAGATAATTCGTCATGGTTATTATGAGAATACCAACATAAACAAAAGAGGAAGAAAACATGTAGGTTATGGTCTAATTGCCTGAATCAATCCCAGAAGAAAAGAAGATACTTGACAAAGTCTGCAGTCTTTGAATGAATCTTGAATGTGCTTAGTATTATTCAGACTCGAAATGCTTTGCACACTTGAATGGGAAAGTATGCAGTGAAAATCCCATTGAAACGCCACAGAACGCCAGCCAAGCTAAAGTGCTGCACTTGGTTGGAATATCTGGGCTCTGACTCCTCCGTAAATCAACATTTAAAGTGTTAGATACAGAGAGTCCATAAATCATTATTGCATTTCTTCAGCATAAGCTAGTGCCTTCAGCAAGTGTCTTCTGCTGTTTGGCTCTTTGTTCTGATCTGGTTTGATATGGCTGGTGTGGGTTTGGTTTGGTTCGTTTGTGGGGATGAAGAGGTTATGCAACAGAAAGGCGATGACTTATTCTTTTGCTCTTGCTCACATCTCCCAGGACGTAAAAACAATGCCAATTCAACCCTCCTACTCATGTATGACGGCCAAACCTGACTTCTGGCTTCTAACTGCAAAATCCCCAGCACACTCTGCAGGCCCGCAGCCAGCTCGTCTGCTTAGGAAGGAGCAATAGTGTAATTTGAACATGACCAATAAAAAAGAACAATGGTCTTACTTACTTTTACAGGTTACATTGTCTCACAGGTAAGGAATGGAATTTTTAATACATTTAAAAATAGAGATTCCTAACCAATAAAATATCCCCATCACCAAGATTTTAAGGATGCCATGAGTAGCTGGTATTATCAATGACATTTGTGTAGTGGGAAAAGCATGGATTTTGGAGAAAGAAAGATGCAGGCCTAAACGTGGACTCTATCATTCACTATTGCCCAAGGACAGGCTTTCTCTCCACCAGGCTAAATCAAGTTTCCCAGTACACAAGTGTGGTGGGGAGCAGAGTGGTTCCGCAGCAGCAGGCTGGTAAATTTAGTCCTAAAACAAGACAGGTCTAAAAATCTTGGAAAGTAGAATCTGTTTGGAAGCTCCTTCTAGACATTCTGTCAAGCACAGCCTTGTTCAGTAAGAAGGACCTTAGACATACTTTACTCATGGCTTCCCAGAAAAAAAGTGAAGGATGATGCCATCAGTTTTCAGCATTTATTGAGAGAACTCGAACTACTGGAGGATTTCAAAGATGCTTATTGGGTATCCAAGTAAGACGTCAAGTAAAATTTTGGATACAGGAATTTGAGTGTGAAGGGAAGCCCAGGAATGCAACTATCTGGGAGTCATCGGTGTAGGTGGGATTGGAAGCCATGGGATGGGATGAGATCACTTAGGAAGCAACAGACTACCCCCTTCTGTGATAAATAAATTCCAGCAGATTAGTGTAGATTATTGTCCCCAACTCTTATGTCCTACCTCCTTTCATGCAGCTCCACATGTCATCTTGTGACTTGTGCTTGCCTGGCAGTAGAGAGCGCACTTTCCTCTCCAGGAACCTTGGGCTTGGCCAGGTGTCTTGCTTTGACCAGTAAAAGTGAGCAAAAGTGAAAGTGTGTCCGTTCCAGGTGGCAACTTGAAGAGGAATCATGCATTTCTGCTTGCCCCTTGCCATCTCCCCGCTGCCATGAGAGCAGCATGCCTCAGAGAGCTGCTGTCCCTTCAACCTGGGACCCAGAATAAAAGACACAGGGACCTCCATTAGGCCCAGCTGAGTCCGACAGAGCTCCAGGGACCTGAAGTCCTCTGAGTGACAAACAAGTGGTTGCTGTTACAAATTACTGAGACTTTTGGAGGCCATCATTTGCTACTGCAGCAAAAGCTGACTAATACAAAAATAAAACCCATCTCTTCTGGCAGATCCCCCCAGAAAGGAGGGTTAGTCTCCCTCATAGATATCAGGCCACCAAGCCTAAGAGAGTTCCAGATGGCTATGCAAGTTCAGCCCAAGGCAATATACAAAAATGCTCCGAGTTTACCACTGGAATTTCCAGAGTCTACTTAGATGCTCCCCTGAGTCCCCACTCATGCCTTTCCAGCAATGAAAACCTGCTCCGAAGAAAAAATGGCTGACATCGAGATGACTCTGAGTACACAAGGTGCGAAGTTACAGGAGACAGAGGCTCTCTCGGATCTCCAGGTAAACACACGCAGCTGCTCAGGAAGGCAGCCTGATCCAGGAGCCTGCAGGAGCCTGAGTCCTACCCAGATGGTCAGGTGCAGCCCCAGCTGTCCCAGGACATGCACGGGAGGAAAGGTGACCACGTGCTGTCAGATAGCAGCTCAGGCACCACTGTGCAGTGCACAACCACACAGGCCTTCATTCAGCAGGGGACTAGATTTGTACTCTTTTTAGCCAAATGTGGGCCTTCTCATGCTCCACGTGTAAACGTAACTCACCAAACAGGGCCCCTGCTGCTTTCCGGGCCAAGTCAGTGGAGAGGACTGAAGGCCGGCTCACAGCTAGGAAAGCAGGGCTCTGCCGCGCCGAGGGAATGGGTCCCAGGTCTCTTTCAACATCAGTAGGTAACACACACACTCACAGCACACACCACACACCACACACACTACATGCTCATACATATCACACACACACACACACCCCCCACACATGACATACACACCACACCATACACATACATGCCACACACACATGCTCATACATACCACACACACCACACACACACCACACATCACATACACACCATACCACGCACATACACACCACGCACACATGCTCATATGTACCACACACACCACACACAATCACACACACACGTCACATACACACCATATCACACACATACACATCACACGTCACATACACACCACACATTACATACACACCATACCACACACATACACACCACACACACCACATGCTCATAAATACCACACCACACACACCACATGCTCATACATACCACACACACCACACACACATCACATACACACCATACCACAAACACACACAATCACATATACACCACACATACACACCATGTGCTCATACATTCCACACACCCACACCACACATACTACATGATCATATATACCACACACACCATACATACACCACATGCTCAGCCATACCACACCACACACACACACACACACACACATCAGCACACACACACGTCACACACATTTTACATACACACCACACACACACAAAGCATGCACACACCACACACACCACATACACACAAGACCACACACACACATCATACATAAACCCCACATACACACCACACACATTATATATGCACCATACACTCACACGCACATCATGCACACACACCACACACATCACATATACATGCCACACACACACACATTACATACACACTAAATACACACCACATGCTCATAAATAACACACATCACACACACACAGACACCATGCATACACACCACAGAGCACACACATAACCCACACACATCACATACTCAACACTCCACCCACACACCACACACCACATACGCACCACACACACACACACACACACACTGCACACACAATACACATACACATAAAATTTGCATGAAATAAACATAAAGGAAATGAACACCAAGATTCATCTCTCTTGCCCTGCATATTGGATTGAAACATGGAGCAGACTGGCCAAATTTAAGATTTTTATAATTTACCTCTGAAATCTTCATCAAATTCAAAACACAATTTCACTTTTTGCCCCATCCGGCAGTGTTGGGGGTTTTGCCACTGGAATAACACAGTATATTTTCCAGTCACACCGTACATCAGAGCTCATGTGTGTGTTAGTTTGTTGCAGGCGTCCTGGTAGCAGAGCGTGAGGTCCTAGACTCAGAGTGAGTTCCTCCCTCCAGAAATGAAACACCTAAGTTGCTCAGCACTGACAGCAAACATGTAAGTAAGGCAAAGGTTGCCACCAGCCCAGCAGGGGTCGAACTTAAAATGAATCTGTGCATGTGGGCCCCTTGCCTTTGACCCATGGGGAGCATCATTCCATAAATAAACAAGGCAATACCTAACAGCCATTAGATTTCTTCAAGGCCATCTCTGCAATTTCTTTGATGAAACAAAATTGAAGTTCATAATTTCCTCCCAAGCTAATGTTTTACAATAATTTTTTTAAAGATCCCAGAGTTACAGTAATCACATATCAAATAAGAACATTCCTGAGATGTTTTCCATTTGGAATAGTGAAATTATTTATTAAAGCATCTCGGCCTTCATCCTTCAGGCTATATGTGAAGCCTTCAAGAAAACCTCCTCGTGAGCCTAACCACATGACTTGGCAGCCCCCACTCCTACTTTCTAGATCATCCCTGGCCATGCTCCACCACCCATCCCATGATCCAGCCTCGGCAAAGCCCTGGCTGTCTCCACATTACACCAAGCACCTGGCTGCATGCTCTGGCATACGCCACTTAAACTCTCCTCCCTGGGAACATCACATACTGGGGCCTGTCGGGGGTGGGTGGGGGACAAGGGGAGGGAGAGCATTAGGACAAATACCTAATGCATGCAGGGCTTAAAACCGAGATGACGGGGTGATAGGTACAGCAAACCACCATGGCACATGTATACCTATGTAACAAACCTGCACATTCTGCACATGCATCCCAGAACTTAAAGTAAAACAAAAAATAAAAAAACTCTCCTCCCTACTCATCCCGGCGAACTCCTGCCTGCCCCTTAGACACAGTTCATGCACCAGCTCTGCTGGGAGACACCCCTTCTGTGGTCTCCATAGAGCTCCTGTCCACCTCCGTTCACAGCGTAGGGCTGGGAAAAAGGTTCTGTGATGGGACGACCTGGATTTGAATCTCAGCACCGCTCACTGGCTATATGACCTTGGACACTTAACCTTCCTGTATCTCAATGTTCTTGTCTGTAAAACTGGGATAATATAAGCACTCACTTGAGGCAAATGTGGTAGGGAATAGATATTTTAATAAATGTAAAGCACCTAGAATAATACTTGAAACATCACAGCCCTTATCACAATGTATTAAAGTTTTCTGTTTATGTGGCTATCTCCCCCACTAGACTATAAGCATTTTAAAAAGAATATGCCTTATTATTTTAATATCCCCAGTATTTAGCAAATAACCTGGCACATAGAAAATTTTTTGTTCAGAATGTTGAATGAATGAATAAATGTATGAAATTAAAAATATATATTAATATTAAATTCCTGCTATCCTGTCCCAAAAGACAATGTGCTGTCATCACTGCTTGAGGAAGAAGTACATTATTTCACACATCAACCCACCTTCATCCTTTGAGAATTTTTTTTTAGAGCAGAAATAGACTCTATCCAAACCATATGGCATAAAGCTGTAGTTTTTAAAGATAAAGGTACACTTCAAAAAAGTGCTGACTCATTTCATCCTTAGATACAGAATACTCATCTTCAGCATTACAGGCTTGTGATGGAAGAATACAAAATTTTAAAAATATATAAATTCACCTCTTAGAGGTAAAGGTTTGAAGAACAGAGTTATTTGGTCTACTTGCACCATTAGTTTGTTTTTTTTTAATTTTACTTTAAATTTTGGGATACATGTGCAGAACACGCAGGTTTGTTAAACAGGTATTCATTGTACCATTAGTTTTTAAGAATCCTTGATCTTTAAAATGCTACCCACTTGGCCTCCTCTTTTATTCATGGCCTTGTTCTCCAGGAGAGAGGCTGAAACATCCCTTAGGGAACATTTTCTGTCAAGGTGCTAGACCAGGAGTGTGAAGCAGCGAGCCTTAAATTGCAGGAAGCCACAACAGCAGAAGGCAGAACGCTCCTCAAACTTGAACGCAGAGCCTGGTGCTGCTTCCAGGAAGTCCCAAGCCAGCCTGACTTCTGACAGTTGATCTCAAGATCTCAACCTATATTCATTTTCACATCAAGACTTTATTTTTGAACAGGTTCCAGGATACAACACCAGCTTTTTTATTGAAGGCAAAGCATTCTCAATTACTTAGATACTTACTAATTAATATGATTGGCGATATGGTGCGTATTTAGAATAATCTGAGATGAAACTCATTGAAGCAGCTTTAAAAAGCCCATTACAATAAAAATAATACTTGAAGCTCTTTTTTTTTTTTTTTTTTTTTTTTTGAGACCAAGCCTCACTCTGTTGCCCAGGCTGGAGTGCAGTGGCGTGATCTCGGCTCACTACAACCTCTGCCTCCCAGTTCAAGCGATTCTCCTGCCTCAAACTCCTGAGTAGCTGGGCCTACAGGCGCCTGCTACCATTTCCAGCTAATTTTTGTATTTTTAGTAGAGACAGGGTTTCACTATGTTGGCCAGGCTGGTCTCAAACTCCTGACCTCAGGTGATCCAGTCACCTTGGTCTCCCAAAGTGCTGGGATTACAGGCGTGAGCCACGTTTGGCCAACACTCACTTTTCCCAAAATGTCATGATAATAATATTCAGTGTGGAAGGACTGAATTCTGAGTCACCTGCAAACCATGATACAGTCTGTAGCAGTGGTACTGAGTGTAATCCATAGACCAGTGCCATTTTGCAAAATGTTGACTGACCATGATGAGAGAAGTACGGAAAGTAAGAAGGGCTTGTAAAATTTTAGAGCAAGTTGACATCACTGTGACATCAGTATGAGCTCAGTGCTCCAGTTCCTCTAAATAAGGTGCCGACCACTTCAGACACTGCAGCATTACTCACATTTGGGCACTCATTGGTAGGGCCACATTACAACATGTGACCTTTTAAGGTCAGTTTGTCAAGGATAAATCAAATTATATGAAAATCTGAGAAAAGGGAAGCACTTATTTTCATAACTTATTTTCATAATCTGAGAAAAGGGAAGCACGTTATGAAAATAATTAAAATTTAATTAATTAAATGTTTATGGCTTTTTAAAATTTATAGTTTAACATTACTGGCTAAATAAGGGAAGTCAAATTAGTATTATGTATTTATAACCTTTATTGATTGATTGATGGCCTCTTTTTGGTCAGAAAAACATATATCTTTTTTGAATGTGACAATCACAGTAACCAAATGATGACAAAGAAGTTGACATTGAAGAAATGAAAGCCAAAAAATTTTGTATTCATTTTACTTGAAAGTATAATCCCTCATATACAAATTTTTATAGTTTATGTAGCCATAAACTACAGTTTTGCAGCCATAATTGATAGCAAAGTGCTAAAAACACTGTAGGTCACTTGAACAAATGTATTGGCAAACAAAACAATGAAACTATCAAAACTTGAGTAGCATTTACATAAAAAAATTTTTTAAATACCGAGAATAAAAAAAAATTTGCAAAAAAGAGTATTATTAAAAAGACAACAAAAGTAGATGTTGAATATTTCATGTCTAAAAATGAATGTCTTAAGGCTTCCTGTAAAGCAGCACTTACATTACTAAAACCAAAAACAAACAAAATGAACAATCAAACAAAAATCATAAAATTGCCAAGACATTAATGTAAAACTACATTAAAGAAGTCTACTTGGAAATGTTCGGTGAATCTGTAACCCAAAAAAAGGAAGCTTGAGTACCACTTTTTAATAATATCACAAATCAGTGTTTTTAAGAATGGGCTGATAGCATAGCTGTAATGACAGGAAAATACTGTGAAATCATTATTCAGATAACAATGAAAATAAATCAACAACCTGCTTCTTTTCTTCAGAAAGTCTTGCCAGGAGGAAAAAAAAAATCAGCTGAACAACATGCTTAGAGACATAGTATATAAAAACTAATGCATTAAATTCAAGGTTTTTACATTTATTATGTGATATTATAGAAGATGAACATAAAGAACCGTAGAAGCATGCAAGGCTTGATGGCTGTTATGGGGAAAGATTCTGACAAGAATGTTTGAAATGGGAAATGAACTCTTAGCGTTCTGGTAGGAAACGAGTTTTGTCCCATGTTTTTAAAGATGTGAATTAGACAGCCAGACTTTCTTATCTGTCTGACATCCTCAGTATTTGAAAATATCTTAATACTCCTATGCAAGAAAGGGATGTGGTAATTTTTTGATGTATATCTTTATATAACCATGCATAGAAGAGTCTGGGAATATACAAAACAAAATAATAAGAGTGGCTAACTCTGGAGAGAAATGACAAGGAGTTTTCTCTTCTTTTTTTTTTTTTTGTGAAACAGGGTTTTGCTCTGTCATCCAGGTTGGAGTCTGGAGTGCAGTGGTGTGATCTTGGCTCACTGCAGCCCCAACCTCCTGGGCTCATGCACACCTCCCACCTCAGCCTCCTGAGTAGCTGGGGCTACAGGTGCATGCCACCACAGCTGGCTAATTGTTGTATATTTTTGTAGAGACAGGGTTTTGCGATGTTGCCCAGGCTAGTCTCAAATTCCTGAGCTCACAGAATCCACTCGCCTCAGCCTCTCAGAGTGCTGGAATCAGAGGTGTGAGCCACCATACACAGCCTGCTTTTTCTTTCTTTTGCTTCTCTGTATTTATAGTTGTTTTTCTACCCTGAATGCTGCCTATGTCATTAGAAACAAAGACCACAGAGTCATAAAAGGGTCACACAAGTTCAACCATTTAAAAAACATTGTCAAGAGCTTTGCCCATCTAAGGGACCACATGAGCATTAATGACTGATGGGCTCCATACACTACCCAGAATGACTAACACATCAATGAAAGACATGATGATCTAAGGACCGAGGGAGGGGTCGATCTAAAACACAAAATGTCCCTGCTCAATAGCCACCTGCACACCCACAGCTACTGCGTGGAGAAAAGAGAGAGCTGGCTGCAGTCCCCCTCCTGGGGGAAACTGTGAAGCACAACAGAGACCTGCTGTCTGGAACCTGGTGGCTCCCTCCCCACAGTGAGCATACCACACCTGCACTCTCATGCCCCCACTTCTCTCATGGAACTTCCCTGTCCCTTCCCTCCAGAAGCTACAAGCTCTCAGAATCACACCTTTCGTGCTCCAGAGTCAACAAGGCTGAGTTTGTGGTGGGCAACAAACAGACTAAATCTTCACACCATTTCTCATTAAACCATCCCTGTTCATGAGATCTGCATTAAAACTTTTTTCTCTTTTGTCAAGAGATAAAGCAGCAGTACACAGCTTTAGAGGACTAGGGCCTCCCCAGTAACCCTTTCCTCCAAACCTTTCTAAACAAATTATCATTATCATTGGTGCCGTTATCAGTATACTAGTACTGTTAAAGCCAAGAGATGACCTGTTTTAGGCAATAACATTTACAATTCAATAGCAGAGTTTCCTGCACAGACTGTACTATTTACAGAGTCCTGCAGCCCCTGGACAAGGGAACACAGGCTCCCAGCTGCCTGCTTGCAGAGTTCCCCTGTGGGAGGCAGTGAGATGGAAACACCTGGATGAGAGGCCAGGAGACATAAGCTCCTCCATCCCTGGTTCTTTCTCCAGGGAAGTAAACTAAGGCAGATTGCCCATTCTCTCTGCTCCTAAACCAGAGGCAATTTTAAGTGGCTTCCAGCATTGATACACTAGGTCTCTATGAAAGGTGCAAACCTTTCCACACTCAATGGATTCTCATCACAACCAAAGCAGCAGGGCAGTGTATTAGTTAAAATCCATTTTAGTTGCAAGTGACAGAAGATAACATTGATTTTTTAAAAACAATGGTGGCTTAAAAACAAACAACCCAACTCAAAAATGGGCAAAGGACATGAACAGACATTTCTCCAAAGACCATTCTATGGCCAATGAGCACATAGAAAAATACTCAACATCAATGAGATACCACTTCACACTCATGAGGATGGCCAGTAGAAAAAAAATATATCAAGTGTTGTTGAGGATATGGAGAAATTGGAACCCTTGTTCCATGCTGGTGGGAGCATGAAATAGTACAGCTGCTGTGGAAAACAGTATGACAGTTCTTAAAAGATTAAATATAGAATTACCATGTGATCCAGCAATTATACTTCTGGGTATATACACAAAAGAATCAAAAGCAGGAATTCACACAGATACTTGTACATCAATGTTCATAACAGTATTAATCACAATAAACAAAATGTGGAAACAACCTATTCATGATCAACAGATGAACAGGTAAACAAAATGTAGTCTATACATACACGGGCATATTACTCAGCCTTAAAAAAGAAATGAAATTATAATCCATGTTACAAAATGGATGGCCCTTGAAAACATTATGCAAAGTGAAGTAAGTCAGTCACAAAAGAACAAATATCATATGACTCCACTTACATGAGCTACCTAGATTAGGTAAGTTCACAGGGACAGAAAGGAGAATCCAGGTTACCAGGGGCTATGGAAAGGGGGAAGGGGGAATTAGTGTTCAACAGGTAAAGAGTTTTTTGGGGGATGATGATTTTTAAAGTTCTGGAAATGATGTGGTGATGCTTGTACAATATTGCAAATGTGCTCGATACCCCTGAATTATATTCTTAAAAATAGATAAATGATAAAATTTATATTATGTATGTTTTACCACAGTAGATTTCTTGTTAATAATGGTGGCTTAAACCATAGGAAAACAAGCAGATAGGCCTGGTATGATTATCAGGGACCCAGGTTCCATCCATTCAGCCACCTCAACACAGGGCTTCCTCTTTATGATCCAACATGGCTGCTCCAACTCCAGTCATCATCTCAGCCATGCAACAGGGAGGTGGGAGGAGGAAGGACAAGGGCACTCCTCTACCTGGAAGTTCAACCTTCCCTTGAGGGATACTTTCTGGAAGTGGCACACAGTCCTTCCATTCTATTGGTCAGAACTTGGTCACATAGTTGCACATGGCTTCAAGGGAAGCTGGGCAATGTTGACTTTGTTCTGGGCACCCATCTTTTCAGCTAACATTGAGGAAGAAGAGACAAACAAGTACTGAAAACAACAACCAATCCTGCATAAGTTGAAAATCACCTTGAGTGCAAATGTTTTTTAGCACAGGACTGCACACCTTTATGTTTTCCTAGGATCACAGTCAAAAAGAAGAAGCTTTAAGAAATGGTTCTGAGGACTTTCTTCTTTGTTAAGCTCACTTTGCAACATAAGAGGAATTCAGACCTCATAGGGATGTGAGCTACATAGTTATTCACCATATACCCTCAGGAAGAAGTAGAGCTAAACTGAGAAGCACTACAAAGAAAAAATAAATGAAGAAGAACAAAAATGAAGATAAAGGGTCACTTTCTTAATGCCTCATCCTATGCATTTTGTAGAATTTGAAACCCCTGGAATGGAAAGCATAAAGCTCTGACAATCTGGGCTGCATTCAGCCTTGGCAGAAACCAGGATGTGACCACTGGCTCATTCCTAATGTTTCAGGTGGGTAACAAATATTTGCTTTTTCCGGGGAGTTGACCACACACCCTCTTCCAATTCCTTCAACTCGGACTGCATCTTGCCCTTGAGAAAAAAGATTTGGCACCTTCAGAACACACCATTCCCCACACTTCATTTCCCATTAAGGTTGTCTTGGTTAAAAATGTTGCGGGCCAAGTACATGGTTTCACATACTCACATGGTTAAGAGAGAGAATAGGAGTTCTATGAGTCACAGAAAATTTGGTTGAAAAAAAAAGGAATCAGGAAGAATCAGTAACACTAAACGCCCACACGTCTCGTCTCTTTAAAGCACATTGGGGGAAATTTTGCTTTTAGTGGTAACTGAACATTCTGTTGCTGCTATATATGTCATTTTCAGCAGAGATGAAATAACTAACAGCCTGGGAAGATTTTTATAGCCTTCCCGTCCTTTAAGGGATGGCGTGGTCCCAATTTTGACCTCCCTTTTACTACTTTCCTTTCCTTTGGATAAAATCCATGTAATCCTCTGTAACACTAGAACATCTCTGCATTACTGTGTGCACACCTGATTTCCGTACCGTTTTCACCCCTCATTTTGGCAGCAATCTATGCATAAAGGCAAAAAGTTCCCACACCCCTATCCTGACCTCTTGGTAGCCGTGACCCTCATCCCAGCTCAACCCTCCTGGCATCTCCTCTCTCCTGCCAGGTTTGTGGCTCAAGTCAGGAAGCACGTCAGCCCTGAGACCTGCAAACCGAATCCCACAGACAGTTCTAGAGGGTGTGCTTGACTTTGGAAACCCAGTTTAACTGGCTTCTGCTTGAATCATCACTCCATTAACATCATCATTCCAGAAAGTCGTTGCTCAAGGTCTAAAGCACTTGAAACCTTCCCTTATATTTAATATTTATTACCCATCTTGAAGGAACGGCATCTGAGGACATCCTCCCATCTTGTAACATGGCTCCCCTAAGAAGGGTATAACATAGTGATTGCAAAGCAGGACTCTGTAGCCAACCATCCAGATGCAAATTCTGATTCCATCACTTCGCCTGAATATAACTTTGGATAAGCTGACTAACCTTTCTTTGCCTCTACATTCTTATCTATAAAATGGGCACAGTAAAAGTGCATCCTCATTAAAAAAATGGTCTACAAGCATATGAAAAGATGCTCAATGTCACTAATCATCAGAAAAATGCAGATTGAAAACACAAAGAGATGTCACCTCACACCCATTAGGATGAACACTATAATTTTTTAAAAATTAAAAACAAGTGTTGGTCAGGATGTAGAGGAGGTAGAACCCTTATGCACTGTTGATGGGTGATAGGGTTTGGATCTGTGTCTCCACCCAAGTCTCACCTTGAATTGTAATAATCCCCACGTGTTGTGGAGGGACCCAGTGGGAGGTAATTGAATCATGAGAGCAGGTCTTTCCTGTGTTGTTCTCGTGATAGTGAATAAGTCTCACGAGATTTGATAGTTTTATAAAGGGGAGTTCCCCTGCACATGCTCTCTCTCTCTCGCCTGCTGCCATGTAAGATGTGACTTTCCTCCTCCTTTGCCTTCCACCATGATTGTGAGGCCTCCCCAGCCATGTGGAACCATGAGTCAATTAAACCTCTTTCCTTTATAAATTACCCAGTCTTGAGTATGTCTTTATTGGCAGCATAAAAACAGACTAATACAGTGGGATTGTAAAATGGTGTAGCCCCTCTGGAAAACAGTATGGAGGGTCCTCAAAAATTAAAACCAGAAATGCTGTGTGGTCCAGAAATCCCACTTCCGTGTCCATATATCCAAACTAACTGAGATAGATATTTGCATACCCACATTCTTGGAAGGACTAATCACAATAGCCAAGAAGTAGAAGCAACCCAAATGTCCATGGATGGATGAATAAATGAAATTTAGAATATACATACCATGGAATATTATTCAGCCTTAAAAAGTAAGAAAGTCCTGTCCCATGTTACAACATGAATGAACCTTGAGGACATTAAGCTAAGAAATAAGCCAGCCACAAAAAAAAGATAAATATGGTATGATTCTAGTTATATAATGTATCTAAGGGAGTGAAATTCATGGAAACAGAAAATAGAATGGGTTACCACAGGCTGGAGAAAGTAGGGAGAGGGGAGTTATTGTTTGCTGAGTGTAGAGTTTCAGATTTGCAAGATGGAAAATTTCTTCAGTTTTGTTTCAGAACAATGTGAAAATACTTAACACTACTGAACTCTACACTTAAATATGATTAAGATGGTAACTTTCATGTTATGCATTTCTTTTTACCATAATAGAAAAAAAATCATTTAAAAAGTGACTCTTCATAGAGCTTTTGTATGGATTATATCAGTTCATGTGTGTAAAGCATACAACACTGGATGGCACGAGCGAGCATTTCTCAAATGTCATCGTTATCAACGAATTCACATACCCTGCTCCATGCTATATCAGCACACATGAATTATTTTATGTTTGGTTGGGTGCCTTTTTATTTGTTTGTATGGAGTTTTGTTTTCTTATTTATTTTTGCCTTCTCAATTTTCTGTGTTTTCTGAGGCCTGTTTTAGAAGCTTTACACATCTATTTTTTAATTATTCCTTACCAGGATGAAAATAAAAAGTAGAAAATAAATGTCTGAGAAAACCATCATCTGCATCTCCTTCAATTTCATAAGATACAATTTGAAGTGCCGAATTATTTCATTTGTTTTGGGTTTTAAAGGTCCTTCTTTTTACTGAATGAGAGGGATGTAGATTGGCAGCAGTTGATATGAAAAAAAAAAAAATCAGGTTGTTTCCAAAGGCAGTGTGATGGGCTGCCCTAAAGCTGCTGCCTCAAAAGAACCATAAGGTTCAGATCACAAAATATAATGGTCTCAGATTTCCTAGGGCCTGTTCTGTATATAATTCTCTAAGAAGAACATTGATAAAAAATAATACGTCCACAAAAATAAAACCAATATGATAACTCTAAAATACATATTGTAGGAAATCAGGTTAAAATAAGTAGTTGTATTTTATCTGCAAAAGAGAAGTTTAAGGAAATACTGCTTTGAAATAAATGAAGATAAGTCAAATATTCATTCATTTATTCAGTTCTGAAATTATTCAGCCACTATTCACTGTAAGATTTCTAGGTACCATTCTAGGTGTTCCTAGTCCCCATTATGAGCAAAAGTCGCCACTTCACTGTGTTATTCGAGGAGGGAAAAGTAGATACGATGATGGAGGCATATTTGAGGTCGATATGAGAAAGTTCACGCTCACAAACACAGCTGTGCATAACGGGAATGGCTATTTTATGAGGGAGTAAGTTCCCTGTCCCTGGGAATATGCAGGAGGAGAAAATGTGAGCATTAAGAATGCCAAGAAGAAACTTCTAACTAGACCCCAAATATCTGGTGTAGATAACAATCAACCTCTCCTCCAACCAAAAACTCTTCGAGTCCAGTTTTAAGGCACATCAAGTGGAGAGAACATCTGTATTCTCAGGGTGACTTCAGGACAGAATGCTAAGAAAATCTTCACTACTGACTTCCATGTTGCCTGCACGAAGACCCAATATTCCATTGTTTTTAACACAGACCTATAATGAATCTGTAACACTTATTCTATTAAAAATAGTCAGCTCCCTTTGCATGGATGCAGATTGATGATCCATTTTTAGAATCTCAATAATGATTACAATGGCACAGCATGTCACCTGGAAGGTATACTGTAGAATCCTTGCCTACAGGGTTTCACTGAAGCTTTGAAAAGAACATGAAGATAACTGCTAAAACTTGGAAGCAACCAAGGTTCCTTATATAGGTGAATGGATAAACAAAGTGTGGCACATCAAGACAATGGAATATTATTTAGCAATGAAAGGAAATGAGCCGCCAAACCACGAAAAAACACGGAGGAATCCTGAGTGCATATTGCTAAGGGAAAAGTCAATATGAAAAGCCTACATACTATATGACTCCAACTACATGATATTCTAGAAAAGGAGACAGTAAAAAGATCAGTGGTTTCTATGGGTTAGTGAGGAGGAAGAGAAGGATGAATAGGGAGAGCCCGGGGCATTTTTAGGGCAGTGAAACTTTTCCATATGGTACTATCATAGTAGGATCTGTTTTTAACATAGACCCATACTGAATCCTTTCTGAAAAATGTGAGCCTACTATAATAGTATAGCCTACTGTAATAGTAGGCTCACATTTGTCAAAACCCATAAAACATACAACACCAAGAGCAGGCCCTAATGTAAACTATAGACTTTAGGTGATAATGATGTGCCAACCTAGATTTATCAATTGTAACAAATATAACACACTAAAAAGCAAAAACAATCAAACTACTCTGAGATACCAAAAAACACCAGATATATGCATAAATAAAGAAATAGTGAGTAATTCGATAAATGAAAAAGTAACCAAGAGGAAACTTCACAGGCATGATTCCTTTAAGGAAACAAAGAAATAAGCATAATAATAATAAACTTCTCATTTCTAAAATCCAAAAACTGTTACAAAAGGATTCAATGTGATATTTTTAAAGCACAATTATTGAGCATAAAATACAATCTGGAAGGCATATAACTTTGCAATAACCTTTTCTGTGTTTAGGTAAGGTTGACTGCAGAGTTGAGAGCTGGGCCATTGACATTTGAGGTCATGGTGGCAGCAGTCCGCCACTATTACCACCTATGTCCAAACATAGCTGACCCTAGCATGACTCAGGTTGAATAATATTCAGGAAATGAGGCCTTGGGCTAGGGTCCCAGCTCTTGCAATCACTAGTTCCACAATTTGGGGGAGGTGATTCTTCTAGGTCTCTATTTTCCCATACAAGATGATATGGTTTGGCTGTGTCCCCATCCAAATCTCATATTGAATTGTAGTTCCCATAATCTCCATGTGTCATGGGAGGGACCAGGGCAGGTAACTGAATCATGGGGGTGGTACCCTCTTGCTGTTCTCAAGATAGTGAGTGAGTTCTCATGAGATCTAATGATTTTATCTGGGGCTTTTCCCCCTATTGATCAGCATTTCTCCTTCCTGCTGCCATGTGAAGAAGGACATGTTTGCTTCCCCTTCTGCCATGATTGAAAGTTTCCTGAGGCCTCCCCAGCCATGTTGGAACTGTGAGTCAATTAAACGTCTTTCCTTCATAAATTACCCATTCTCAGTTATGTACTTATAGGAGCCTAAGAATGAACTAATACACAATAAATGCACAGAAGAGGTCAGCTAGCAGTTTTCACACCCGTCTCCAGGAGAAGAGAAGCTAGGAGGAGCAGGAGGGCAAGGAGGGTCCGGCTCCCACCAAAAGAGTTCACCCTCTGGGGGAAGGGCTACTTATTGGGCTTTTATGCAAAATTTTATTTGAACAAAGAATTCCTCAGCTTTAAAAATAGTGGCATCTGGTTCCTTTTCCCTGAAGGTATTTACTCAAGCCAAGGAATGAAGCACCTGTGGGTGAAGAGCAGATGAAAGCTGGAACTATAAAAGCCGGAGGGAAGCTTTTTCTCATTTCTAAGGAGATTATCAGGAAGAATGTACTCTGGCCCCTGGAAACCCATCCAACCTCTCCTCTCCCACCTGGGCTGGCTGCAGCAGCTCTGCAGGATGTCACCCAAAAAGCTCCGTTCCCAACCCTGCGGCCCACAGCCTGACAGGAAAAAGAACTCTCTCAACCTGGATTCCGGGGCCCTGTACTCTAATAGAGGGCTGGACACTGCCTGGCTGTCCCCCTGCTTAGAAGGAAGCAAATGTTTATTCAAAAATATTTATTAGGTAATACAACAAACTGTCAAAAAGGAAGAGGCGAACACTGTTACAGTTTACAAACATGAACCATGGATTCTTAACAAATGGGAGACTTTAAATGGGGATGGAAATAAAGCCCCAAGGAGGGGAAAGATGTTGTGGAAATGCTGCCCAGTGGGAGGCAGGCTTGGAACCGCACGCTGGTCTGGCTGGTGATAATCTAGTCTAGATGAAGATCTGGACAGCATCCTTCTGCTCAGCCACTAGCCTCTCTTTGCTTTCTAGTCAGTGTAAAAAGCATCTCAAAACCATTGCTTTCCCAGACTTCAGTCTCCTGAAATGTGTGTGTGTGTGTGCATCCCATATGTGTGTCATTTTGTGTTTCTGCCAGCCTTTCTGTTGAAACTTGCCAGAGAAAATGACCCACCTGCGAATTGGCAAACGGAACCTGACTGAATAAAAACTCCTTGATTCAGAGCTTAAGAAACAATCCAGTGGATTTCTTACTAATCTGGGTGTTCAAAATAGTCTTTCTACTTACTTGGGCTCAATATTTTGGAAGCTATTGTGGTGAAATGAGTGATCACGTTGGAATTAGACACTGTACTACTAATTGTGTGTCCTTGGAAAGTTACCTAACATTTCTGAGCTTCCATTTCCTCAACATAAAATGAGGATAAAAATGTCCATCATGCAAGATTGTCCTGACAACTGTGCTACTGTCTACAGGATCCTAAGAAAGAGCAACTAAAATTATGTTAATGTTATTAATTATAATTTTAATCATCAATACTGTTAATAATAATAAAAGACTTTAAAATAATTTCCTCGTTTTTAACTTACTGTAATATCAACTGTCTGTGGTAGCCTGTTCACTTGCTTTGTCCTTAGTCTTGTGATCCATGTCTTTTTCTTATCTGTTAGTTTTATGCTGTCTCTTCACAAGTTCTTTTTCTGCGTGTGTGTGTGTGTGTGTGTACACATGTGTATGTATGCAAGTGTGTGTTCCAACAGGGGTTCCCACTTGCCCATTAGAAGTTTATGCTGGGGTCTAGATAATAAAAGTAAGAAATCCAGGACTACACAAATGTTAACTGAGTGGATTGAAGAGCAAGAGAGTTCTCATCACAGCCAAACCTATGAGCACAATGCATTGGGCATATCAGAGAAAACGAAGATCTAAGGTAAGGTGTGAAACACAGCACATGCAACTCGAAATGCTGAGGGGAAGATCTGGTAGGGGGGCCTGGTTTGTGAAACTCCTCCGATCTGGGTGCGCCAGTCCGGGTGCAATGTCCAGCTCAGCCACTTGTCCCCATGGGACCTTGAGCAAGTCACTCCATGATTCCATGCCTCAGGTTCCTGCTCTGTGAGTTGGGAATAACAGAGCCCCTCCCAGTGGGTTGTTGTGAGGATTTGGGGAGTTAATCCAGGTAAAGCCCAGCACAGTCGGCATTCTATAAGCGTGAGCTTCATCATGATCATCTTATCACTTTGCGTGCATCTGGCCCTCCTCACTTACAACTACTGCACCCCGTGGTAGAATGCAGCACTCATCCAACAAGACTTGCAACTCACTTCATCTCTAAAATGTAACAGGTCCAGGTAAAAAAGGGCAGATTGAACTTGTGGGCTTACCTCTAGAATAATATCACTAAAAGTAGAAATTCAAATGGACAAAGGGAAGAAAGAAGAGACAACAGCCTGTGGAAGATGTTTGCAAAATTTGGAAGATGGAAAGCAAATAAGAGAATGGCAGTTGATGAGTGAGGGGACCTCCCTGCCAGAGGATGGGGGGAGTCAGTAAAGGGAAAGGCAATTTGCAACATACGACCCTGAGAGCTTTGGAAATTTGAGGTCACTCAGAGGGTGGGAGCAGGGCAAGGAATGGGGCTGAAAACATGAGAGTGTATGAGTGTTGGAGAAAGGGGAAATTCAAGTGCTCCCTCCTCCTCCCACATCCCCTTTCTGATCCCCTGCAGCCAGGTAACCATCCTGTGCCTAGCAGGTAATTTAGGGTTCCTCTCCAGAGAGAAATCAGGGACTCCAGGCTCTGCAGAGTGAGGGAATGAGGCAACATACTGAAAAGGGGGACCAAGTGAATGGCAAGGTACCTCCCCCAGGATCTTCCCTCTACTTCACCCTCAGAACCCTGCAGCCAGGCTCTAACAACCCCACCCTCATTCCACCACCCTTTCCACAGCTGACAACAGCAGTATTCTCCCCCAGGAGATGCTGACCAACCCAAGAGAAAGAGCTACTTAGACAGTCACTTATGGGTCCCCAATGACATAGTCAGGTGCTGATACCCATCACGGCACACACCCCCAGCCAACAAGCCCCACCTGGGCACACAGTTTCCTAGTGAATTATTCTGAATTATTTCCTAGTGAAGAGCATCCAAGGTCCACCAGACACTTGTGAAAAACTTCCAAGCATTAGAAATGATGACCAAAATCTAACAATCACGAAGAAAAAATGTGGAGCAAAAAGAGATGTTTTAACTTTAAAAAAAAAAACTATCATTAAGATCCTAAAGATAAGAACAAATAATACAGCCATTAAAAAAACAGTTAAAGATGCCTTGAATAAAAAGGATCAGAGAGGAGGTTCAACATCTAAATAACAAGAGTTCCAAGAAGAGAAAACATTTAAAAATGGAAGAGAAAATTCTCAAAGAAATCATACAGAAAAATTTCCCACAACTGAAGAGGCCCACTGAGTACCCCACATAATAAAAGGAAGAAGACCCTAAACAAGGCACATCTCTGTGACATTTCAGGACACTGAGATGAAAGAGAAAAACCTAAAACATTCAGAGAAGAGAAATGGGAACCAGGATGGCATCCCAAGCTTCTTGATAACAACAATAAGAGCTGGTAGTCTATGAAGCATCACTTTCACTTTCCAAATCGTGAGGGAAATGTTTCTTAAAGGGAATCAAAGGCCCAGCCAAGCCATCAATGTGAAGAACTACACCAACCATGAGGCTGACAGGATAACCTGGAGACAGGGGACCCAGCATGAAAACCAACAGAATCCTAGGGTGCCAGAGGGCAGAGATGCCAGGACAGCCACGCCTGGAAACAGCCGGTTCCATCTGTGAGCACAGGGCTCCTTAAAGCACCCTCCCCCACAACAAAACAATAAAAACCCTGAGAGATGACCAAATTCATTCTAACACACTGAAAAGAGGAACTGGTTCTGCCAAGGAGTTTAAGGGAGTCTTATTGTAAGTACTTAGAAAAACCAAGGCAATAAAAAAATCATTGAAAATCAATGAAAAATCAATTGAAAATCATTGAAAATCAATGAAAAATCAATTGAAAATCAATGAAAAGTTATTGTTTTTGAAAAAATCGAACATTACAGCACACTATATGACTCAGTTCTAAGTAACATTTACATAGTTATAATAATGTTACAAATGCATATCAACTTAACCAACATTATGATTTACCTACATTGGAAGGATGGAGAAACAGGAGATGGGGGAAGGGGGCATGAGCTAAATTCTCATCTACCTTAGGAGAAAATTGATAATGTCTGATATGGTTTGCCTGTGTCTCCACCCAAATCTCATCTTAAATTGTAGCTCCCGTAACTTCAACGTGTTGTGGGAGGGAGCCGGTGGGAGATGATTGAGTCATGGGGTGGTGTCTCCCACACTGTTCTTGTGGCAGTGAATAAGTCTCACAAGATCTGATGGTTTTATGAGGGGAAACCCCTTTCACTTGGCTCTGATCTGTCTTGCCTGCCGCCATGTAAGATGTGCCTTTCACCTTCTGCCATGATTGTGAGGCCTCCCCAGCCACGTGGAACTGTGAGTCCACTAAGCCTCTTTTTCTTTATAAACTACCCAGTCTCAGGTACATCTTTATCAGCGGTGTGAAAATGGACTAATACAAAGTCCAAATGAAAAGCTCATGAAAACGCAGTGATGTATCAACAAGGAGGTAAATGACAGAAGAAACAGCTAAGAGGACAGCAGTTACCTCTAGGAAAGGGGGCTCTCTGGGAAAATGGAAGGCAGAGAACTGCTATTTTTCATTATAAGCGCAGAAATACTATTTGACTTTTACAACTATGTATTAGCATGAGAAATATAACAACTAGAATAGAACAGTGATAAAACATGTAGAAAATTTCACAGTGAATAAACTAACGCATACATAGATAGGCAACCGTTTTCTGAGAGTCAGTTGTGAACCCAGAAAAGGCATAAAATCCAGTTCTTCAGAGCCATCCCATGCTCATTGCATGTACCACCAGTTTGCTTCCTCCCAAAATTCACATGTTGAAATCCTAACCCTCAAGGTAATGGCATTAGGAGCTGGGGGGCCTTTGGGAGGTGATTAGGTGTTGAGGATGGACCCTTCATGAATGGGATCAATGCCCTTATAAAAGGGACCAGAGAGAGCTCCCTTCACCCCTTCTACCATTTGAGGACACAGCAAGAAGATGCCATCTATGAACCAGAAAATGGGCCCTCAACAGACAACAAACCTGCCAGTGCCTTGACATTGAACTTCCCAGCCTCCAGAACTATGTGAAATAAAGTCTTGTTTATGACCATCCAGTGTACAGTATTTTGTTATAGCAGCCTGAATGAACCAAGACACTCATCATCAGGGCTGTTGCATCTGCCCCTTCCCACCACAGTCTCACTAAAGCAACCGGAAAGAGGCACCAAATACGTCCCCCTTTGTTATGTTAGTAACACAGTCATGTTATAATACAAAATAAACTAAGCAATGTCAAACAGATCAACATAATTATTTAGTATGACATAAACCTCTTCCAAATGCACATGCAAATTTTTTCATTATTTACCTTTTAAAAGCCTTAAAGCTTAAAGTGAAAATTAGTGTGAAAAAAAAAACAAATTTCTGAAAGGTAATTTGTCAGTCTATATCAAAAGATTAAAGATACATATCTTTCATCACACAATTCCACTTTCAAGAGCGTATCTCAGTCTGATAAACTACAGCATGGTTTGAAACAGTAATTTTCATCTTGGAGGCATGTGAGAATACTGATTCCTGGGCCCCACCCCAAGACAGCCTGATTCAATTGGCCTGGGATAGGACCTGGGCATCTGCATTCTGCACTCAAGATTGGGAATTCCTGGTTTATAATATAGAAAACTAGAAACAGCCTGAATACTCAACAGAAGAGGACTAGGTAGATAAATTTATAATGACAGAGACATACGATGGAATACTAGACAGTTTAAAAGTAATGTGGCATTAAAAATATCATTAAGCATACCTATGAACATGGGCAGATACTTCTAATGTGCTGGTAAGTGAACAAAACAGGTGCCAGCACATATATATAAAAGTGTATATATAATATGATCCCCTTTGGGGAAAAACATGTGTATAAGAGAGAAATTCCACTATCTGGAATGAAATGCATTACTTTTCAATAGCCATTATGTCTGAGTGCAGAAAGATTTAATTTAAATACTTTTGTTCATCTGTATGCTCACGGTAAACAAAGTATTATTGACACCATCTTCTAAAGTTCAAAAATGCTGTTATATATCACTTGTAAGTTTTAAACATTTTAGTACTGTTCATATAGATTTCACCTCACACCCCACCCTAAATCCATATACACAGACCCACTCAAACTCTCACCTGCAGATTCTCAGAGCACACTACATCCTGCCAAGTCTCCAGCGTGAAGAACAACTTTTGCATAGGTTTCATCTTTCCTTTGTATTAATAGGTAACAAAGTCTGGCTGCCTCAAACTCAGAACATCCTTGCAACACTGTTACACCCACTGATCTTCCAAGTTCACCTTCACAAATGTGCAAGGGATGAGGGGGACAAAGACCAAGTCACCAGCACCACTCCTGATCCCCCAGATTCCAGCCCAGGTAAACCATTCAGCATCATTGGTCAAAGGTATTGGGTCACTGAAGGAGGAGAGGGGTAGAAACAAGGCATTGATTCAAATACTTCCAAAATATGTATGTGTTTTCCCAAGCAGCTGTTACTCCCCAGCTTGAGGAAAGTGCTGAGTTACAGATGATGGAGTATGAAACACTGAGAGAGGGCACACCCTGTGCCTTCGCAGCAAGAATGGCAGAGCTACAGTGGCTTTGGTGTTTTACTTCACCCACTTTTATGCCTACTCTTTTCTTAGCGCCCCCTTCCCTTACTCATTGCATCAAAGTGATCCACTGAAAAGAATTAAGTCAACTGCAGAGTTCCAGATAGCTATCCTCAGGAGTTTTAAAACTTAAGATGAAAGCAGTCAGGGAATTAAGACTAAATCCCGAATATGTAAGAAAAGGGCTTTCCCACGTGGCACAATACACGTACTGTCTGCTTCACAGGTCCAGCCTGGTAGCAATCAGGCAGGATACCAGAGCACGCAGGAAATCCAAAATTAGGTTTTACTACCTATAATGGAAGATTTACGGGATGGTTTAATTGGTAGTCTCAGGACTAAAACCTGAAGCAGGGGAACAAAAACGTCTATCTGGACACAGCCAGTGAGCCCACGTGCACCCCATGACACTCGCTCATAGGACACACAGGCCCGAGGCTGCAGGGGACAGAGTAAGGTCACAACTCCTCCTTCTCCCAACCTTGATGCACACCAAAGCCAACAACATGCTATTTCCTGTTCCTTTTATTTAAGAGGCAAATTTGTTTCTTGTGGTAGAATGGGTCTTCAAGCTACACACACAAACTCAGGTGTTCCGCAAAACAAAAGAACTCATTCAATTCAGTCCTCCCCTGTATTTCCAAACCACAGGGGCAACACTCACAAGCTGCAAAGAGGATTCCGCCCCACCGGGAATGCATCGGTCTGCACCTGTCTGTTGCCATTTTCAGGGTTAGCAGGGCCACTGGAAAATTTCCTCAGTACCATTTTGGGTCAATGTAAAGGATAATTGAAGTGCATGTTTCTGTAAATTCCACGTGCTCAGAGAGATTTCAAGTAAACACAGGAAAATAAGAACTGTGGGCTTGAGCCATATGTTGGCTGGCCACGTGGGGCAGGAAGAACACACACTGTCCAGGCAGTGAGTAACTGAAAACCAAGTGCCCACAGACACCATCCACTGCCAGAACTTGGGAAGCTGGGGTCCCAAGGGACAGTCCCCTCTGCTCACCCTCTCCCCTCCTTTCTTTCTCACCCTCTCAACAAACTTTAGTGGAGTTGGCTTTTTTTCCTAGAGGCCTTCATAGCCACTTTTTCCCCTCTCCAGGTGGTAGCCTGGGACCTACTGTGCAGAAGGACACACAGGTCTGAATTGAGGTCAAGCCAGGAAGAGGAAGAAGTGCAGAGCAGGGCAGCCACTGGCTTCTGAAATCCAATGGAAGAGGCGGCACCATTTAGTAGCATGACATTCTGTCTGCAAACCACCATGATGATATTGTTACTAAGTAGAAGAATCCCTTTTAAAAGAACTTTCGATATATTATAACATACTATAACAAGATGGGAAGACATTTTCCTTTTAATAAATTGATTTTCTTAAAGGAGATTTCAACTTTCCAGTGATGGACACTTTTCCTGGCTTCCACTTGTTTTCTGAAGGTTTCCATTTGGGTGTGATTTCTTAGCAAACAAGAGCCTTCCCAAACATTGCCTGCAGACATCTTGGTCTGTAGAAACACCTTATAAGGAGATCAACGTATAACACAGTCTTTTTCTACCTAGAGAATTAGCAAAGGGTGAAATTTGGTATGACAGGGGTCTTCCCTGGATTCCTTTCAATGTAGTCCAAGGAAGAACTAACTTAGGCTGAATTCTATTAAGACAAGGTTATCACAATATTTACAAGATTATTTATCAGGATTATATCAATTAAATATTTTGGGGGAAAAAATTGCCATACAAAAATCATATTAAAATTGAGCCAAGCAGTGAAACAACTCTGAAATGGCCTAGAAATAACATGTATTTGATATTCACTTTTTCTGAATACAGATGTGATCTTCATGCCATCATTGACCCCAGGTGGTAAGGATCATTAATGTTTCTAGAATCCTACACTGGGCAGCTGATGCCTGTAATCCTAGCATTTTGAGGGGCCAAGGAGGGAGCATCTCTTGAGCCCAGGAGTTAGAGAGCAGCCTGGGCAACACAGCGAGACCCCATCTCTACAAAAATATTTTAAAACTTAGCCGGGCATGGCAGCATGCACTTGTAGTCCCAGCTACTTGGGAGGCTGATGTGGGAGGATCATTTGAGTGTGGGAGATGGAGGCTGCAGTGAGCTGTGGTCACACCACTACACTCCAGCCTCAGTGACAGAATGAGACTCTGTCTCAGAAAAAAATAAACGATTTTAAAAATTTTAAACCCTTAAAAATAAGTAAATAATAAATTCCTACACTGTTGTACAGTTAACGGCCCCAATTACTAAGCTCAAAGGGAATTACCCAGAAAAGGCAAGAAAAACCTAAGTGTGAACTATGGCTATAGAGAAACAAATATATGGCTTGTAATATAAATAGGTTTCATATACATAAGAGTGTAGGCATACATTGCAATGTATCATCTCATCTGACCCTGCTACCAAATAAACCACAATGTGATTTTGCTACTGTGGAATCCACTGTGAAACGAGTCATATTTCAAAGAGGTATTTTTAGTGATTTTTAAGGGCAAGAATTCACAGACTTCAGATCTGGGTTCCACGTGACCATGACAAGCACTTGGTCAGTTCTGCGGCTTGGGCTCCAAATTCAATGTGTGGATCACCACTGACTCAAACTAACTCTATCTGTAAGATGATTCAAAAGAGACAATTTGGAAAAACAGAAGGGAGGAAAGACTTGAGAAAGAGTGAGCTTTTACAACTAAACAGTATTTGCTTGAATTTAAACACCACTTAAAACATAGACAACAAAGACAAAAAGCATCAGTGAAAATGTATGTCCCTTTTACATTCCAAATACAGGCCCAGAAAGCAATAAGCAAAAGGCACAGCTGGGCTCTGTATAGCCGACTTGTTGATGTTTAATGCAGGTACCACTCTGATCTCAGCCCCCAGATAGAAGCATATACTCTAGTGATGGCCCAGGAAGACGTCGACCAGCACAAAGCATCACCACACTTCCCACATTCTGAGTTGGATGCAACCATTCTCTTAGAAACCTAGTCTTGACTGGGTGTGGTGGCTCACGCCTGTAATCCCAACACTCTGAGAGGCCAAGGAGGGCGGATCACTTGAGGTCAGGAGTTCGAGACCAGCCTAGCCAACAGGACGAAACCCTGTCTCTACTAAAAATATTAAAAAATCAGCTGGGTATGGTGAAATGCACCTGTAATCCCACCTACTTGGGAGACTGCGGCACAAGAATTGCTTGAACCCGGAAGATGGAGGCTGCAGTGAGCAAAGATGGCACCACTGCACTCCAGCCTGGGTGACAGAGGGAGTCTCTGTCTAAAAAAAAAAAAAAAAAAGCAAAACAAACAAAAACAAAACAGTCGCTTCTGCACTCATGGTAACATCCTTTACCATTTAATCTCTCCTAGAAGACAGGGCATTGCCATACCATTACTCACTTGAAGATGAGAAGTGGAGGATTTGTTAGGACTGCAGGTGATGAGGAGAGACTCAAACAGAATGTTAGATTCTGACCGATCTGCTCTGGTTTCACACACTTCTTTCCCTTCCTAAGAATCTGCTTTTCCCTTCATGTACTTTTTCCTGTTTTCAGTATCACTGGGTCATTTCTAGTAACTCTGCTTAAGTGATCCTGTCAGCTACAGGGCGTGGGTGGGTTATTCAGCTCTGCCTCACAGAACACTCACCCTCCATCTCTGAGTCAGTTGCCTTTTAATGGAAATACTATTCGCTGATCATGTTCATACCGGCCCAGTTTTGTTTCTCTTGACAATGGCCCAGGTGTTTTTCTCTTCTGATTGAGTTTTGGGGTAAGCTCAGCATCTTTGTTGTTGTTGTTTGTTTTATTACATTTCCATTTTTACTGGAGGGGAAAGATCAGAGTCAATGTGATCCAGCTGCTGCACGTCAGTCCCGCCACATGACCTGCACTGTTACATCCAAAGCGTGCAGGGAAAAGGCTGCGTGCTCAGGTCCAGAAGTTCATAAAGGCAGCCTCTCCCATCAGCTCACCGGTGGCTGCCAGCCTCCATGCCGCCTTGCTCTCTCTAGGCTACTGGTTTTTGCAACCTTCTGCTTTTGTCCACTCATAACTTTGATAAGTACCGTGTCACCTTCTCATACGTGGAAAACATGTGGTCAGCGATTCGGCATGTTTAATGGTGCTTGAACAATACAAAGGGGAGCTGTCATCCATCTTTTGTTTTCTCATTATCAGTTTTCAGGCCACGTTCTAAACAAGGACGACAACCAACAGAACATCATTCCCTGGTGTCCCAGTCCTTGCTTACTTTGAATCTCCTCACCACCTTCAGTCCTTTCTAAGGTCACGTACGGGCATCCACCGTCTTTTTTCCTAAACAGAATACTTTGCAAAGTCAAGTATTGGCATTTCGTATTTAAGCCATGCATCCTCAAGGAGGCTAAAATTAGTTCTTGAAGGATGAAAAACGTCTTATTCCTTTTCTGTATAAAGCACAGATATACCTAAATGTAGACATACGTATATGTATAATGCAAAGTACTAAAACAGTATATCTGTGGTATTAAATTTTCATGTGAGGAGGGACAATTAGGAAAAAAAATCAGAAAATGCTTTTTAGGAGGTTGATCATGAAAACAGGAGGTTGGTCATGAAAAAAAAGGTTGAAAAACACTAATTTAAGCCTAAATGTAACTACATTACAAAATGTCACTACTTCTTGCTGGTTTTGGCACCAGTGCCTCAGGTGACACAGAAATACTAAGTTTTCTTTTATTCTGATATGCTTAAGGTATCCCCAAAATGATTTCTCTAAGTTGGGAATTGAAAGGGTTATGTTACACTCATTCACTCTTTAACAAGTCACATACACGTCACCTCCTATTTTAGAAGCCAATGGGTATTAAAGCACAAGAAATAAAACCACTGAAAAAGCAAAAAATAAAAAGGAAAGAAATAAAGACTCGGCACTCTGACACAGATGAAGCAGATGATTATGTTTATTTAAAACAGCAACTTATTTTTTAATGTCTATGAACTAAAGATTTCTCAGGACATCTTATTTCATGTTAAGTGTCCAATGCAGCAATCTTTGCCTTGCAAAGCCCATTACAAATAGGCTTGTGCATTCCAGAAAGGAAGCATGCATTTAACTTTCCCAAATATGTAATATGCAATTCTTTTTTTTAAATTTTTTACTTGCTTGGAGCAAAGACTGAAAGCAAGTATTTAATCTCGCTTCCTTTGCCAGTGCAAACGTAACTAATTCTGATCCTCATTTCCATTTCTTCCTTAATCTTTTTAAATCAGGGTTGGGCCAGCATTTATTCCCAACCTTTTGGAGAAGTAGCCTGTATTTCAAATGGGGCCGCGATGCTACCGCATGTTGTCCTGACCAGTGCCGTCCTGATCCTTGCTGGAGAAAGAAATGGAGGCATTTTACTCACAATCACAGAGCTTACGTATGCCAGCATTACAGAATGCAAAAAATAACTTTGCAACAATCTGAAAGGGTAATTTATGGAGCGTGGACAGTAAATGGGGTATGTTTTCTGTCCTGAAAATCCCAGATGAGGGCAGGCTTATGAATAATTTTCAAAAATCAGGAAGTCTGTGGAAATCCCTACTGTCTTATAAAGATTGCACCGTGCTCATCGCATCTCCCACGGCCTCTGCCTCCTCCTCCACCTCCTCCGAGGTTCCTTGGTCCTGACTCCTAATGGCAAGGGCCAAAGAACACAGGCACCTGCCTCCAGCAAATCCACTCCGATTCCCCCTCATTCCCAGACACAAATTTCCATGAAAACCAGACAGAGGACAGAAAGCAGGGGCAGGATATTCCAAAAGCACTTCAGATCTGCAGCCTGATTTCATTGGACTCGCTGGCTTGTTTCTTTTAGTCCCTGGGTGTGTTGACTGCAGGAGAAACCTCACTAACGACGACACTTCAGAACTGTGAGTCCAAACACTTAAGGAAGGACGTGCCCAGGAGGAAGGTCTAGAAGCTCAGAGACAGTGAGGAAGGGGCATTGCTCAGCGATGCTTAGATGCCTTCATGAGCTGACTCTACTGGGAGTCACTTGTCATGCCCCTGAATCCACCCACACATCTCTATAACATATGAAAACTGTTCAGCCCAAAGGAAAAAATAAACTCGATGGTTCTCATTAATCCAAGTTTAACTAAACACAACAGTTTCCAAGAGTACATTTCAGCCATTTCGCACCCGCAGATACCCAACCTGAGAAGCTGATGGGAAACGGCTGTTTTGGCATCACCGAGGGCTGCGGCAGGCAGCACCCAGGGGGCTTCTGTCTCCCCTGTGGCGCTGCAGCTGAGAGCCACACCCATGAGCTGATGACGTAGCGTTTCTCTCAAAGGTCTCCCTTGATGATGTGGCAAACTGCAAGGACCAAGCACAGAGGCACCTGGACACCAACCCTTCCCTGCGAGCCACATGGCCAGTCAAACGTTCTGGTTACCGGGGATGACACGCTTTTTCCGACAAGATTTTAAGCACTTGTGGCTTACATCAATGTGGTCTCGTATTCATTGTGTGTTTAGACCACTTGCCTCGCACGTTCTCATATTTACACATGTTCACTGAACGTAACCTCAAGTGAATTATTTAAGAAGCCTTAATGTGCTTCAGACTGCTCAAATATAATTTAGACTTTAAATTAAATTTGTACTCTGATACGAAACTGCAATGCTTGAATGCAGCTTACGGCATCAAGTGGACATGCAGGAGGCCTTGGAATAGAATTTCAGTTACCCCTAAAGGGCTCACACCTAGTGGCCCACGTTCCTTATAGGACGAAACAAGATTCAACTACAAAATCCAACTCATTGCCTACGTTTGAAAGCTGGGGAGCCTGCAGTACACAAGATAAAGTCTTGCTTCTCCATTTGTCCTTACGTGACCCTACAATGAAGCATCGCTACACACCAGAGACGTATAATGCTAGACGCGAGAACACACAGTCATGCTCCTTGGTCAGAGGTTTTGGGTATGGTTGGGTGTTTTAATAAACCACAATATTCCTTCTCCTTCACTGTTTGGTTACCAATAATTGTGCTGCCTTAGGTGTAAAATTCAATATGGTGATTAGAGTCTAGAGAAGCCACACTTATTTTATTTAGCAGTTTTTGTTTTATTTTTACAGTAAGCACTGCCCACTGGGAAAAATAAACCAAAATAAAAAGAGTGAAATTCCCTTATTATGCACTAGCGATAATGAAAACAAACTTATCTACAAAGAACCACAGACGAGAAATTTGCCTAGAGACCAGCTACTGGAACTAAAAACAAATTTCTTATTCAGGAAAATGTGAATGAGTAAGAATCTGCTAGTGAAGTTTCTTACTTTGCACAAAAAATTAAATGAAATCTTAACTTTAAGAGTAGCATAGGCTGGGCACGGTGGCTCAGCCTGTAATCCCAACACTTTGGGAGGCTGAGGCAGGAGGACTGCCTGAACTCATGAGTTCCAGACCAGCCTGGGCAACATGGCGAAACCCTGTCTCTACTAACAATACAAAAAATTAGCCGGGTATGGTGGTGTGCACCTGTAGTCCCTGCTACTCAGGAGGCTGAAGCACAAGAATCGCTTGAACCCAGGAGGCGGACGTTGCAGTGAGCCAAGATCGCACCACTGCACTCCAGCCTGCGCAACAGAGCAAGACTCTGTCTCAAGAAATAAAAATTAAAAAAAAAAGAGTGGCATAGTTAAAAGGGTAGAAGGTTACTCAATGACGCATCACGTATAGTACACATATAGCACACTGATAATAACAAATGGCATGTAAGCACTGTGGATTGACTTCAGAAGACTTTTCCATAAGCTTCAGTATCACAAACGAAGGGAAAAGCCTGTGTTATGTGCAACCTGTCATGATCAAATAGTGTGAATATGTCCTTGTAAAGGTTAATTCTATAGCAATACATTTAGTTGATGTGCTTTCTTCCTCTGGGATTCTAGCACTTTAAGAATGCCGTTCTTCAAAATAATCAATTGTATTATTCTCAAGAAACATGCAAAATAAGAAATTTGTCATCAAGCTGGAATTATCTTTAAATAGAGGATATTCAAATAGCATTTTTATGCCTGGAGTTGTCGCAGCATGATTCCGGCAAAAGCCGCACTATTTGTTAGCTGGCACACAGAGTTTTGGCCTGAAATTCAGTATTTTATTTTACCCTTTAAAAGCATGAAGTGACTCAACAGGAAATTATACATACATTTTTCCCTCCAATGTAAAAACTGCAGATCTAGTACCGAACATGTCACGCTGGCATTCAATTTTCTATTGCTATCATATCTGGTTCCTTAGTGACATAAGGTCACAAAACTTCTACTCCTGTGGCCAAGAGACATAATAGATGTTGCGGTTGCTCATTATATTAAATTTGAATTCCTAAGCTAAACATTCTAGACCTGCACTATTCGGCATGGTGGCCACTAGCCACATGTGACTATGGAGCCCTTGAAATGTGACCAGCCCAGATGGAGACGTGCTGTAAATATACACTACACAATGGATTTTGAAGATTTCATATAGAAAAAAAATAAAGTCAAATATCTCATCCATATTTTACACTGATTACATTTGAAATGGTAGTATTTTCAGCATGTGTTACATAAATTACATTATTAAAATTAATTCCACCTGTCCCTGTCTTTTTTAATTTGGCTACTGGAAGATTTAAAACTACCCTTGAAGTTCATGTTCTATTTCCTTTGCCCAGCACTGCCAGGACCTTACACGGACTCTGCCTCCACGTCACTCGCTCCCTTCCGGTCACTTCCATAACAGGCCCGCCACTCTGACCAAGATAACTACACACAGCAGAGTCCCATGGGTGGATCTCAGCATCCGCCTGCCTGGTTCTGATGCTGCCCTGGTTCCCACTACTGTGTGACTCCAGGCAAGGTGCTCAGCACTCCTGAGCCTCACTGCTATTCTGGAAAATGAGGACAATTAGAGCACCTCCTGCAAAGAGCCACAGTGAAGACAGTCCTGGCAAAGTGTCTCCTGTGGCTATACCATCTGGTGAGTGAATGTCACCTGCCACCTTCCACAACATCACACCTCTCCCTTCCCTTATGTAAGACTGCTTTCTTCCCTACCTCTTAACTTTACACCTGAGATATTGAAGTAGGTGTCTGGTCTGATCCCTCCAACACTCCAGAGGATTTGGTCAGTTTCCACACTGTGTGACCCACTCCCAGGTAACACTTCCACCCTCCAAACACACCAGCAGGCCTGACTCCTCCACCCTCCCGCCCACTGCTATCTCTACCATTCCCGCCAATCCAGATCCAACACGCCATGGCACAGCTCAAGGGCCTCAGCCTCCGGGTAGCATGCTCTGATCCTCTGATCTTCCTATGGAATGGTGTAGATTGCTTTTGGATTGCATGATTCTATTTTATGTTATTTATACTCTACCTTGTTCCCAAAAAGGGACTCAAAGTGGTCTACAAGGATATATGCAATATGACAAGGTTGTTTAAAATTCAGAAGCAAAATAAAAAATAAAGATGAAGCTAAAGAGAAACAAGGGTAAGAACATAAACTCGAGCTAGGAATGCAATGGCCCGCCAGGCAGGCCTCAGGGTCTCACATATCTGCTGGAGTTGGGTCATTCACACGTCTCCAAATAATGAAATCCAACCAAATGCTCAGACAATGACTCCTGATGCTAAGGCTAAAAATGAAATCCTCCAATGATTCCATAAGAAAGAAGGACCTGTGTGATAGCAAGCATGCCCAAGAACGGCCCTACAGCAAACCCAGTGTATTGCACGAGGCTGTCTCCCTGCTCGGGAACATCTCCTCCATTGCCATACAGTCTAGAGCCCTGTTCACTGCCATGCTGGCCCAGTTCAACCAGGTGGTCCCACTGAGGATGCCACTCTTGTTGGTGTGTGAACTCATCTCCTTCGAGATTTCATGATGTGCACATTCACCCCCGTTCTAGATTTCATGACACAAGCATTCACCCCTTTTCTAGATTCTATGGCAAGTATGTTCACCCACTTTCCAGATTGCACGGCATTCGCATTCACCGCCTAGATTCTAGATTCCACGGCATGCACATTCGCCCACTTTCTAGATTCCACGATGTGAATGTTCCCCTCCTTTCTAGACTCTGTGGTGTGAATGTCTGCCCCAATTCCATGGCATTCTTGCTCACCTCCCTTTCTAGATTCCATAGCATGCGGATTCATCCTCTTTCTGGATTTTGCCTCCCTGAAGGCACTGTGCAAGTCTTCTGCATAGTGTCTTGCATGAAGTCTTACACAGAACATAAGGCAAAAACATGGACTAAATGGACAGCTTGCCTTCCACCACACAGTCTGTAGCTTCTAGCCTCCCTTCCTTTGCACGTGCCTTTCCCAGGATCCGGAGCACCCCCTCTGTGGATGGAGTCCTGTATCTTCTCACCTTGAGTCAAATCTGACTGCCCGCTGATCTCTGCCTACTCAGCATTCCCTGAATTCTCAGGCATTCCACTTGTCCTGTATTAATTTCCACCTGTAGGTATTTATCCTAAGGACACCGCATTTAGAGTGTCCTTGCAAGAGGGGATGCTCCTCTCTTCAGCTAAACTTAGCTATTTAAAGTAAAAAGGGTGGTAGTTTTGTTTACCTGTTAACACAACTCATGGAAGAGAGAAAAATTCAAGCATGCCACTAATTGCTGCAGTCAGACAGACAGGTGGATAGGCGGGCTCCATAGCGGAATGTTCTGGCTTCTCCCACTAAATTTGCAGTTGTTCGTCTAATCTCTAGACGTGTCCCGTGTCTTAACAGTCCCTGTATGACTTATGCTCCCACCTCTTGTTTGGGACAGTGCTCTCATTTAATAGATGCTCAATATATTTTAATTAAGAAATGTATTTTCACGTTGCTTAAGACCCATAAAGAACAATTAATACAATGTAATGCTTAATTTTGCAAAGAAAAAGTTTATATTGATGCTAAATGCATTTACAAATGTGCTCGTAATGTACAAACAAATACAGCCCTTACTGTGGGTTACACATACTTATGAAATGATTTTATTGACTTACCTTTGGTTTTACAATTTGGCTATGGGGTACTTAGAAGAAACTGCCCTTGTGGGACATTCTGTCTAATCACTTATATTTACAAGCCTTAGAAAACTGTAAAAATATATTCAGTTTCATTAAGAGATATTCGATCTTCAGAACTGATACTATTTCATCTATAAAATCCTTTTACTGGCTGGGCGCAGTGGCTCACGCCTGTAATCCCAGCACTTTGGAAGGACGAGGCGGGCAGATCACCTGAGGTCAGGAGTTTGAGACCAGCCTGGCCAATGTGGCGAAATCCTGTCTCTACTACAAAAATTACCCAGGCCTGTTGGCAGGTGCCTGTAATCCCAGCTACTCGGGAGGCTGAGGCAGGAGAATCATTTGCACCCAGGCGGTGGAGGCTGCAGTGAGCCAAGAATGTGCCATTGCACTCCAGCCTGGGCAACAGAGCAAGGCTCCATCTCTAAATAAATAAATACATAAATAAAATCCTTTTACTTTGATACCTCAAGTAGTAATCAATAATATCCCTCTCTGTTCTAATGGCAGGGCCTTTAGGTAAGGTTTCAGAATTTGGGATAAATACTAATAATATGCTGATCTAACATCTCTTCTCCAGAAGACTCCCTAGATTTGATTTTTACTGTCATTATTTCTATTTTAAAACTCTGTAGTGAAGTAAGTTTTACTGTCGGGGTCAAATAGACTAGAAAGTACTTTTCAATACTGAAGAAGCAAATTTTTCCTCCACTTTTGCTTATTCTGTCCTCTTGCTGCTGTATCTTGAACTGCAGAAAAAGCAAGCCTTGCACAAGGCAAGTTTAAACTTTGTGCAATTATAGACCCAGATTTGTAAATCTGGCAGCAGGCTCACATCAGCTTTGTGAGGTTGGGTATAATTTTAATGAGAATCCATTCAACATATGAAATCTTAGAATGTTTCTCAATTAGCACTTGGTTTCTTTTCAAAATGTTTTTACCTCATTTCCTAATAAAAGAAATCTCAGCTTTCTGATACATTTAATTAAAAAGTTTTATGTTGAGATTGTAAATGTGAGTGGTTTCTGTTTCAAAACATTTCATTTTGCTAGTACATCCTTCACTTATTATTTATACTCTGCTTAGATCTCTGCATTTCCCATGCAAAAATCCTGAAATGCACCTTCTTCAGTGCTGAGGTCTAAAGTTTCCCCTTCCTAAGTAGTGCCACAGTCACCCCCTCTTCCTCCCACAGGGCCCTCATAATAGCTTCTTTCAGTCCTTCCTCTGAACCCTGAGACCCCCGTTCACTCTCATGTCAAGCAGAATTCCAAGCCTTCATTGCACACAGAGGTGGGTCCAGGGAGGTATCCCGTGTTTCTGAAATTCCTGCTTTGCCTGTGCCTAAGCTTCCCAATTCTCCCAAGAGTCCTCATTTTAAGAACACAATGCAATGCTAGCATTGCACTAGCATTCAGCATCTCCCACCATACATTGCAAATGGATAATTAGCTTGATTGCTAGGAGATTCACCTGCTATCCCCTCTTCTCACCCTTTAGCAATGTGTGTGGAACGCACTTGGCTCCGAACAAATTAATTGTGTGTGAGGGGTGACATCTGACTACGAACAACTAAAAAGAACCATTTAATCAGGCCAAATTCCCTTCAGGCTTATTGAGGCTTGAGTGTGGATTTTTAAAATGTAAGCAGCACTGTCACTGTAACCATGAAACTGTCATGGTTTTAAGAAGTGAAGTTTTGGGGGACAACAACATGACCAACAGACTCTACCTCAGCATCCAGTTCCCAGATTAGTTAATACAAACTTGGGCCCCACTTTTCAACAGAAGCACAGCTCTAAGTAAAGGCTGGTACCCAGCTCTGCCCCCTCAAATTATTTGGTGAACAGGCCAAATGGGAGGAATTGCAGGTAGTACTGCAGAATCTGCCTGCCTTGGAAAACAGGCTTTCCATGAAATACAGTTTTAAGGTCCCCAGAGGCCAGGGCTCTCTCCCTCCCCTACTCTTCACCGCGCCCCCCGCCAACCCACACGTGATGAGAAACCACTGCCCCTGCAGAGGCCCCAGCAGCAGGCAAGGGTCTGTGGAAGAAAGAGAGGAATATTACAAAGGGGTTTCTGGCTGGAGGGGGGTTCCAGGGAGGGCAGAGAGGTTCAGGCTCCAAAGCTGGCAGCAGCCCCTACAGATGGAAAGCTCCAGTGACAGGACCCATGAAAGGACACTGCAGAGCTTGTCCCATGTCATTGGGCCATCGAGACATCAAGGGCTGCCTGGATTTCAGGAACTCACATCTGTAGACCAAGAAGGAACAGCACGTTCCCATTGCCAATTTCAATCAATTTATTAAACTAAGGCAATAGGTAAGTAACAGATTTACTAAGATATTGGGATTCTCTTACTGTCCATCTTAGTTCAGATGGAGATTCACAACACCAGCTAATCTGATTCCAGGATGCAGCTTCTGACGGTGCACAAGCTAATATTTCCTTAAGATAGTCACACAAACCTCCCTGCCAGGCGTGCAGAAAAATGTGCACGCTCCAATTTAGTCTTTCTTTTACTTTCCAACTTTAAGTACTTTAGTGAGCCCCAAGAATGCATAGCCACTCTTTCCACCCAGTTAGAGAGAAAATTAATCTTTCTACCAATAACAGAGAATCACTTAATGGAAATAGGACGATAGTACTTCACTAAATAAGGCTTCGCTCCTTTGCTCCCCTACTCTCAAAACTGAGGTTCAAATGCATTTCTACACTTTCAAATGAACATGTGGGAACTTTTGCTGAATGCTGACATCAAGTGAAAATAAGGGTTTCCTATTTTTTAAAAGTCATTCTATATATGCCTGTTTTCTTTCCTATTTCCTAGAGAGACAGCTTTTCCCCCCCGAGTATGTTTTGCAGGGGTAATAATTACTGCAATAATGTTATCCTTAAAAGGGAGCACATATAAGACAAAAGCAGGTACAAAAATCTCATTCCCACTAAAACAATTCAAAATCATAGGTTAGGCTTTAAAAGGAAGCAACTACAAATCTAGGTTTTAAAAACCTTTAGACACACTAAAGATTTGTCCCAGATCACATCTGATGTCTATTTCTCTGGGATAATAACAAAAAAAAAGAGGTGATAAATTAATTCAAATGGCCTATTTTACATACTTGAAGGATATTTCCATTGTCTCATATAGCCATTCTGAATAGGACAGAGTCACATAATGAAACTTCCTTTGCACATTCTCCTGAACACGCACTGAGTCAAGATAGCCAAACCCCTTACTTTCATTGTAAAATTACTGTTTCTCATACGCAATCAGGGTCTCCCAGATTATGACATGCGACCCTAAAAATAGGAGAACTTAAAAGTTAGTTTAAATCTAAAACTTAGATCCAGCGCTCCATTTTTAGATGCACCCTTTAATTTCTTGGTTTTGTCTACATTTTACTTATACTTAAATTTAGCAAAGTAATTTTAGCTCACCCTCCTTCACTACCTTCACTAGACTTTGCAATGTTACAAACATGAAGCATTCAAGCCTCTTTCTAATATGAAAATGTTTTAAATAAAAGATAAAGTTAAAAGGGAAAGATGCCCCTTTTAACTTTAACTTTTAACTTTTTTAGCTATGTTGAAGAACTGGTTTGGGTGACAGCCCAGCCATTGGAAAAGCCATTGGAAAACTCCCGCTGTTGTTTATTTACAAAATAACTGCTTTCAATCAATCATTGTGAGAGGTCCGTACACTGACAATGCATAATGGACAACTAATTAACTGACCCCTAATAAGAGTGTGGGAAATACCAGGGAGAATGCTATCATGCAAGGAACAGCAACAATATGGAGGGGTGGCTGGTCACTGCCAAGCATGAGCATCCCCAAATACCGCAGTGATTTTCAGAGTTTTCAAAAAGCCCTACTCACACCACTGCCACTAAGTACCATAATCATCGGAAACTGTGCCCCAAAGATCTGAACGTCCCTGTTACATCAGCCTATTTTTCTTACAAATGTTGCTGCTAAGGTTCAAATTCAAGGTGTAGAACATTAAACAATAGCTGTATTGTGAAGGACCATGCTCCCTGGGAAAGCCCAAGTAACCTTACACACTGGGGAAGGAAAAAAGAACTCCTTTGCCATACTCCTGCTCTCTGGAAAACTGCTCAGACGCAAGGGGTAAAGAAGCAAAGAGGTGACAAAAAGAGACCTGCATTCAGAGAGATCAGCTGTCAACTTAAACTGAGAAGTGACCTGATGCCTCACAGAGCTGGGATTTTGCCACCTTGACCAAACTGCTTCCCAGGCTCCATAAGTCTCATTAGAAACGTAGGTGGCTCTGTGTCGACACCTTCTCAATGGAGTTCTATGAAATAACAGGCATCAGACATTTATTCACTATGACAATGTCTTCCCACCACTCCAGATCCTATGACCGGGACTGACTTGCTATCGGTTTTTGCCTGGGAATAGGAAACGATTCCAGAAACATTAGCTCTTCTGTTTTGAGAAGAAATAAATTCCCCCTTTTATTTCTTTTTTGTTTAAAGATAGCAAGATAAAAATAAAAACTAATATTACTTTTAGAAAAAAAAAGTGTTGAAAGTTTCCTATTACCCTACTTACAATGTGAGATGCATTTAAAAGATACATAACGTATAACATTGTAGAATAGTATGTGAGTTACACATTCCTTCTGACGTCTTTCAGAGATGCTTTCCTTCTTACTTATGTATCTGGTATTCCATTGGGATCTTAGGTCTTACCACAAATAAAATATCTGATTTTATAAGATTAAAAACTCAACAAGGTTTTTCTTTAATATAAAAGCAAAACGTGGAACGTGGAGGGGGGAATGTTTATATACAGGTGTGAATGCAGCCCCTCACACAATCCCTTCAATGGTAAATGCTAATTTTCTAAATTTTAGCTAAAGATTAAATCACCAATAATTCCTCATGAAATAACAGATAAACGTGAAATCATGTACTACAATTCTACTCTAAATTTTTTTAAATAGAATGAAGTAATTATAAAATGTTACAAAAGAGAAGAAACTGGAATTATAAGTGCTACTGGAATTATATATTCCTTAACAAATATCTTGAGACGGATTACCCATTTGCTAATTCAGTGTACTTTCCAAAAGCCATTGACCCAAACCGAAGCTAGGATTACCAAATGGCAAATAGCATTTGTGATGTGTGTAGCTCTTCTAAAGCCTTTCTTGAGAATTGTAAAACTTGATATATTAGCCACAAGTTTACATAGCTCACCGTTTCTGCTAGAATTATAATTTCAATGGTGTAATTAGCTTATTAATAATTTGACACATGGTGAATTAATTTACATGGTTGGGTTCTTCGCAACGTCTGTTGCCTGATCCTCCTGTGGATGAAGGCTATGAGCTCTGGCCTGCCCCGGGAGCGGGCACCAGCCAATGCCAGCGGAGCAAGGGTTAACTTTGGGACTGTGACAGTTCTCCCTTCAGGGGCTCTAAACTACTTGGAGAGAATGGAAAACAGTCAAAAATAGTCCCAAAGGTAAATAAACTCTGTGTCCTATGTATGTCACCCAGGGAAGAATAAAATGTATTTTTACTCACATTGAAAGTTTTCTGAACTACAAAAGCTATAGAGACATGTACAGAGTGAAACCTGTAGCACATACGAATATGTTATTTTGAAAGATAAAGGAAACTATCTTTAGATTAACGATGAGTTGTATTAAATCCACATCCTCATTGAAATTGTTTATCCATTTTATTGCGCAGTGTAGTCTGCTATTAATAACAGAATTTGTCCTGTACTTAAAAGATAATTAATGCCTCTATGCATCTATGCAACATACCATAGCAATAAACGGACGATGTATTTCAGACAGAAACCAGGTAAGGCTAGCTGATAAAATACAGACTATATTTTTTTTAACATGCCAAGTTTTGCAATTAGGGTGGTAAACTGGAGGCAAATAAACTTAACAGCTGCAGGCTGAAGAATGGAAAGGTGAAAAGACTGAGACTGAGAGTGGGAAAGGAAAGGGACCGCTCCTGGCGCTGAGAGCTGGTCCCAGAGCCGGTGTTGCGGGGTGTGCGGGAAGGCGCCGTCGGGGGTCATTCCACCATCAGGACCCAGCGGACAGTGACAACCCAGCCTCAAACCTGGTCCCTACTTTAGGCCAAGCGTCAGCTTTTTTAGTTCAACCCTGATTTCCACTCCAGACAAGGACAAATAACCTCTTGGTCGGGGCCCCAGATGAAGTCCCCGCGGTGTGCTCTCCTGGCCCTTGTCAATTTCGGGGTGCCCCCTCCTCTCCATCCGCACCCGACTGCACGCGCCTCCCTGGGACCCCGCACTGGCGAGCCGTCCCTCCCGGCGCTGGACGCCCCACCTGTCCCGGCGCCGTCGGAAGAGCCCTGCAGAGTGAGCCCCTAGGGCCACCCCGCTGCCTTCCTCCCCGTCCCCGCAGCCGCTGTAGCCAGCGTGGGAGCCGGGCAGGTCGCGTGGGGCGCTGGACTTACCGAGAGGTTAGCGCCGCCGTCGGGGGAGGGCGTGTCCCGCACGTGTGTGTCCGCGCGTGTCCGCGCCCGCGTGTGCCAGCGCGCGTGCCTTGGCCGTGCGCGCCGAGCCGGGTCGCACTAACTCCCTCGGCGCCGACGGGCTCAGCCCATGGTGTGGGCGCCGGGTTCAGGGAGGCTCCGGCTCCCGCCAATCGCGGAGCAGGGCGGCCGCCCCGACGCGCGACTTGCGAACCCGGAGTGCGCGCCGGGGGCGGGGCAGGGACGCGTGGGCGGGAATGCACGCGCGTGGCCAGGTGCGCGTGGGTGCGAGCGCGCGGGAGTCTTCGAGTGCGCGCGTGTCCGTGTGCGCGTGGGTGTGGGTGTGCTCGCGTGTCCGTGCGCGCGCCCTCGGGGCCAAGAGCGCGGGCCGCGCGGGCAGGTTTGGACACTACGCGCCCTGCTCGGGTTTAGGACGCGGCTGGCGGCTCCGGGAGGAAGAGGAGGAGGAAGAGGAGGAGGCGGAGGAGGAGGAAGAGGAGGAGGGAGGCGGAGGAGCAGAGGCTGGGACGGCCGGAGGAGAGAGTCCGGCCCCAGCAGGAAAGGAACCCAGCACGCGACTACTGGAGGGGCGAGGAGCAAGGGAAGGACCAGAGGGGAGGAGAGGGGGTCAGGGGAGGGAAAGTGTGGGAGGGGGAGCCGCGGGGGTGCGCGCTCCTCCTAACTCGGGGTCGCTTTTAGCGAGAAGTGATATTTTTCCAGCCTCATTGAAAACCGTTGCAAACATTGAAAATAGTAAAAGTGAAAACGGTTGCGACACTAAGACGTTTATAAAATGACCGCGGACTGCCCTCGATGCTGATGAGAACTGGGACGACGTCGCGCAGAGCGTCCGGAGGGAGAGGCGCGGTGCCCGGGACCTCGGTCGTGGGGAGGAGCCGGATACAGCCGCCGGGACGCGGGGATGCCGAGGGCACCGCGGCCTGGTCTGACCGACGCACGCGGTGACAGCCGCCCTTGGGAGACGACGGCGTCTGCAACCAGCAGCCTCCAAAGGGTGCAGCCAGGAGGCTCAGCTTGTCCGCCTCCGGGGCTCGGGGCTAAGCCCCTTCCAGAAGTTTTCGTTTCTACGCGAATTCCGACCGCAAAATCCAGCTTACCTGAGCGCCGCTCCTCTTCTCTCATGTCCCTCGGGGGCCGTCACGACCGTCCCGGAGCGATCTCTAGGAACCTGTCCCGCAGCGATCTCTTGCACACTCTCCCCATTCCGACCAAGTGAAAACTACCCATGTCCCTCCCTCTCCAAACTTTAACAGCCAAGAATTTCAGCAAACAGCCAGAAAGAAAGCTAAGTCTCCCCCCGCCCCCCACCCCAAGGGAAGGGAGGGAATAAGCACTCCTTTAATTTGAAAAATAATAATTAAAACTCCCTCAACTTTTAAGGCCGAGCAACATAATCTATTAATTGGTCGCTATTAACATGCAGTTTTATTGACCATAGCACACAGAAGTCTGATTGTGAGGGAGGAGTGTTTTCAATGAAAGTGGAGTTATTTTAGCTGCAGACGTGTTTACATTTCTGTGGTTTAGTCTATAACTTTCTCTTTTTCTTGCTTCAGAATTCTGCTCCATGAAGCAAAGCCCTTAGCTCCCAGACATTCCAAAAAGTCTGCCAAAATAATAGAAAAAAAGAGAGGGAAGAAAAAACACACGGAGACCCCCAAGTCTGGGTCAGGCTCAGGGTTGGATGTGGGCAGGGTGAGTGTGCCCCCTCCCCGCGCACTTTCCAGTTAGGAAAAAAAAAAAAAGTTTCAGGGCTCCATTTCCTGTTTGCTGGGGGAAAAAAATAAAATGGACCTGAGCAGCTGAGTTTAGAAACCGCCTTTTCCAGTACCTATAGGTTCTGAGAGGATCTTTAACCCTAGAGATGCCAAAATGAGCTCATTAAAATGTGAGACTCCAGCCAAGGAAGTTTTTCCCCTGTTAAGATGGACAGCCTTCGTGAAACTACAAATGCATTCCTAGGAAATTTCTTGAACAATCAGGCACACCATGGTAGTTGGGATACAAGCCCACCTCTCCATAGGTGGCCAAGAGAAGATACCAATAAAAATAAATATTGAAAACAGATTAAATTTCTGACAAGCATGCACCCTTTTTGTCCCCTGAGGTACAAAGAACAGAATGTATATTTCAAAGTGGGTATTTAGTAATAGGGTCTTGTCAGTTTATCCACTCTGTGCTCGAATCGTCATTTGCAAAGTCGATTGCATTTCCTTTAGTATTGAATGTGCTCACAAATCACACAGAAGTCCCCATACTCCAGTTCACATGGCCTTCAAAAAGATTCGATCTGAATCTCCTTAACTACCAAATGCATATTTTGGTTCCTTTTCTTTCTAATTATTCTCCAAATATTCCAGATCCAAGATATTTCACTGGATTTTGAAATCTTCCAATTAGCCACTAATTTTCAAGTCTCACCATAGTGAACCCTTAACATTTAGGGGAATGCTTTAAAGTAAACAGGTTCTGAACCTATTCAATAAAATCAGTAGCCCACAGGCCAATGACTCTTTTTTAATACTCTAAAAGTTTTTTAATACGCTGCCAACGTTTCTCAATCATCATCAGTATATGGTGAATATTATCACAATATAGAACAGTGCTAAAAACAATATGCGTGCTGATGAACAAAATAACATTTAACGTTTTAAGAATAATGAACTGCACTTTAATAGTAGAAGGAACATGATTTCAAAATGAGCTCAGTAAAAACCCAATATTTGAAACAATGTTGTTTGTGACTCTCCCTCACTACCATCTCCAGTTCCCCCAAAAGACACTGCAGAAGGAGAGAGAGAGAGAGAGAGAAAGATAATTTCTTAAAACATGAAAGACGCATACCGATCCCATTCATAAAATGTGGGTCATTAACCTTGAAGAATCTCAGTATCCCAAATCCTAGAATTTTGCATATGACATCATCTCCTCCAACTGATTGCATCTTGTAGTTATAGTTAGGATGTTCTTTCTGCTGTCTAATCTAATCCCTACCTATGGCCGCAGCATTCCCTTCAGTCTGACCCATGATTTAGGTCAAATAGGAGGAAATCAGTTTCAATGAATTAAATCATTTCAGTTAACTTGAGAGGCCGAAAGAAAACTAAGAGACAACTTCACGTTCTGTATTGCAGGACAAACATCATAATTCTAATTAAAATGTCATTTAAAAGGAAAGTTTTTATAAAAACACCACTTGACACATTCCATAAGAATTAGTATTTTAAAGTATTTCATACATGAGATGGTCTTCTTTTTATATAAAGTTTTGTGGTCGACCTAATTCATTTTAAAATCCCTTTTATCCAAAAGATGTTTTGGATTAATTTAAGTATTTGTTACTGGATAATGTCAAGCTCCTTTTCAATGAAATGTCCTGTGTTGGGTTGTCACACCTGTTAAATATAAGCCTCCTTTTCTTTTGATATTCTGAGAAGGGCTTTAAAAGGTTTTCATCCCTCAATATGGAGATTTAATTGCTTTACCTATAATAAAAATAATCCCTATAAAATTCAGATTGTGGATATTTCAAAGCTGAAAGAACTATTGGATTGGGATGTAAAGGTTGCAGTTCAAAAAGTCTTCCACTTTTAATATAACATGCATGGTGTTATGAGTTATAAAATCCTGGTTATCATTTTGAAAGGTCTGGTTTTTGTTGTCCTTGCACGGAGCGTCTTTGAGCTTACTTTATGGCTTAGCAGTCTGCGTGTGCGTGTGTTAAATATGGAAAGGGCAGCGTATCCCTCTACAGTAAATGCTCACAAGGGAGGAAGTCTCAGATTCTGTTTTAAACGGGGTACTGGAGTGAGGTTCCTCACACTGACCCATTCACATCTTTGGTGAGCTCAAATCTGGCTTGAAGCCATTCTGAGGATGGCCGTGGTTTGAGAAAGCAGATAGCTCTCAGGCTTCAGCCACTGCCAGGCACCTGAGCCCTACCCCCACAATCTCCACCCAATCACCTGGGACCTTCTTTTCATCATGCAAATGGGTCGGGCAGCTCGGAAGCTCAGGAGTCATTGGAGGCCCCTGTCCTGTCCCATTCCTAGTTCTGCTTTCCCTCATGGCAAATGATTAGAACACACTCACTCAAGCAACCAAGACATGGAAGCAATGGGAATACATGTCAGAACACAACAGTTGGGGGTTCCAAGTGGAGCATCCCTGGGTCCCTCTCTCCCTCACCACCCTCACTCATTCCCTGATTTCCATCACTGACTATTAGCGAACAGGAGGACAGATGTGTGTCTTCTCTTAGGGGAGTCTCTTAACCTAGTACACAAGCATCACTATTATCTTTTATTACTTGCTGTTAAGAAGTCAGTTTTAGGTGTTCTTTATCCTTCCAGACAAACTAATTTCATGCAACACTCTCACCCTCTGAAGCACTTTTTTAATCTACGTCAGATGCAGTTTAAGTCTTTAGTACACACAGCAGTTCTCAATAACACGTGGTGACCACAAACTGCTCCGTAAAATTGCATAATGCTTAATTCCTATCAACTTGCATAACACACAAAATAAGTTGATATGAAACACATTGTACATCTGTCAATGAGCTTTGGTGACAAAGGTTATACAAAATAAGTCAGGAGAGTCTATTTGTATTTTTAAAGTGGAATTACATAGAGTACAACAGGAGATTTGCTCCAGCTTTTCTGACAATTAGACGGTTCAGTTTTGAACTTCGTATACTATGACACTAAATCTATCATGAACAATTTTGTTGTGTACATTATCATAACATGATTACTCATGAGTGTAAAACTAGTTGCAATTTTAGAAAATTGAGACAATTTCTTCTCAGTGATTTTTTTGTATCGATAAAGTCACTAGCTGATATGGTTTGGCTGTGTCCCCACCCAAATCTCCCAGAATTCCCAGATGTTGTGGGAGGGGCGCAAGGGGAGGTAATTGAATCATGGGGGCCGGTCTTTCCCGTGCTATTCTCGTGATAGTGAATAAGTCTCACAAGATCTGATGGGTTTATCAGGGGTTTCCGCTTTTGCTTTTTCCTCATTTTTCTCTTGCTGCTTTCGTGTAAGAAATGCCTTTCGCCTCTCGCCATGATTCTGAGGCCTCTCCAGCCATGTGGAACTGTAAGTCCAATCCAACCTCTTTTTCTTCCCAGTCTGGGGTATGTCTTTATCAGCAGCGTGAAAACAGACTGATACACTAGCATAACAGTACATCAGTGCAAATAAAAGCAATATCTTAAGTTCTCTTTTGTATCCTAAAATAGTAAATCATTATGTTAGGATTATGGATGACCTGATGCAATTTAAACGGGTGAAAATTCCACTGCAGATATAATGCACCAGCAATTATTAGGAATGCATGTGACCAGGTATCCAGCACTTAGCACCCACATGACCTTGGGCAAGTCATAACCACTTGATTAAGGCTTCAATTTTCTTATTTAATAACTGAAGCTGTTGAGGTGGATGACCTCAAATATACTAAACACAGGATCTTCCAGTGAAGAACTTGGGTTATTCATCTTCATCTCTATTCTTTGGGGTAGCGACTAATTGATTGATTAAGGGGAAACCTCTTGGGAATTTACTTCTCTTTGATAAACTCTTATGCACACACTTCTTGCTTCTCTTCAGCAGCACTGCAGCAAGAGGTGTGCCTTTCTGGGATGGGTTCTGTTACCTTTGCATCCTATATCTACCTTGTATGGGTGGAGAACTATAGTCTACACAGCAGCGTTCTGGGGCCTGCCTCCACATCAAATACACTTTGATGATGGAGCTTCAAAACTATTGCCATCATCTGGGTGCCATCTCAGACCCAGTGAATCAGAATCTCAGGGGACAGGGAGACCACCATGGCACTGGCAGGTATATTTGAAACTCCCCAGGTAGTTGCAATGGACTTCCAGGATAGCGGGCTTGACATTATGGCCATCAAGTGAATGATGAAGGCATTCCGAAATCTTCATCTTATCAGACATCTCTGGGAAAGCACATTTTTAAAATGAACCTCTGGCCAGGCACAGTGGCTCAAACATGTAATCCCAGTGCTTTGGGAGGCCAAGGTGGAAGGAGTTCGAGAGCAATATGAGAAACATGGCAAAACCCCATCTATACAAAAAAATTTCAAAATTAGGCACAGTGGGCCGGGCGCGGTGGCTCACGCCTGTAATCCCAGCACTTTGGGAGGCCGAGGCGGGCGGATCACGAGGTCAGGAGATCGAGACCATCCTGGCTAACACGGTGAAACCCCGTCTCTACTAAAAATACAAAAAATTAGCCGGCGTGGTAGCGGGCGCCTGTAGTCCCAGCTACTCGGGAGGCTGAGGCAGGAGAATGGCGTGAACCCGGGAGGCGGAGCTTGCAGTGAGCCGAGATCGCGCCACTGCACTCCAGCCTGGGCGACAGAGTGAGACTCCGTCTCAAAAAAAAAAAAAAAAAAAAAAATTAGGCACAGTGATGCACAGCTGTGGTCCTAGCTACTCAGAAGGCTGAGGCAGGAGGATAGCTTGAGTCCATGAGCTCAAGGATGCAGTGAGCAACTGTGATCGTGCCACTACACTCAGCCTAGGCAATAGAGCAAGACCCTGTCTCTATTTTTAAAAAAAACTTCCTACTCCCAAAACAGCTGGAGTCTACTCCTTCCATTGCTAGTGTCATTCTTCACGCAGTTACAAGGTCCTGGATACTGGGAATCCCTTCCTCATTTTGTCCCCTTGTCCTGGAATGTCCTTCCCATCCTTACCGTAGCAGATGTCATTCATTTGGATCTACCATTTAAAAAGCACTTACATGTGTATTTCCCCTGGGGATAAACATGCATGTAAGTGCTTTGTAAACGCCCACCAGTCACCTTGCGCAGCGGTGACAAGGTAGAAACTCCAAGTTTGCACAACTAGAAAGCGAGTCAAGACTCAAACCCAGGCCTTGGGGCTTTCCCTGCATGGCCAGCTTACCACCCTCCCTTATTCAAGGTCTTTTTCTGGGTACCTCCCTGCCAGCCCTGTGCCTAATTTAATTCCTGCCCTCCGGCACCCCTTCCCACCTCTGTGACGGCACTTACTTCTCCTAACTTCATTATCCACGAACGGGAACTGTCTGCATCTTTTGCTTCCCTTTTACACATCAGCTCCTTCAGGCAACCTTAGTTCCCCTTGACTTTGTTTACAACAGTGACTCAAAAAGAATCAGATCTTTGAACCCTGACCCTCACTTGCCCCATTGCTAAATAGTTACCACAGGCCATGTTGACTCCCCACAGCTCCCGTGAACACCCCGTTTTGTCTATTTCCAGGGCCAGTTTGCCTCGTTCAAGGTTTTATAACCTCACACCTGGCCACTGAGGCTGTCTCCTAACTGCCCACCTGGTCACTGGTATCTGCCTGCACCAAGTCCCCCTGCACCTGCGCTACAGCAAACACCATCATACAGTCTTAGAAACCTTCAGGAATGCCTCCTGCCTGCTGAGTAGATTGCAGATGTACTTGCTGGGTGTCACAGGATGAGAATTAGAAAACTAGAGCATACTTCTTTGTTTTTGCCTTGCAGAAGGCAAGCTCTTCACCAGGGACAAGCTTTGATGTCCGCCTACCTGCCTGGGAGAGAAGGGGAGATTAGGATTTGTTACAGAAGAAATTCAAGGTGCAAAGTAGGATTATGGAGCAGAACAGGAGCTGTATTTCTTTAAGGCTGTGCACTCAGCACTGCACTGGCCTGGAGCATCCACTCAGGGAGTGTGCTGACAGTGTACACAAAAAGAGAATCCTGTGTGCCATTAAGATGTAGCTGGAGAGTTTGAATTCAGGAAGGGGAAAGAATAACACAGGGGAAAGCCTGCTCTTTCTGAAGCCCATGAATTGTGGGGAGAGATAAAGGAAGGAGTTATAAAAATGTCTAGGTCCCTACTGCCTTCTCTGGCTTCTGCCCAGAGCCGGGGACCAGGTCAGGCCAAAGCTCAGGGCAGAGGGAGTTTTTGCACCCAGTCCCTAATGAGGACCATGGAAGCTCTTGCACTCCAGAACCTATGGTGGCGGAGGGGTCCTGGGTCTTCCTCTGCGGTGTAGATTCTGAGTGGAGATTCGAGGCATCTGCTGCAGTGAGGTAAGGTCACAGTGAACCTTGGAAATCAACCTTTGGTCTTGTGGGCTGGGTAAAGGGTGTGGCTGAGCCTGGTGTTAAACAGCTGGCAGGCCCTGAGGGAAGGCCAAGTGGCCAAGAGATGCCAAGGAAGGCCCTGGACAATGAGTTCCCCCAGCCACGGGCTTCAGCCATGTAGACCAGCCCAGCAAGAGGAACCCAGAGGATAAGGGACTTTCCCCAGAAACCCAAAGACATTGTGTCTGAGTACCTCCATTCTTCCAGAAGACCCGTGCTACTCCAAGTGTGGATCAGGAACGGTCTGTGAAATTTGTTACCGGTCTCAACAAGATAAGTCCAGAAACTGAGGGTAAGCATGTAGAAACGTCTATAGCTATCTGACCGAGTATTTTCATGTCTGTTCAACCTAATAAAACTTGAGCTTGGATTTTGTGTGTCTTTTTTATTTTGTTTTTTCTAGTAACTTATTTTTCTCATACTTCACAAAATATCCATTAGCACCATACTGAACATTTTAAAACAAACAAACAAACAAACAAATTGGTTTTTTATCGTGGAACGTTTGAGAAGCGCTGCGGTAAACCACAGCAAGCCCACAGGCCCCAACACCATCTTAGAAAGAGACTCAAGCAAAGAGTTACAGAGCATTTTATCCAAGGGAGACCTGGCCCTGCCTAGAGACTGTTTACTGGATCAGACTTAAAGCGCTTACCAGGTCTGGTAATAAAGCTAACATTTTTCCTGCTAACCAGCAGGTGGGGCACAGGAGGAAGCTCAGATTGACTAAAACAATGACTCTTTCTCTGCACACACAAGTTGTGGTGTGAATTAAGATTTGTAACTCCTATATGTGGGTATCTGGGTCTGCCACAATCTGGGTCCAGGTTTTCTTTCTAATTAAACGCCCATCACTTTCTTACATGAATCTCCATAGGCCCAGAATTCTCTCCCGAATCCTTTCTGACCATGCACAACCTACCATTCTTATGTTTGCCCCATCTGGCACAGCATCAGAAAGATACTCCATCTTAACAAATCTCTATTGATTTCTTGGCCTTTGGTATCACATTCTGAGCCTCAGGCAACAGTGTTTGTGACCCATCTCACTTCCTAGTACCTACCTATGACCAACATAATTGACTCTCACCCTAGATCCCACTGGTCCACCTCTCTGAGTTCACCCACAGTTGCAGTGGACCATTCACTCACATACTGACAGGTTCTTGGCATGAGCATCTCTGGCTTCTCTGAAACAGGCTTTCGCTGGGGCCACTGAAGCTTGTTCAGCCTTTGTGCAAAGCATCCCAGAAGGGCTGAGGATGGGCTACCCAACTCTCGACCCATAAGGGAGAGCAGTTGGTGAATCAATGCCCCAGCTCCTCACTCCCCAGAGGCACAACTCTGAAGTTCATTCCACAGGATTCCTCGGAGGCTTCCCATGCAATCAGGCCTCGACTGTCCACTGAAGCAGTAATGAGCTTCTCTTAATTGGCCAGCCTCCCTTGTTCCTGTTCTCCACTCCCTCACTTTTGCTTCCTGGGGTCACTTTCTAGGTGAACTACCTGAACCCAGAGTCTTGTCTCAAGTCTTCTTTAAATGGAAACCAAAAAAAGGCACCATCCCAATGGGCTTTTTGTTGTCTATGTTTGCCCAGACTCTTATTCTTCCAGCATTGGTGCAGAACCAAACTGGCTTCCAGGTGGAAGGCGCCCGTGGACCTGATCCAGGAGGAGACCAACAGCCAGGTGATATGGCCAAGAAGAGCTAGAAGCACATCTCTGTGGAGAAATGAGCCTTGAGTGATTCAGAGGCCTCATCCTCTTGCAACCTGACTGATGAAGCAGCTAGTGTCAAAGAAGATGGCAACTCTGTCACTTTTGCCTAAAAATACCCAAAGCTCCCTGTGATCCAAGAGGCCCTCATCTTTCCAGCTGTCACCACCAGCACAAACAGGAGACAGCCCTAACCCCTTACACACCACCTGATTTTTTTCACTCCTTTGTAGCTCCTTAGTAATCACTTTAACCAAGGAGGCAGAGGAAAAGATGGTACAAAGAAATACAGAAAAGTCAGGATACAATACAGATGATGTAACTCTGCCTCACCCATTGGTGACTATAACTGCCAGAAGACTGAGGGTGTTGGGGAAAGCGAGTCCCCACCCAGGACTGAGCACAACTCCCAAGGCACGCGGCCCCACCGAGTACTGAGCCTGTAGGTGCACATCCGTCTGTCTGCGAAGGTCGGAGAGAAAGGGAAAGAAAGCACTGCAAATAGGAGTGTTCAGTATTTCTCATGCAGCCTCTCGCACAAGCAGGGTGCACTCTGTTCCTGAGCTATTTCACACGCTCTTCCATTATGGAACTCAGCACACAATCTTGATGATGTTGGTCTCTGTCTCCTGCCAGCCCGTGTGTTTCTTGATGGCAGGTTTGTCTTATTTATCTTAGTACTCTCAGAGCCTGGCACATGGGAGATATTGAATAAATGTTTTTCAAATTAGGTTGCAATAAATTAAATTGGGTCTACTTTGGCTCAGATGAAAATACACTGGAGATAAAAACAAAGCGTAGTGCAGTTTGTATGAGTTGTTCTGTCTCTCTCTCTCTATATGTATATATATTTATATTTAGTTGTAAGAAATATAAATATAAATTTATATGTACACACACACTTCCTTCTGAATTGGTCTGAGTTGAGGCAAACCAATGTGTGTTCATTCCATTAATCAGTCAGGTCCAGTGTTCTGTTCATTTATAACTATATTCAATAAAGGATTCTAAATCATCATCATAGAAAGACAACCCCAGAACTCAGGGCCTTGCAGCCCAATTCCAAAGAAAAGAAAATGTGAACTTTTTCTCCAAAGTGTTAAACTGTAAGGAGTGGTTTCCCCTGTGTGTTACTTCTGGGCCCACAATTGAGTGCCAAATTGCTAATGAATAGGTAGACCGTGTTGTCCATTTACCCTTGGCAATTACGATTAAAGTTACATACTTTTTATGATATCCTCCCCAGCCCCCAGAATAAGCCATGACAGCCACACCTTTCCCCCTGAAATATCCCCTTCATTTTTCACCCGCTCTGTGGCTATTCCTGGGACTGAGCCCCTTTTCATGAGTTCCAGCGGGTCCCCATCAACCCCCAAATCCCACCACAGGCCACATCGTCCCAGACCAGACCACGTCTGTTGAGCTAGCTGTCTGTTTCTATGTGAGTCTATCACCAAAGTAAGTTACATTCTTTCACTACCAAAGTTACTGGGCCTTTTTTTTTTTTTAACAATCCTTGGAAATGATCCCAGCTTAAAAAAGAACGAAACTCTCAACAGTCAGCCAAATACAACTGTTGAATAATTTAAATGAGAGCTACTAAGTCTTTTGAAAACAACCCCAACCCTGTGTTCTCTGATGTGAACAGGAAAAAAAAAAATTATGCACCAATGTGCAGAATTTGAGCCTATGCAGATGGCATGTTTTGCACCGTAGACTGCTGTTACTGTTTTGGCCAACGCGTTCCTATGGGATGCTGAGTTTTGTTTGTGGATTGATCTCTAAGTTACTTTATAGTTGAATCTATCATCATATTTTCCTGGGATTTTATTTCTCTTCATTTTAAACAGATACATCAGAGACGGAGCAAGGAGCTTAGGCTAGCAAGCAGCCAACCTCCTCTGTTAGACCAAAATGTTCCCTCACTTTCAGAATAATCTGTGAATGTTGTTTGAAATGAAAAGAAAGAGTAAAGCATTTAGATAGTTCCTAAAGAAAAATAAAGCTTAATCAAGCCACTGTAGAGACATCTCCTTTCTTCTGGGGCCATGACCAATAGCACTGTATAGAGAATCACATAAATAGACAAACTGCTTTCCCGTCCATTTGGGACACCTTAGACAGACAGAAAGGAGAGAGTCCAGAGACCTTTACTAAGCACCCATGACGTATGATGCGCTGTGCCTGGGATAAACTGTGATTTCCAGGAGCTTCTATTCTTCTTCTACTCTTACGAGCACCTACACAAGAAGCTACAAAAAGATTTTGTAAGCTAAGGGAAAGTAGGTACAGAAATAGAGCGAATTACTATTAACAAGTTTAGCTGCAAGAACAATTTTTTTCTGACGTTGGGCACCGAGGTGACCTTCTTGTAAGTGGTTCAAACTTGGATTTATTGTCATTGTGTTCTCATCATTCTACTATAAGTGGATCAGGCACCACCGACACAAGCACACATTCATTTATGCATTCAGCACACACGTATGGTGCACCTAGTGTATGCATCATGCCAGGAACTGAGGAAGAGAAGATGATGAGGACTTCTGTCCTCCAGAAACTCATGATCTGCTGGGGGAGACGAGTATGCAAATGTATCCTTTAAGAGAACTGTCAGAAGTGCAATGAGAGAGAGAAACTGTCCGTTCACAAGACTCACTCCTTCATACCTGGATGCAATACAGATGGAGGTAAGATTTAGGACTTTCTGCAGAGCCACTGCATTTTAAGTAGACTCAAACTGCATCTTTCTAGGAAGCGAGGCAGTATTTATCTGTCCAAGCAAAAATTGAATGAAGCACATGACTTCCATGGATGCAAACATTATAAACAAGGTCTCTGTGTGAATTTGCAGGATTGAATCTCCCAGATTACAGTTGAACCCTACCACCTAGAAATACTATGATTCTTATCAGACAAAATCAAGACATACAAATTTAAGTTGGAACAAAAGAATAAAATGTAGTTGACTCACTTTATTTAGCACAGATTTGGATTTTTGTTGTTGTGTATATCAATTCAAGAACTAAGAATTCAACCCAAGTTTTAAAATGTAAAACTGACTTCACGTATCTTTAGTAAAAGGCCAGCAACACCTCCCAAAGAGTTCATAATGTTTTTAGGAATAAAGTGCCAGGGGTTGACTAAGACTATTAAGAAAATTGGGTATAAATTCGAAAGAAATTGTGTGTGGGTCCCTCCCAGACCATCTTAGCCCATAGAGGTCTCTTATTTCCTTGAGATTATTTCAAGGCATCAGAAATCTCCTTCTCACGTTACCTACCCTGCCCCATAAGCCAACATTTCATTCTCTCTTTGCATGAATCATTTCTCGCCTGTAAAGAATCTCTTGCCGTTGTTTTTTGTTTTGTTTTGTTTTGTTTTGTTTTGTTTTGTTTTGTTTTGTTTCTGAGACAGAGTCTCACTCTATAGCCCAGGCTGGAGTGCAGTGGCACAATCTCGGCTCACTGCAACATCTGCCTCCTGGGTTCAAGTGATTCTCCTGCCTCACCTCCTGAGTCACTGGGACTACAGGCACATGCTACCACGCCTGGCTAATTTTTTGTATTTTTAGTAGAGATGGGGTTTCACCATTTTAGCCAGTATGGTCTCGATCTCCTGACCTCATGATACTCTTGCCTCGGCCTCCCAAAGTGCTGGGATTACAAGCGTGAGCCACCATGCCCGGCCTTGGTTTTGCTTAGACTGAAGACTTTTCAAAATCATGAGTCAGTTCTCCCTCTTCTCTTTTCATTCCTCAAATTCTCTGAAACTCTATTAAATATAGGAATTTAAAAATGGCTGTTGAATCAGTTGTTTCAGCTCTATTGTTGCTAAGCCACCTTTGAAACAATTAAGACACCATCAATTTTTCTGCAGTTTATATAGTACCAGTGTACAAAGTAGATACTCAGGAAAAGGTATGGGTAAATTAACTGATTCTGAAGAATTGAGAATTTGTCCCTGAGTTATATAAGAATGATTGTGTATATTTTTAGTTGAAAGCATGTAATAGCCCCTAAAGAGCTTATAACGCAAACGACAACTAGGTTCTCAGGTTTTAAATCTCTGGTTAACAGGCTCATGGGTACTACTTTGCGGGACATATTTTAAAATAGAGTGGGGTGGGGGGGAATGTACACAAGTATTATTTGAATTCTATTATCATTTACTTATTTAAAACTTATTTTTGTATTTCATGTTTACTACTTTTGTTTGCTTTGCTTTGATAGAAACTAAAACCCATCTTCTCTGACAAAGTACTGTTTTTGATATTCAATAAACAGAGCTTTCTTATTCATCCTTTTCTTTAAAAATTACTTTCCTGTATTACAATTTGTATTTGTTAATCACGTATGGAATCAGCTTTTAAACAGAAGAAAACAAGCATCAGCTCTGTAGAAACTGCAGACGTTTTGGAGAAGATTAAACAAGACAGCTTCAAAAGACCAAAACATGAATCCACCCCAGCCCTTGTTGGTCAAACCACGTGGGCCTTCAGCTGTCTCGTCTTTCCAGAGTCTCATCTTATGATGAAAGTTAAATAAATTCCGTTGTAAATGATGTTTTTTAAAACTCTAAATGAGAGAAGCAATAGAGACTTTACCCCCTAATAATGGGATACTATATGTAATTCTTAAAATTAATAAAGGCCATTTGTGCTGTAAGAATTCTCCATTTTCTTTTGTAAAGGTGACTTCTTTAACCTGAATATTTTAACAGGTCAATAAGATATGCCCCTGGTAGTAGAGTGACATTTTTTTTCACTCCTCAAAAGCCATTTTATAAGACAATGCACATTTCAACATCAGCGTAAATAACAGCCTTGTTTGAAAACTCAGGAGGCAGCTTTACTCTTTCTCTGCCTTCTTTCCTACCCAGCCCTCCCCCTCCTCTGAACTGAACCACACCTCTCTAGAAATACTCGCGTTCTTAATGAAAACCATATTTAAAAAAAAAAAAAAAAAAAAAAAGTTTGCATGACCCGCCGAAACGCCTGGACAATCTTTAATGTCAGCTTCAGACGACACGTGTCTTATGAAAGTCTGGGGCCCTGCTCGTCTGGCAGAGCGAGCTCTGTCCCACATCTTTATGAGAAAGAGGGACAAAACTTCTGTTTTTGGCATTTTATGTTGGAGTCTGTTTTAAGCAAGGAGGAAAAAAATAGCAAAGTAGAGTCTAGACAGAAAAGATGGGGGTGAAATCTGGAAGCCATTCACCCCGGCAAGGGCAGCAGCAGCCCGTCGGCAGCAGGGATCGCCTTACGCTGCCTAATTACACATGAAAAATGTACACACCGCGTCTCTCAACTGCTTGGAAAAATAGATGCTAGGATGGCGCTTTTGGACGGTGGCAACCGAACCAGTTGTATATTCTGGATGCGGGATCTCTTACTCCACGCATTTTGCAATGTGATTTCCTTTTTCAGGGGCATAGGTATTCCTTTCATCCTCCCCCCAAGATGTTTTAAATGTATTCTCAATTTGGCAAATGGTCACATTCTGTGAAGAATATTTAGATATTAAAGTAGGTTCCGTATGAGATCAAGTTAGACACATTTCTATGGTAAAGAGTTTGCCTAAGAGTAAGATCAAGACTATGAAGTCCTCAACATATTTTAGGATCTCACTGATGGCTTGAGGTGATTTGCAGTTACAAGGATAACTTCTAAATCATTAGCATGGCCTGCTCATGCAATCACAGACTTCGTGCCAAGCATAGGTCTACATTTTATGCAGGATAATGATTTTTTAAGAATCCTTTAATATAGTGTCTTTTTCCAGGAGTTCAAAGCATTTTTCACAGATATTAGCATTCAGTCACATAACATTCCTGGAATCTAAGGAGGGACGAGGCCGTAGCCAGGAGCTGACTGCAGAGGAGGTGTGTGTGCAGGCTTTGATGCTGGAGAGATTCTCCTGAAGAAAAAATGGTAGGAGAGAAATTTAGAACCCAACCTTAATGGATGTTAGAGAGCACAGCTAGCTGTGTGGGTGACAGAGAGACTGACAGACAGACTTGGAGAGGTAGGTAGAGGTCAGGGAAAGCCTGGGATAGAGAAACTGTCCAACAGAAGCTCAAAGCAAGTAAAAGAGGAGGCCAGGGAGCTATTTGGGGCCCTGAAAAGGGGTCATCTATGGAAGGTTTGGGAACATCAGGATACCAGGAAGGCTGGATGCCATGAGTGGTGAAGTCAATGGGATCAGCTCCTATGGGCTCTGGGTAAACACTGGGAAGGAGCCAGGAGCTGTGGGCAGAGTGGGTGACATGGCCTGGCTCAACTTGGGGGAGGCTCCCTGGCCAGGAGAGCAGAGACTGTGGGGGCTCTAAGGGGAGACTTAGGGAGAGACTGTTGTTCTGCTAGCAATAGATGGTGATGGTTTGGACCAGAAAGAGGAAGAATCTAGAAATACTTCCCTAAGGCTGATTGAAGGCTGACTCTATCATCCTGCCAGGGGCCCAGGGGGAATTGCAGTAGGTACAGCAAACATCAAAGACAAGGGCCTCCTTCTGACATGAAACATCTATGTGCCCTTCAGTGAGGATTATTAAGCGCAGCGGGGCAATCCCACCAAAGACCACCAAAGAACCACACCAAAGACCACTAAGCAGCCACTAAAAATGATATCTTGGGGTGGTAACTGCAGCAGGTGTACACTTCAGTCAAAATACCTCAAATTGTGCATACACTTAATCTCTGGCCAGTTTATTCTATACAGAACATGCTTTAATAATAAATAGTAAATTAATTATTTAACCAACGTAAGGCTAGGATAAGCCTCGTACGTGCCTCTGAATGTCCCTGGGGCTGTACTTCTGATTGAAACCACAATAGCAATAGCTAATATTTTCCTCATGTTGCCAATGTGACCAGAATTCTTCTAAGCATTTTGCATAGATTAATTCAGTTAACAGTTCCAGCAATGCTATCAGATAGATACTATTATTATCTCCATTTCGCTTGGGAAGAAACGGAGTCACAGAAAGTTCGCGAGCTTTGGCCGAAATGTCTCATCAGTGGGAGCCTGAGGTTATCTGCAGCCTCCTTCCCTCACAGGGCAACTCTAAGAACCAAGGAGAGGCAGGCACCAAAGGGCTCTGAAAAGTGCAAGGATCGGCCTGGCGCGGTGGCGCACGCCTGTAATCCCAGCACTTTGGGAGGCCGAGGCGGGCAGATCACGAGGTCAAGAGATCGAGATCATTCTGGCTAACACGGTGAAACCCATCTCTACTAAAAAAAAACACAAAAAATTAGCCAGTCCTGGTGGCAGGCGCCTGTATCCCAGCTACTCGGGAGGCTGAGGCAGAAGAATTGCTTGAACCCGGGAGGCAGAGCTTGCAGTGAGCCGAGATCGCGCCACTGCACTCCAGCATGGGCGACAGAGGCAGACTCCGTCTCAAAAACAAACAAAAAAGCAAAACAAAACAAAACAAAAAAAAGTGCAAGGATCCATATCTGACCAAAATGCTTCCAGTTTCTCCACGGAGATAAGGAATAGCTTGTCTGTGGTAGGAATCTGGGGAAGATTCTAGTGACCACACCAGTTTCCCTCCAGGAAACAAATAATTACTTTAATTACCCTTTCCAGAGCCCTGTTTTCCATCCTCGTAATCATTACTTTTGCTCTTTTCTGAATTCTCTCCAATTTTCTTACACCTCTCTAAAAATTTGTGGACACTATTGACCTACAAAGAAAGTTTGAAATCGTTGACAAGAAAGACGTTTGCAGGAAGACCTTGCAATAGACGGGTCAGGTTTACAGAAGATTTTGATATCTGGGAGTTATACATGAGTTACTAAAACCCTGGCTTCTGTCCCAAACTTAGGTCCCAGGTGTTTAAGTCACCAGTGAGGAACTGTTTTTGTTACTGGCTGGAGGTCTGGTGGTGTGGGGAGGTGGGTCTGTGGCAGTGATATTGAGGTTACGACCCACAGTGATTATCAGAGCTTATTGACCCTTGAAGCCTCCGGGAGTGCTCAAGTCCTCCCAGCCTCATATCCCAGCACAGAGCCCTCTCTGGAAGTAAGAGCTGGCAGGTTTGGTTCTGGGGAGGTAACTGTCTTAGGACTACACGGTGTCATTTCAGAGGCCCATTGCCCCCTCTATCAGGCACAGGAAGACCCCAAAGAAAACCTTGCTTCCACCATGAAGCTGTGCAACTTTACACAAATTCCCTAAGCTCTCTGGACTTTACTCTCCTCATTTGTAAAATGGAGCTAGCAATATCTTCCTCATAGGGTTTCCGAAGATCAGAGGTGATAGCAGGTAAGATGCCTGGCGTGGAGTAGCCTTTGTGACAATGGGGAAAATTTGACACCCCAAGTACCAGCCCTTGGGTTGACATTCCAAGCCTTTCCCACAAACAGGTTCTTACTCAAGGTTTGAAGATTCACTAGAACATTTACAAAGGAAAGGGAAGGGGAGGGGAAGGGGAGGGGGAGGGGAGGGGGAGGGGAGGGGGAGGGCAGGGGAGGGGGAAGGGAGGGGAATGGGGAGGAGAGGGGAGGGGGAGGGGATGGGGAGGGGGAGGGGAGGGGAGGGGGAGGGGGAGGGGAGGGGAGGGGAGAAGTGGAGGGCTTCCAAGGGCCCACATCAACCATGCAGGAATTTCTACTTTTAAAATTCTGGGTAAAATTGTATTCCCCCATTTCCCAGGCTGGGGTGTGGAGGTACCCAGGGAAGGGTCACAGCCAGCCTGTGGGACTTTGAATGCTGTTCCATCTCCCAGATATCATATTGAGTGAAGGGCACCAAAGACCTTCCAGAGCTGGTACACATTAATGAGATCACATTGGAGAAAACATGAGGCAAAGCTCAAGATCATCATAGTTGTTCTTGTCTGGGCATACTACCATCTAACGGAAGGAAGCATAGTCTATGACCAAGACCAGGTAAAACAGTTAAACAACTGTGAAGGGGCTACTGAAATTGGACCGAGCATACAAAGAACCACCAGTGGGAATCTATGCCACCAACAACAACCCCTAATATCTCCCCAAAAGAAGAATTGAGGAAAGTGTCTCTCTTGTAGTTAGAGTCCATTTTTATTAACTGTCCATATAAATGTCAGACTAAAGAATTGTGCTTATAAAATGAACCTTAGGTATGACCCCAGAATTCAAAAATGCATACCCTTTGTGACCAGCAGAGACACATCTTCATTTGGGTTAAACACTGGCAGAAATAGAAACCAAGAGACGGGCTAGACCCTCAGTGGATGACCTTGAGCCATGACTTTGCTAAGTCTTTGCTTGCCCGGTATGGTTGTTAGATGACCTGATTGACAAGGTCTGCTCTAGTGATGTCCTACCAGGACTCCCAAGTATAACTTTTTCTATTATTGCTGTTTCTCAGCGGTCAGTGGGTGTAAGAGAAGCTAACCAGAGGAAGTGAATCACTTCCTGTGGTCATTCTTCTGCCCACAGTTGAGCTATTTTTAACAGTCCATATAAAAATCATAAATCCAACCCTGGGCGTGTGTTTTATTTAACAAGTGCCTAATAAGTTAGGTGGAGGTGGAGACAAAAATGGGAAGACTTGAGCCAGTGAGGAGGAAACCATTAAATAAATTCCCCCAGATAATGATAATCTCTGTAGCTTCTTTTGGAAAACTTGTCACAAAGAACAAGAATAATGTTTTTAGGGTCACTTCTATGGAAGTTCCCATTCCATATGGAAGAAACTAATTTATAAAGCAAAAGAGCTGCCCAACTTTCACAGTGTCTGTAGTAAATTACTCAAAATATTCCAGCAACCAGCCAGGGTGATTTTTCAAAAATCTTTCTCTTCTTTATCACTGCTATTTCTTTCCATTCGAATATGGTGGTATCATTTATACAAAATCTGTGAATAATTAGACAAGGAATGTGAAATGATTTACTAAGAAATGCTTGGAGATTAAGTACAATCTCACTCCAGCATTGAATGAAGGAGAGTAACAGCTTGGGCATCCATTTCAAAGGACCACAGACTGGGCAGCTTAAAACAACAGAAATTTATGTTCTCACAGTTCTGGAGGCTGGAAGTCCGAGATCAAGTTGTGGGCAGACTTGGTTTCTTCTAAGAACTGTGAAGATAGATGCTGCTCCAGACCTCTCTCCTTGGCTGTAGATGTTCATTTTCTCTCTGTGTCTCCACGTGGCATCTTCCTCCTATGACTGTCTCTGTGTCCAAATTTTCTCTTCCTTTAAGGACACCAGTCATATTGGACTAGTGCCCACTCTGATGACCTCATTTTAGCTTAACTGCCTCTGTAAAGACCCTATCTCCAAATTGGGTCACATTCTGAGGCAATGGAGATTAGGACTTCAACATGTGAATTTGAAGTGGGGATTGCTGGGGGAGACACAATTGGCCCATAACAACAAAAGAGTTTCTTTTATTGCATCGTGACTTTATCACATATCAGGCTTTCATAGTATTAAATATCTACCTAACACCTCTAGTCTGCCTTCCACTCATATCCCCCGTGTAGATGTAGCCCACCCAGAGAGAGAAAACCCAACATAAATTCTGAACAGGATGCTGCTCCCTGGACCTGCCCGCTGGAGGCACCATTTTTGAGAGAACTTCTGGTCTAGGTGCTCTTCCTAACAACATCTCAGATGCTTCTAACACTAGAGTTCAGACAGATCACAGACAACACTCAGAGGGCTATTTATAATTTAATATACACAACATATGATAAAATGAATTGTTTCACCATTTTATAATATGTTGAGATGTCTGCAGCTCTTCTCATCAATGGTTTAAAGCAGGAGTCTGCCAACCTCTTGATATGGTTTGAATCTGTGTCTCTGCCGAAATCTTGTTGAATTGCAATTCTCAATGTTGGAGGTGAGACCTGGTGAGAGGTCATTGGATCATGGGGGCAGATTTTCCCCTTTGGTGCTATTCTCATGATTGCATTCTCATAGGATCTGATTGCTTAAAAGTGTGTAGCACCTCCCCCCTTCTCTCGATCCTGCTCCTGCCGTGTAAGACAAGCCTGTTTCCCCTTCACCTTCTGCCATGATTGTTAGTTTCCTGAGGCCTCCCCAGAAGCCAAGCAGATGCTGGAACCATGCTTTCTGTACAGCCTGCCGAACCATGAGCCAATTAAACCTCTTTTCTTTATAAATTCCCAGGTCTCAGGTATTTCTTTATAGCAGTGCAAGAACGGACTAATAAACCTCTAGGAAAGGGCCAGACAGTAGATATTTGAGGGTTTGCAGTACATTCAGCCTCTCCGAAACTTCTGAACTCTGCCGTTGTAACATGAAAGCAGCCTTAGGCAACACATGCATGAATGATCGTGGCTGTGTTCCAGTAAACTTTATTTGTGGACACTGAAATTTGACTTCTATGTATTTTTCATATGTCACAAAATATTCTGCATCTGATTATTTTCCAACCATTTAAAAGTGTAAAACTGAAATATTCCTAATATGATTCTTTTCCAACCATTTAAATGTGTAAAACCATTCTTAGTTCATAGGCCACTGAAAAACATGGTGGTTGGATTTTGCCAATGCCTTAGGTTTGCTGAGCTTTGTCCCTGTTTGTTCCTGGTGAGCCATCATCTGCACACTATGCCTGTTTCTTCCTTGAAGGCCCTAATTTATCCCTTTCCATCCATACTACTCAGCTCTCCCAACACAGCCTTGAATCCTTCTCTACTGATTTCCACAAGAGGCCTTGATCCTAATCCACTGTACCAGATAATAACTGCATGCCAGATAGGGAGGCTCCACCACAATCTTTCCAACAGGAGCTTTCCAAGTCTTTGCTTCCCTTTATCAGTGCCTTTTTTAGGATCAAGATTGCTTTGCTTCCTCTAGCCAGTGGGGTGGTGGTGAGAACCAAAACTTCTGGTGGTGGTCAGGGTAATTTTTTACATTGAGAGGAGCTAAGAACAGCTTTCCTATTGAGCAAAAACATCAACACCATGATGCTTCCTACTAAACATTCTCCATCCCCTCTCTCCCTCCTCCTCCCTCCCTTAAGCAGCAACCCTTGCATTCCTCTTTGGCCATTTCATGCTCAATATCACCTTGCTTATTTGCCATCTTAGTAGAGCACTGGGCAGTACTCAGTAAATCCTCCCTAAACATTGGCCAAGTGCTGAAAACCCCTGGGATGATGGGATTTCTGTACTGCAAAAACATTTCTTGAACATGAAGTTCCCCTCTACTATGTGTTTCAGGTAAATCCAATCCTCCAAATGAAGGAAAACAACTACGAAAATATTTTAGGCATGAAATCATGGTACAGGTTTGGATGCCAGGAACTCTGTTACTGGTGACATATTTTTCATCCGAGTAATTAATTAATCAACAATTGGTGATATGGTTTGGCTCTGTGTCCCCACCCAAATCTCATCTCAAATTGTAATCCCCATGTGTCACGGGAGGGACCCAGGGGGAGCTGATGGGACTATGGGGGTGATTTCCCCCATGCTGTTCTTGCGAGAGTGAGAGAGTCTCCTGAGCTCTGATAGTTTAAAAGCAGCAGTTTTTCCTGTGCTTGCACTTCTCTTCCCTGCCGGCTTATGAAGAAAGTGCCTGCTTCCCCTTTGCCTTCCGCCATGATTGTAGCTTTTCTGAGGCCTCCCCAGCCATGCAGAACTGTGAGTCAATGAAACCTCTTTCTTTTATAAATTATCCAGTCTGTGGTATTTCTTTATAACAGTGTGAAACGGACCAATACAATGGGGTATATGCACCCTGAGTGAGTATACATCAGAGGGTGTTCACCTTTCAGAGGAGGTAGGAAGTTTTGTGAAACTCATTTTTCAGAGAATTTTAACTCTAATAGCATTAAAAAATGTAATGTGGATGCCAAAATTGGCATTGTCCCAGTCACTGCAAATCAAGGTACTAATTAATGTTTTCATCATTCTCCTATGCTTACCCGTATTTGAAAAATGAAGACGTCTACATGGGATGTTTTTCCCAAGGATCAAGTACCAAGACTAAACAAAGATTCACTGCCTGATTGAGTTTAGACCCGGCAAGCACAAGACCATTGCTTCATCTCCACCTTGGATTGCAAAATCTTTCAGGACCAGGGCTGTTGGCTGAATAACTTGCTCCATGGTACCAGGATCTGCAACTCTTGGTGCAGATTGTGGATGGAGGTGAGTGGTGAGACAGGGTGGCAGCTATCCTTGCACCTGAAAGAAGTTTGGTGACTCTCTGGGGCAGGTATGCTTCGAAGGGAGCAAGCTCTTCCAGCTGCAGGGGGACCCTGCACAGCAGAGTCCTCAGCAAACCTTGGCATTGCTTGTGGGCAGCCTCGCAGCTCAGCGGTGTGCTCATGCCAGCTCCTCTAGATGATGCTGTAATTGGATAGCAACTTTCTTCACTAGGTCACAGGTTCAAGAGCAGCCCAGACCCTTCAGATGTTGCTTTGTCCTCCCTCTCCCAGCCTGCACAGCATCAAGCTACTCCTGGGGCCTGCCTGTCCTCTCTTCTGCCCCTTACACAAGCTGGGAGCTGAGCTGAAGCAGAGCTGGTTTTAAAGCTCTGACCTCCATGAGGCAAGGACCACAAAAACCCTGGACCACAAAAAGCTAGGCTGCAGAGACAGGAACAAAAGCAAGGGATGGCAGGAAGCTGATTGACATGTGGGAATCCAACAATGCCCCAGTCTTCCAGGCGGTGTGGGTCATCTCAGCCAGCAGCACTCCTCAAATGAGAATGAGACAGGTCACCATGGGTCACAGAGCCTCTCTACCAAAGAAGGAGAAAAAGATCAAGGGGGGCTTTTGTAAAAAGGGAACATATGGACTGGCAAAATAAATCAGAGCTGGCCATGGGGTAAGATCTTCTTATCCGAAGACCGTAGTCATCGTTCCTGTCACCTTGGCTCTAGAATAAAGCCCACACCCTCATCCCTGACTTCTGTAGACTAATTTAAAAAGATTAAGTAACGTTCCTTGTTGTCGCTATCAGGATGTGAACTTGGGGTGCAGCCACCCCAGAAGGGCTGTGCGGAATGGTATTGCTCTAATTCAAAGGACGAGAAGGGAATTTTGGTTTTCATGAATTACATCATAGGGATTTTTTTTGTTTGCTGTTGTTTTTGTTGTTGTTGTTTTGCCAAGAAAACATCCTGAGTTCCCTGGTCCTGAATCTGACCTCATTAGGGGTAGAGGTTGGAGCTACGTCCCTGGCAACACCACCCTCCCACCTGGAGCAGCAGTGCTGCAGTGAAGAGGAGTTTCTCATGGTTTAGGGATAAAATGAACTGAAGAGTTCTCACCATGGCTGCCTAGGCAGCTGACGGGGCCACGGTAACTGACTCTGGATCCCACGTTCCAGCTGAACACCAAGTTATGTCTTAGTCCACATGGGTGGCCATTGAAAGCACCACAGACTAGGCAGCTTAAACAACAGACATTTATCTTCTCACAGTTCTGAAGGCTGGAAGTCCAAGATTAAGTTTCCGGCAGGGTTGGGTTCCCAGCCAGGGCTCTCTGGCTGTGTTCTCACTTGGCAGAAAGATGGTGGGGAGGGGGGACAGTGAGCCCTAGTATCTCTTTTTTAAAGGCCACATATCCTTTATCAGATCAGAACTCTACCCTTATCACCTCATCTAACCTTAATGACTTTTGGCTGGGCGCGGTGGCTCATGCCTGTAATCCCAGCACTTTGGGAGGCTGAGGCGGGAGAATCACTTGAGGTCAGGAGTTTGAGACCAGCCTGGCCAACATGCTGAAACCCCATCTCTACTAAAAATACAAAAATTAGCTGGGCATGGAGGCGCGTGCCTGTAACCCCAGCTACTCAGGAGGCTAAGGAACAAGAATCACTTGAACCTGAGAGGCAGAGGTTTCAGTGAGCCAAGATCGTGCCACTGCACTCCAGCCTGGGGGACAGAATGAGACTCCATCTCAAAATAAATAAATAAATAAATAAATAAATAAATAACCTTAATAACTTCCTTAGAGGCCCCATCTCCAAGTACCACCACGCTAAGGGTTAGGGCTTCAGCATAAGAATTTTGGAGAAACGTGAACTTTGGCTGTTGAATGCAGCCCCCATGCTCACTCCTGACTTCCTTAGACTAACCAAAAAACTTAATAGTATTCAACATTATTGCTACCAGAGTACTAAACTGCCTAGGATGAGAACTTGGGGTGTGGCTCCCCAAGTCCATAACAGATATGTGACAAAAGCACCCTCCTGGATCACTTTCACTATTCATTCATTCACGCGATTGTTCCTTGACTTAATACTTATCCACTGGAGTGACCGAAGGCCAGGTGTGCTCCCAGAGGCAGGGATAACAGTGGTGAGCAAGGAGCCACCATGCTCAGGGAGAAGTCAGACAAATAAAATGGAAAGACAGAAGAAAATAGAATGTGGCACTTCCCACCATAAGAACAAGTTGGTTTTCATTTGTGCACAACTTCACATTCTTTTTAGAGATGGGGTCTCACTACATTGCCCAGGTTGGTCTCAAATTCCTGGCTTCAAGTGATCCTCCCACCTCAGCCTCCTGAGTAGTTAGGATTACACACGTTTGCCACTGTCCCCAGCTACCTTGGTTTTGACATAATCTGGCCTGTAGCAGCTCCCTTTTCCCGTTCCTTCTTTAAGCTTTTCCAAACAGATGAATATCTTTCAATTTTCAGAAAAGTAATATCCTCAAACTCTTCAGAGTACTCCTCCCTTATCTGCAGAATTTAAACAATACCTCTTGCTTCTGTGTGTTGTTCATGGCATGTCATAACAGCCACAAGTACCTGAGCTGGATTTGAACAGAAAAGTGAGGATGATTGTAAAATGAAAAAGTATCAAGATATTTATTCTCCGAGGCCAGGTACTACGACTCACACTTGTAATCCCAGAACTTTCAGAGGCTGAGGCAGGAGGATCGCTTGAGGCCAGGAGTGTGAGACCAACATAGCAAGACCTCATCTCTACAGAATATTTTAAAATTAGCCAGGCATTGTGGTGTGTGTCTGTAGTCCTTACTACTTGGGAGGCTGAGGCGGGAGGATCATTTGAGCCCAGGAGTTTGAGGCTGCAGTGAACTATGATTGCACCACTGCAGTCCAGCCTAGGCAACAAGGGGAGAGACCCTGTCCCTTGAAAAAAAAAGGGTATTTATTTTTTGGATAATTGTAAATTATCAAAGAGGTCATTGTTTCTTTCTCCTTTAATATCATTTTAATCGGTGGATCTCCACTTTTCCTCCCCAGATTTCTTGCTCTGAAAATGAAAAGTGGCAAAAGTAGAGGAAAAGACACTGGTGGGTAGAGTCATGACAAATTTGACATTTCTAAACTGGGCTTGACAGTGGAACTTTGAAAATATTTATCTATCAGAAAATAGTTTCAGCCATGGGCAATTTGGTAAAAGGTTTAGTTGATGGAAAAACCGTAACTCAGTGTGACTGGCTTTAATGTAAGATGTTCTTGAAGGCCACAGAATCACCAGCATTTCCAACAACCTGGAAAATTTAGACCAGCTTGGAAAAATAACAGGGGGCTGGGGTCATAGCCAAAACACTGTGCAAGATTAGATAAATTTATGTGCTTTAGAGATTTGGATTTAAATATTAAATTATAAATGAAAGCAATGCTGAGGCTGTGTTTAAACAGGGCTCTCTGCCTATGTTCTGGTCTCTTTTGCCTCCAAAAGATTGGAATAACTTTCCAAAATAAGGTGTGTGCTGCATCTATATATAGTTGTTTCCCATTTGCATTTCTCGTAAAAGTATGTGCTCCTATGGCTCCTTTAAGTAGTTAAAAAGGACTCTGCCCTGTGGGTGCTGGCCTGTGTCTCAGTACTTTTGTGTGCCTTCCAAGCCCAAGACAATGACTTCTCTAAGAGGCAGCACTGCTCATCTGAGGTCCTTCCTCCTGCCACCCTGGCTGGTCTAGAGTTTCAGCCTCTGCACAGGCAATGGGCTAGTCCACTTGAAGTGCTGGGTCCATTCTGCCTTTTTCACCTGCCATGGCCCTAAAACGACTCTCTTCTTGAATTGTCTGGTGAACATAATCAGATTTTCTCCAATTTTGTTTCTGTTTTCATACCAAAAATGAAGAAAGCAACTGTGTTAGTCCGTTCTCACACTGCTATAAGGACGTATCCAGGACTGGGTAATTTATAAAGGAAAGAGGTTTAATGGACTCACAATTCCACATGGCTGGGGAGGCCTCACAATCATGGTGGAAGGTGAAGTAGGAGCAAAGTCATGTCTTACATGGCAGCAGGCAAGAGAGTGTGTGCTGGGGAACTGCTCTTTATAAAACCATCAGATCTCATGAGACTTCTTCACTATCATGAGAACAGCACAGGAAAACCTGCCTCCATGATTCAATTACCTCCCACCGGGTCCCTCCCATGACACATGGGGATTATGGGAGCTACAATCCAAGATGAGATTTGGGTGGGGACACAGCCACACCATATCAGCAACCCCCTTCCTGTAGAACAAACAAACCATCTGCAGAACAAAGGAAGAGTAAACCCAAGGCTTCATCATGGTGGTCCTCCCCCTTGCCCCTTTTTTCATCCCTCAAATTATACATGGAGTGGCATTAACCATTAACCACTCTTAGGTTTAAAACCCTCCTCCCTGTTGCCCTGAGAGTAATTTCCAAAAACATAGCTTGGTGTGGAAGCCCCGCTCATCTTCCCAGTTCTAGAGTCCCCCAATGCCCCCATCTTTGCTCTCTGTTTCTACCATAGCCAAGTAGGTTCTGATTCTTTCTACCTTCCCAGGTGTTGGAACATTCCAGGTTGGAGTGTTATTCTTACAACTCTTGTCCCCCATTTCAGTTGGCCAACTCCCACTCACTCTGCCAGGGTTTCCCCTAACCATCCCCCACTGTTGGCTTAAGTGGCCCCACCATGAGCTGTCATGCCATATCGCAGCGCTATTTTTGCACACTCCAATGTAATTGCGTTTGTACAGCTGCTCCCTGTTAGACTCCTGGAGGGCAACGGCTGTTTTGTGTTCCCTGTTGTGTCCTCACAGCCCCGCACAGTATTCAGCATATGATATGTGTTGAACAAATACTTGATGAATGGATGAATACAATTACAGGAACCAATGTTTAGGTTGAGCCATATGAAATGGCTGCTATTTAACCATTTTTAACCTACAAACATGGCAGTTTCATGATTCTATCTAATGAACTAACTGTCTTAGGAATACTGTGCCCCAGCACAAAAGACTGCTTGAAATTACCTCCAAAAGATGTAGGGGTCTAGGCCCCATGAAGAGAAGCTTCAGATAACACAGGAGAGGACAAAGGTAGAAGGAAAAGAGGATTTTGTGAAAAGAACTGAACAGGCATTTCCAATCAATTATATGCTCAGAATTTTTCCTGGTCTCCCAAATATTGCCCTTCAGCCTTGCAAACCATCTGGAAAGTTCTTTCCTCTGGATGAAGCATGCTCATGCCAAATGTGAACTCTGTACTCTCTGACAGTCGCAAGGAAGACTGTCAAATCAGGTATCACTATTGAAAAAAAAAAGAAAAATACTTTTTCTAAATCAGAAAATAATTCAATTTTATTCAGCTTTCAGAGAACTAAATAACCATGAGATTAAAATGCCAAATTGTGTATCACACTGTAGGCTTATAAGTACTATTATTCAGAAAAACTGGGTTGTAGGAGGAAAATGAAGCCCAAAATAAGAAACAAGAAAAAGTGAGATGGTCTAATTTGGGTGGAAGTTGAGAACATGCCGTTCTTGCCATGAGTAATTGAGAGTTTGATGGTTAAAAAGAAAACCGACCCGGTACTCTTCTCCTCCTCTGTAAGGAAGACCATTAAGGGCATAAATCCTTATCAAATCCAACCCCTCTAACTGGGATTGAGGAAAAGCTGTCTTGCATAAGGAGGGCTGAGGGTGTCTAAGCAACAACTACAGTTCTCCCTGGTGTTAAGGTCTCAAGTTAATAAAATGAACAATTCTGGAAAATGCAAATAGAAAACCAACCCCAAAACTGTGACTGCCATGTTTGTGCAGTGGATGGAATTCTTAAGTGTTGTGCATTCGGGCTGCACAGACTCTGTTTCAGAAAGATGCTTCCAAGAGGTGGGATCTATTCAACAGAATATCATCCACAATGCAGGAGATGCCCAGGGAATATCATTCAAAAATAAACCAGGAAAATCCACAATAGCCATTTATCATGCATTCATTAAGAACTTGGCTCTGGGGTCCAGAGAAACACAGATGAAGAAGCCGTAACTCTGGCCTCCAGGATTTTGCCTCTTGTGTGGGAGCTGAGCTGACAGAAGTTCCTGATGCCAAATGGGATGTACAGACACAAAGCAAGGATATGAGGGGGCATTCTTGGTTAACTGCCAGGTGTGAGGAGTGAACCTGGCATGCTGCAAGTCAAGGAAAGGATGGCAACTGATGGAAACTGGGAAGGTCTGTAAGACATCATGCAAGAGACAAAAGCTGATCAATGTTCAAAGGTTATGGAACCACTTCTCTGTTATGCTTTTAAAAAGCAACTTCAAAGAGGAAAAGGGAATGGGATAGTTTATGCTTTGTTCCTAAACCAAACGATAGTAAACTCTGAAATTCAAGTCCTTCAAGAAATAATTATTTCTCTCTCTGTCTCCTCTTTCTTTCCCTCCTTCCTTCCCTCCCTCCCTCCCTTCCTTCCTTCCTTCCTCCTTCCTTCCTGCCTTCCTTCCTTCCTTCCTTCTTCCCTCTCTTCCTCCCTCCCTTCTTTCTTTCCTTCTTTCTTTCTCCCTTTCTCTCTCTGTCTCTCTTTCTCTTTGTTTATCCTTCTCTCTCCCCTCCTAAATGAGTGAGGTAAATTTAATTGGGTCTGTGAAATCTCATACCCTTTGGGTTGATATGAAGACACTAGGAAAGTACAACTTTATCTGACTACAAACATGATTATCTGTTGTGTTTTTCTAAAGAGTGTTTTCCTTTTATGGATAAATTTATCTCATTTACTTTTATTGACATGTTTAGAATTATTTCTGATGTTTTATTTCTTTTTATGCTTTCTGGATTTTTTTAACCTTTAAATTGAAGTATAACATATATATAGAAAAATAAACAAATCAAAACTGTATAACTTGAAAAACTTTTATAGAGTTGAAGCATCTGAGGAACCACCACCCAGATCAAGAAATGAAACATGACTTCTCACTTATAAATGGGAGCTAAACATGAGTATACATGGACATAAAGATGGGGATAATAGACACTGAGAATTGCAAAATGGGGGAGCGTAGGAGGGGAGTGAGGGTTGAGAAATTACCTATTGAGTACAATGTTCAATATTTGGATAATGGGTAGAATAGAATCTCAATCTCCATCATTAGACATGTAATACCCAAGCAACAAACAAGTACATGTACCCACTGAATCTAAAGTAAAAGTAAAAATAAAATAAATAAAATAATTTTAAAAAAAATGGAATATGACTGTCATCTACAAACCATTGAGATCCTTCCAGTCACTAACATTCCCCTGGGGTAACCACCAGCCTGATTTCTAATTCCATTTTTGCCTATTTTTGAACTTTATATACATGGAATCATGTAGTATATACATTTTCATGTCTAGCTTCTTTTGCTCAATATCATGTTTAAGACATTTAATCATATAGTTGCATGCAGTTGTAGTTTATTCATTCTTATTGCTGAATAGTATTCCATTGTGTGGTTATACCACAATCAATTTACCCATTCCACTGTTGTTATGCATTTGGATAGTTTCCTCATTCTCAGCAAACTATCGCAAGGACAAAAAAACAAACACCACATGTTCTCACTCATAGGTGGGAATTGAACAATGAGAACACATGGACACAGGAAGGGGAACATCACACACCGGGGACTGTTGTGGGGTGGGGGGAGGGGGGAGGGATAGCATTAGGAGATATACCTAATTCTAAATGACGAGTTAATGGGTGCAGCACACCAACATGGCACATGTATACATATGTAACTAACCTGCACGTTGTGCACATGTACCCTAAAACTTAAAGTATAATAATAATAAAATTAAAAAAAAAGAAATAGTTCTACTATAAACATTCTTGTACTTGTCTGTTTGTGAACATATGTATGTATTTGTGTTTGGCACCTACAAATGGAATTGCCAGGTAGTCATAGGGTTTGTGGATTGTCAGGTTTAGTCGGTTCTGCCAAGTAGCTTTTCAAGGCAGTTGTGAAGATTTACATTCCCACCAGCAATCAGAAAGCCAATATGATTGAAACTGTAATGCTTCCTCAGACAATAAACATATATTGAAGAAACCCCTTCTATACCAAGTCAGCATGGCCTGAGAGCTTAAGTATTAAACATTTTTGTTGCTTTCTTAGGACAAAAATAAGAGTTAGCTACACTGTTTTTAAAAGGAAGGAGGCTAGGAAGAAGTGGGTTCTGATAAGCATTAAGGACTCCTTTCCAAGATGAATGAATAATGTAAACTAAATAAAGGCTGATGAAATGGCACAAAATAACAGTTAAGAATTACCAAGATCATGCCAGAGGGTGGTTAGAGAACCAGATGTTTCCAGGAAATTATGGTCCTTGTTTTGAACTCAGCTGGCCAAAAGCTGGGTAAAATTGTACATGTTTAACTCACAGGACTATCTGACAACAATGTTTATCCCACTTTGCAAAGAAAAATTTCCTGAGATACATCAGGAAGAAAATGCTGATAAGATTTTTTAAACTCAGGGGATACGTTTTTTAAGAACTTTCTAAGTTAATAATTTAATGATTTCTGCATTATTTTCCAGCATCATTAGCTTTAAAAATGTTGAAAGAAATTGAAAGTGAACATCCAAACTGGCTGGAGACTTGGAAAGGTGAAATCTTTTCTAAGCTGCAGGAAAATGCAATGGAACTTCAGTGATAAAGACACATCCTTGTAATGATTTCCCATAGATTCAAAAAGAGCAGGCCAGGTGCGGTGGCTCATGTCCGTTATCCCAGCACTTCAGGAGGCCAAGGTGGGCGGATCACCTGAGGTCAGGAGTTCAAGACCAGCCTGGTCAACATGGTGAAACCCTGTCTCTATTAAATAAAAAAAAAAAAGAAAGAGAGAGAGCATACAGTATAGGCACACAAGTCTACATACAAGGGTATAAAATATTTCCAGAAAGAGATACAGATCTTACCACACTTGTTCTCTTCTTAAAACTCTTCGGCCGGGCGTGGTGGCTCATGCCTGTGGTCCCAGCACTTTGGGAGGCCGAGGTGGGTGGATCACGAGGTCAGGAGATCAAGACCATCCTGACTAACATGGTGAAACCCCATCTCTACTAAAAATACAAAAAATTAGCTGGGTGTGGTGGCGGGCGCCTGTAGTCCCAGCTACTCAGGAGGCTGAGGCAGGAGAATGGCATGAGCCTGGGAGGCAGAGCTTGCAGTGAGCCGAGATCATGAACTCCAGCCTGGGAGACAGAGCAAGACTCCATATCAAAAAAAAGAAAGGAAAAAAAAAAAAAAAACTCTTCAGGTATTTGGTCCCATTGCCTAAAATCCCAGCTTTTTGACATTGCATTCAAAGCCATTTATGAGCTAGCCTTTCCCTCTCTCTCTGACTCTATCCTATAACCACCTGCATTTCATCTCTTCCCTCTTGCATGGTTTTTCCAGCAACATCAAAGTAAAGATGCCTTTACTGATAAAAGACCACTCACCAGAAATGTTTAGGAGATTATTCCCTCGAAGGGGTGAGCAGGTGTCCTACCCAATGACTGACTGATACAGGAACCCAAAAGCCCAGCTTCCATGCACTAAGGAGGGACAACTCCACAGTGCCCCGAGTGTCCATGTGTGAGTAGGCTGAAGTGAGACCTCAGCTGGAACCACGTCTTTGCCCAGCTTATTCTCAGCCCTATTTCACATCTCTCATCACTCCTCAGAGACTGCCCTCAATAAATTACTTGCACAAAAATCCCCATATCAGGCTCTTCTTCTAGGAAACCCAATGTAAGAGAGGCATTTCTCACTTAACAACCAAAACAATGCTCTTGATGGACTTGTCCCCTAAATTGGCCTATGATCCATCCATCCTCTTCATCTCCATAAATGACATCACTTGCTCCACTGCTTGGTGCCAAAACCTAGGAATTGTCCTTGGTTCTTATCTTTCTCTCATGCTCCAGATGCAATCTGTCAGCAAATCCTGCTACCTTTGCCTGGCACATCCTGAATCTGACTCCGGCTCAGCACCTCACCTCCCATCTGGACCACTGAAAGAGCCTCCTTACTCGTGTCTGATTCCCTGTTCTTGTTCCTCTTTAATCAGTTCTCCACAGAGCTGCCAGAGTGAGCCTCTCAAAATGTAAGTAGAAAAAAGTGCCTCCTCTGCTCAGAATCCTGTAGTGGCTACCTATTATGCCTAGAATAGAATCACTTGGCCTCTTGTGATCTCTTCAGCTAAGTCTTCCACCTCATTGTATTAATCAGCTAAAGCTAAGACATGGCAGGTAACAAGCATTCCCCAAGTCTCAGCAGCTTGCTCCAACTACATGTCTTAGGGCTACTCCAACACAAGAGGGCAAATGACATCCCCAGAATGTTTTGCAATCCCTACCCAAAGTACAACTAACTATACGTATTGGTTTCATGGTCACTATAAAGACACATTTTTACTTTTTCATTCATCACTGTTAAATATCCATTCCCTTAAAAATTCATAGGTAAAAAATGTTTGGAGAGAAAAATAAAAATAAAATAGAACATATCCTGTCTAAATAATATTAATTAACAAATACCATATATGTTATCTTTAAAGAAAAACAGTAACAATGGGCAATGGATGTGACTTAAGAAGTGAAGACTCACAGTACTGTTAAACTCAATATGTGTTTTTAATATTTACTGACTCTCTAAAAAATGATATGGGAAGTGTACGAAGTATTTCTCTTGTGTCATTCTCTTTTATCCACTTGAGAAATGTTCTCCATTATGGCTCTTCTCTTTAAAGAGCTGGGTGAAATATCTCTGCAACCAACAAACAACCTGCCTCTACTCCAGGCACTGCTGTGCCTCTCTTTCTCCTTCAAGATCCAACTTAAAAGTCACCTTCTCTACGAAATCGTCCAGCCTTCAAAAGCACCCATCCTGTTTCCTCTGGGTTTCCATTTGATTTTGCCCTGTTCATCTTCTTTTCCTTAGCAACAAGCCTAGGCCCTATGCACAGACTGTGTCAAATAAATGTTGAGTGAATGAAAGTATTAATGATCTAGAATGGGCACAGTGGAGTGGGCTGCACAACTTCAGGCATTTCCCAAACTCCTTTGGAGAAGAGGAAAGTTTCTAGAATCACAGGTAGCTCAGAATTTGCTCAAACTAATCCATCACAAATGAGCATGAAAAGATGCCTCTTTCTGTGCTCAGCATAATTTAAAAAATATATATCTAATTCAACATTCTGCTGGTAAAGGAGCATCTAAATAAAAAAAAGTTTTGACATCTCTTGATCAAACATGCTATTGCCTGCTTCTGTTTGGAGCACACAATGTCTATCATGGGTGTTTCTCGGGAGTCAATGACGATGAACAACAAGTTAATGGCCTGATTTATTCAAACGCGTCTCTGGACAGGCACTCAGTGGTGGCTCACACAGAAAGTTTTCTCCTTGGGATGAACAAGATCCACTGGTCCACTTGCTAGGTTTCCATGCCCAGACAAATAGGGGAAAAATAGAGAAATCCTTCCACAGTTCTGGAAATAAATTCTGGGTGTGCAAGGGATTTGGCAAAGTTAAGCATTAAACATTTGGAAAGTCAAGTTTTGGGAAAAACAGACAGACTGCGTTTCCATGTACTCCCCATAATTTTAAACCAGGAAGTACAGTGAACAATCCAAATTAGACAAAACACTGACACTGTAGTTTTGTGAAAATTCCACAGAAATGCATTTACAAAATTGTTCTCCTTTCGTGTGTGTGTGTGTGCACGTGTGCATGCACTTGTGTGTGTGGTTTACAAGGCAGACCATCGTAGATGCTGGACCTCTTGGCAAATGCAATTAAAACAGCCTGGAGTACCCCACAGAGGATCATAGATGAGCCTCAGAGACCCCTGGTGCCTTGCAAAATGCCAGTTAGCATCTTTATAAAGGATGGCTCTTGGTTTAACTACAGTGCGCCTCTGGCAAGCCACTTATTTACGAGAATTGAGTATGACAGGGGAGATTTTTGTTCACTGGTAACCAAAGGTAGAGAGTGCTGTATTCCCCCATGCCATCACCCTAATGAGAGCACAGCTGTTCACCCTCCCTTGGGGCTACCTCTGCCACCACTTGTCAGTCTAGCCCACCTGTCTCGATCACATGGAAAGTGTCATTTGGGAAGCTCGGTCCACCTCTGAAGCTGGAGCTGCTGTCAGTCAATGCTCAGAACCTCTTGGCAAAGCTCTGGCTTAATAGGAGGCTTCTTCCTGGGGTGTTGATAAAGAATGGAGTGGGTGGAGTGGTGATTTTCTCAGCAAAGGGAGCAGACCAGACACACCAAGGTCAGAGAAAGCTATTCAGTGCAGCTGTGGCTTCAGCTGACAAGTAGGCCCAAGAGGAGGGACTCAAGGTTGTGAAGTCTGGGGAGGCAAGACCATGACACTGAACTTCATTCTATAAGCAAAGGGGCACTGTAGGTGGCTTTTTTTTTTTCTTTTTGACATGAGGGGTGACCTGATCAGATTTGCATTCTGGAAGGATCAGAGGCTCAAGCGTAGAGAGAGAAAGAGAAAGAAGCAAGGGGAGCAGTTGGGGGAACTTCTGCAACTGTCTTGATAGATGTGATGGTGCCTGCTTAGGACATGGCAGAGCTGAGGAGGAAGGAAGAGATGCACGGGAGGTGGCATCGATGGGACTGTGCATTGATCATTACAGAAGTGTGAAGAGTGAAGAGCAGTGGTCTCCCCAGGTCTGACTGTCGTAGAGCCACATGGGGACTCCAGAAGATGGCTTCAGAATAAACAAAGCAACCAATTTCATTTCACCCAAGGTGCAGTTGAATGCATCTGGGCATCCAGCTGTGCCCTCGCTGGGAGGATCTGGGTGAAGACCAGTATGAATCACCTGCATTGCCAGCGTGAAAGGGGCTAGGAAATTAGATCTATGTTTAGCAAAATAGTAACCAATAAAAGAATAAAAAATCATCTTCCAATCGGAGGAATGAGAAATAATGGGTAAACAAAAGGTTAATGTGTAGGTGACTTCTAAATTTTTTGCTTTTGCTTGCCTATGCTTTCTAAAATTTCCCCAGTGAACATAAATTATTTTCTAGAAAAGAACAATCAATAGAAAGCTATTTTTAAGGGGAAAGCATGTAGACATCAGTGAACAGGGAGGCAGCAAATGAAAGATGAACGTGATGTAGTAGGTGTGAAGGGTGGGGGGAAGTGCAGCGAGCCCTGCAGCAAGACCTGGGCCATCCAGCCAAGGACACACAGCTCCCCTTCTGGCTTTCCCCGGCATCACAACAAAGGGCTTCTTCATATGGCTGCTCCTTTTCTGGAAGGTTCAGCCCCACATCATGCTCACCTCCTGAAAACACACCCTACCACCACCACCTTCATTCATGTATGGCTTTTATCTTTTACCAAAATATACCAGACAGTATCTGTGCCTGTGGTGGGGCAGAGGGGAGGAGAGGTGTTCCAGAGAGGAAGGAGAGTGGCACCCTGCACAAGCCAGTCCTCCACATCCTATCCTCTCTCTTCACCTTCACAGCCCACTAAGTATTAAGATGCTGACTTCAATTTAGAAACTGAGTGTATTAGTCCATTTTTATGCTGCTGATAAAGACATACCCAAGACTGAGCAATTTACAAAAGAAAGAGGTTTAATGGACTCGCAGTTCCACATGACTGGGGAGGCCTCACAATCATGGTAGAAGGTAAAAGACACATCTCACATGGCGGCAGACAAAAGAAGAGAGCTTGTGCAGGGAAATTCCCCTTTATAAAATCAACAGATCTTGTGAGACTTATTCACTATCAGGAGAACAGCACGGGAAAGCTCCACCCCCATGATTCAATTATCTCCCACTGTGTCCCTCCCACAACACATGAGGATTATGGGAGCTACAGTTCAAGATGAGATTTGGGTGAGGACACAGCCAAACCATATCACTGAGATTCAGCTGTATCAAAGAACTTGCTCCAAACCCCTAGAGACAGTAGGTAGCAGGACCAGGACATCTAGTGCTGCCTCCCAGGCTGAAAAGCCCCTGGGGAAAAACAGAGTGATTCTGAATGTGCATTCAGGAGTAGGACCGCCTGGTTCATATCCAGCCCCACCACTAAGAGCTGTATGACTCAGGGAAAGATGGTTGCCAGCCCACCATCTGTGGTAGGTTCTTAATGAGCATTTGAGTGAGAGAGTTCATGGTTGGTGCTTAGACCATGCCAGGTGCAATATACGTGCTCAATACATGTTTTCAGTGGTTGTTTTCTTTTCAGCACTCCACTCTGCCCCTCCAGCTACTCCAGAGCCTCACTGTGAAGACACCCCCTTCTTTGGCACCTCACTGACTAGTCTTCAGATAGGCTCCAAGATGGCGGATCCTCTATGGTAAAGAGGATGTTGAGAAGATATCAGCTGTAAAGATCTGTTAAACCAAGTCCTCTACTGCATTCTAGTTTTCCTGACCATCCAAGAATATCTCTGAGTACTGTAATTCCTGTTCTCAGAGCTGTAGGAAACATTCAATTTGATTCTTTTCACCAGGTGTTGATAAAGTCACAGTACAAGTTCTGGGCAGTTCTAGAACTTCATGGAATCTGACAAAACTCCCAGTATGTCACTGAGTCACTTATAATTTAGTCATAGACATGATAAAACTGTTAGTGAACGAGGACTGCTTTGAGGGAAAGGAGAAGGAAATACACCCCAAGAAATGAACAGAAAAGGATGAGGCAAGGTTGTAAAACTAGAGGCTGGATGGCTGCAGGTGGAGAGGGAGGGAGCCTCCTGCTGGGAGGCAGCCCCTCCGAAGGCATGGAACTTCCGTTTCCAGCTCTTTCCAGTGGTTTGTCAGCCTACAAACCTAGCATGATATTGATGAATTAACTTACAACAAGAAATATAACCATGTGGTAGCTGATTACCACTGCCCCCTCTCTGAAGGCACAAATACACCAAAAGACAAATTATCATGAAAAGGCAGGTTAGCCATCTTGAAACCAGAGCCACTGGAGTGAGCCAAGGGAATCTTATGGCGTGGTCATCCACCTAGGACCATGATATCCCTGACACTTTCCTGTGCCCGATTCTGCACGTGACACCATCTCCCTGGGGTGCGTTGTCAAAGTTTTGCCATCCTATGGAACAAGATATTACATGAGAAGCTTTCTCTGGGGCATCAAGAAAGTGATAGATTTTAGACTACAAGTGAATTGTAAAACAGACCGTAATGCAAACATTTAAAGTAGGTGATAAAGAACTAGTTAGATAATTCGCCCACATCAAGGGCATACAGAGGTCAGGCTTGAGAAGCAGAGGGTTAGTGAAAAGGATTTCTTTAGAGAAAGAACTAGTTAGATAATTCACCCACATCAAGGGCATAAAGAGGTCAGGCTTGAGAAGCAGAGGGTTAGTGAAAAGGATTTCTTTAGAGAAAACTATGAGACACCTTCTGGGGGTGGGTGAGGGAAGTGGGTGGGTGGAAGTGTGTGCCCCCCTTCATCTCAAGCCAAGAGACTGACTTCTATAGGGTTGATTGTGACCTTGCTCCATGTGCCCTGGATTTTGGGAGGCCTGGTGGACTATGTTTGCCACCTGAGCAAAGAACCCATTGATGAGGAGCTGTGGGCTGTGGGCTTGCGGCAGCAGAACAAAGAGAGGAGCACTGGACACAGTGGGTGTGATGTCCACTTCCACCAAGAGGTGGTGCTGTCCAGGGACCAGGTGTGGGCACGTAGGAGAGAGACAGTGGATCTTAAAGCCTGCTCAGGGGACCTCCTGGAAAGGTGCTGGGACCACCACCAGGAAAGTCTGGGAGAGTAGAATTTGCACAACCATGGGCTGGAGCTGAGCAGCAGCAGGGAAGCCTGCATCACCACCTTGGGGAGGGCAGGTGAGCCTATGCAGCAGGATCCACAGCGATCCCACAAGGAACTCAGCTGCAAGCACAAGGCCATTGCTGTCACTTGGCTGAGTGCTGCTCTTCCCAGGGCTTGGTCACACGTGGGGCAGCACAGCTGTAAGACAAGGCCAATGCCTGAGACAGACAGTAGCCACCACTCCAGTGTCACTTAGATCTCTCTAAAGACAGAAAAGTAAGGAAAGAACCCAGAGTTCCATCAGGCAGAAAATAATTGAGAGAAGGAAACTTGCTGAAACCTTAATAGGATGCCTTCAAGCTACACAAATCAGACGGAATAGTTAGGTAATGGTAAAAACTATTAAACCCAAGGGGCAGCTGAAGCGTGGGACCTGAGGCTCCCCATTTTTTAAAATGCTCAGCCAGTCCCAGTCCAGTGTTGCAAATAGAATCCTGCTTGTATCAGCTGGGGTTAGTTCAGAGAAACAGAAGCACTAGGAAGTGATAGACGATATGAGAGATTTATTTTAGGGACTTAACTTTATGCAATTGTGGGAGCTGGTTAGAGAGTCTCCGTGAACCTGTTTTCTTTGTGTCTAGTGCTTATGCTTGAAGTCTGCAGGGTAGGCAGTCAGATTGGAAGAGCTAAAAATGATCTCCTAAATCACCTCCATACAAAACTAGAAAGAAAAATAGTGATGCCATCGGCTAATTTGCCTGCAGGAATAGGTAAAGAGAGCTCCATGCTAGGGGTGCTTGAGGTGGTTTCTGTAGATCCCCCAGAAGGCCACTGGCCCCAAAATTCTTCCTGGAAGTGAAGGTTGATGGGGAAAAGCATTTACATTCTCATCCATCATTTCCAAACCAATAATCCATTATTAACAAAAACTCATCATCCGTCACTAAGTAGGGTCAAGAGGAATGAGTTGAGGGCAAAGATAATTCAGGTCAGGAAGTGGAGAAAGAGCTTCTGATAAACCTGATGGTTGTCAAAAGCCTTTCATGTGCCTGCCATGTTTCCCTGGAGCCTCAAATCACCCCACTGGGCAAAACGGCCAGGCCTTATTATCCCCTGTTTATAGATAAAGAAACAGAGGCAGGTGCTGCTCAGCTGGGCCTCAGTGTCCTGACTCCCAGGACGGCAAGAGGCAAAGACCAGGCTGACAGGTGCCAGGGACAACTTCAGCCACTCCACTCCAAACTCCCCTGCTCATCAGACAATAAATAAGACAGGCCTCAGTGAGGTGCCTTCTCTTCTGTAAGGCATCCCTGACACCCCTGAACCCCTCCCTCTGAATCCAACCTCATGCCACACACTCCCCAGTCTCTGTGCCACCAGCAAGATGGGTCGATGAATGGATTCAGGTTGTAAGGAGCCAGAGGATTTCACAAACTAGTATCAGAATTTCAGCAGGCATCTCAGTCCATTCCTGCTGCTATAACAAAATACCTGACACCAGGTAATTTATAAATCATAGAAATGTATTCCTCACAACTCTGGAGGCTGGGAAGTCCAAGATCAACGTGCTGGCAGGCTCAGTGTCTGGTGAGGGCTGCTCTCTGCTTCCAAGATGACTCCTGTTGCTGCATCCTCCAGAGGGGACAAACGTTGCGTCCTCATGTGGTGGGAAGGACAAATCACCCCCTCTAGCCCTTTCATAAGGTACAAACTCATTCATGAGAGCAGAGCTCTCAACGCCCGATCACCTCCTAAAGGCTGAACCTCTTCTTCTTGTTGCACTGGGGATTAAGTTTCAGCAAGAATTTTGGAGGGAACGCAAACATTCAAACCATAGCAGCATCCCAGGCTGAAATCAGTAGAGCAAGGCCAGCCCAGAAGGTGAGAGATGGTTTCATCTACTTCCACCCTAATCTCATAGATAATAAATCATGCCGAGAATTGGAGGCCTTAAATACAGAAGGGATCCCAACGTGGCATCTGAGGTTCTCATCACATTCACTTACAGAGGAAACTCAAAATGCAGATGCTTGGAGCACGTGATCCAACAGGTTAGGGTTGGCTTTAGACTTTGCACTTTTAGCAAACACCCTTACGAGACTCTTAGGTAGAAAGCATCATTCCAGGGGAAGCATCATTATTTCCATCACATGGACAAGGAAAGGGGACCCAGCTGGCTTAAATGGTTTGTCCCAGGCTCCACAGCAATAGAGCTGCACAGAGAGGTCCTCCTACCCTGGCCCCAGCCTTTTCTCCCTCTCGCACGCCTCTTGCTGGTGGGAACCATATCACAGTCACCTGTAACCTGGCAATAGTATAAATGAATGAATAAATGAGTGAATGCTTTCCTGCAGGACCACATCCAGGCGTGTTGCTGTGTATCCATCTGGGGCAGAGGCGGGTAACAGAAAACATCAAAAATGAGTGAGCCAGAGGATTTCACAAACTAGTATCAGAATTTCAGCATGCATCTCAGTCCATTCCTGTGTTGCAGGCTCATGACGTTTTGCTCCTTGGAAAATTGTTTTGAAAGAAGAAAGCTTGTAGGTTTCTGTGTTGATTTTGAAATATTCACTCTTCACTAAGACTCTGGAGGGAATAGACAAATGGCAGAAGAGGAGAGAGTTGGCATTTATTTTCTCAACACTCTCCCTTCACTGCCTGAGCAGGCTCACCTACACCCAGGGTGCTTCACAGCTGAGAGACATCACTGGGTGCAGCTTAAATGTTTCCAACTTTGCTTTTGCAATCAAGCCAAAAGACAAACACACTTTTTCACTAAATTCCTTCCACCCAGGTTGCAAATTGACCTTATTTTAATTTGAGGTGCATGCCTCAGCCCTTAGACATTTTACCTATCTGACAGTGAGAACTGACATGTTCCTTAGGCAGCCCTTCCGCTTTGGCCAATTTGACTGATTAATTGAAGAACTCTTCTTGATCCTCACAGAAAGATGTCTGGCAGTGTGATATTATGGTCACATTGCTTCTGCGCTTTTGCAGCACAATGATGTCGTGAGCAGAACACGTTTATCAGCTGGCCAGGCGCTCCGGGACCTGCCGCCTGCCAAACCCAGCAGTTACACTTCGCAGTTTCCCCGATTAAAAAGTGTCTAAACATCTGCTACTTAAACAACACTTAAAAAGTAATAAATTAAAAACAGGGGGAATAGAACTTAAATAGAGAAAGTGAGCAGAGAACTAAAAGGTCTATATAAAGAGAGAAGCCATATATTTTCGTTTCTGAAATGATCCCTTGACAACTTAAAAGTAAGCACTAACTCAAGCGTCCAGGGTATAAAATAAATCTGAATAAGCTTAATGAAAATCAGGCAGTAGTCCATAAAGAAATGCAATATCTTTGCCCTCTTGCTTCTAATGGGTCTGAGTTTGTTTTACATGGACTTTCAGGGATGAGAGGGTCCCTCAGCCAGGAGGAGAGGAGCAATGTCCTGAAGCCAAAGCTCCTCCACCATGTGTGACTTGGCCAGGCTGAGCTTTTCAGGAAGTGGCTGAGGGACATTGAAAACTGTACACACAGAGGATTCTTTTATTGGGTCTGGTCACTTTTAAAAAGGGTTTGTCGATTTTCTGGCATGTATACTACATTTTTAAAGAAACTTCTCTCTCTCTCTCTCTCTTTTTTTTTTTTTTTTTTTTTTTTTTGAGACAGAGTCTTGCTCTGTCACCCAGGCTGGAGAGCAGGGGCGCGATCTCCACTCACTGCAAGCTCCACTCCCCGGGTTCACATCATTCTCCTGCCTCAGCCTCTCGAGTAGCTGGGACTACAGGCGCCCACCACCACGCGTGGCTAATATATATATATATTTTGTATTTTTAGTAGAGATGGTGTTTCACCGTGTTAGCCAGGGTGGTCTCGATCTCCTGACCTCGTGATCCGCCCGCCTTGGCCTCCCAAAGTGCTGGGACTACAGGCATGAGCCACCGCGCCCGGCCAGAACCTTCTCTCTTAATGATAGGTCATAATTAGCAATGACTGTATCTTTGCAGCTTTACATTTTGCCATTTGTTTTCATCCCTATTAAAAATTAGAGGCTGGACGTGGTGGCTCATGTCTGTAATCCAAGCACTTTTGGAGGCTGAGACAGTTGGATCAGCTGAGGTCAGGAGTTTGAGACTAGCGTAGCCAACATGGTGAAACCCCGTCTCTACTAAAAATACAAAAATTAGCTGGGCGTGGTGGAGGGCGCCTGTAATCTCAGCTACTTGGGAGGCTGAGGCAGGAGAATCACTTGAACCCAGGAAGTGGAGGCTGCAGTGAGCTGAGATAGCACCACTGCTCTCCAGTCTGGGCTACAGGGTGAGACTGTCTCAGGAAAAAAAAAAAAAAAAAATTAGATAACACCGTGTTGCCCATTTAGCTGAACCATCTCTTTCATATACATGCTGTTATTTGAGAATATTCTAACTCACAACATTCATCACACCCGTCTCAAGAAGAAAAGTTAATTTCTAGAATTAAAAGTTCGGCCAGGGCGTCATATGTAAAAGGAAAGATGGAAATTCGTGGGAACACAGCAGCTTGAATCAGTTCTATCAGTTTACACAAATGCAATTCTATGTCTCTTCTGTATCACACACAATTTCATCTCCCACCCTCTTCTCATTCTCCGATGAAGATCTACACAACTTTGTACTAGTAGTTTATTCTTTGTTAACAATAATTGCTTTGGTACTTAGCTCAAAAATAGATTTTCTTTTTTGCACATTGCTTATGTTACAGATGTGGGTGGAGGGATTTGTATAAATAAGCATTCAGAATGTGTATAATTTCTACTGCTTGCAGTTGTTCCTCACCCTTTTCCGGTCTGGACATAACACAAGCTTCTCTCTTTGGTCTCTTTTGCAATTACAGGGAACTTTAACTGGGGCTCTGATTGAATGTGTGTTTCACCCATGCATGGTAGAAATCCCAGCGTTGAAACAAGAGCTCAGGGCTTAGAATTCGCTGACCTGGGTCCAGCTCTCACTCTGCCTGACACCAGTGAGTGAACTTCAGGAAGATAGTGTTCCTTTCTTTTGCTAAATTTTCCTTTCTTTCCCTTTCCTAGAAGTAAAAATGGGCATAATAACAACCTCACATGACTCCCAGGACCATTGTGAAGTTCAAGTGAATGTATGTGTGCATTCAATCATTCCCAGGCTTTTATATGATGACTCTGTCCAGTAAATTCTGTCTCACAGTAACATATTTCAAAATAAATAAAAAGAAGGGCTTATAAGCAAAGACCTATAAAGGTGCCCTACTGTTACTTGCAGAAAAGCAGTAGATTCCAAGAATAGAGTCTTGAGCCTTCAGTGTTACTACTCTTTTAAATAACATTTGTTTTTTTTCTAATTTACAAATAAATACACATTTTTCCTAAAGGCAAAATTGAAAAAGAAAAAGAAAAATATCACTCAAAACAAGAGGTAACAATTCTTAACGTTTTTATTTTGTTTTCTACCAGTCTACATCTATGAAGATACATGCTTTTCTTTCTTATAAAATTTGGACCACAACACATGTGAATCTTTGTTCCCGTTATTAACTATTTCCTTTGGATGGTTCCCAAGAGTGAAATAACTCCATCAAAGAGTAATAACTCTTTGAAGGCTCTTCATAAATTCGTCGGCATCTTTTGAGAAAATCTGTACCAATTTAAAATGCCATAAGTAGGGAATGAGAATACTTATCTTGCAGCAGCCTCCCAAGCACTAAATGTCATTATCTATTCAAAATCTTTGCCAAATTTCATTTATTTGATTATTATTGATGCGGAATTATTTTTTAAATATCTGATTAGCCATTTGTGTTTCTTATTTTGCACATTGTATTTGTCAGGAAAACTTTGAGCCGCAAGTAAGAGAAAATATGACTTCCAATGATAGAAACAAAGAATTTTTTAAGAAGTCTGAAGAATTTGGCTTTAAGGGTTGGTCCAGCAGCTCAGCAATGCCAATGACAGTTTTTCTGCCAATCTTATAGCCTCTCACACATGTGGGCAAAATGGCTGCTGAAGACCCAGCATCTCATCCTTATTCAAGCCAGAAAGAAGGGAGGAAGAACAAGGCAGCCATATCTGCCCCCACACACTCCTCACAAAGATTTCTGCTTATGTTCCATTGACCAGAATTATGCAACATGTCTACCCTAGCCACAAAAGAGCCTGGAAAAGATTATTAGTTTTTCCAGCCTCTATAATGGAGATGGGCAAGAGTGAAGGGGGCTTGAAAATGGATGTTGGGTTACTCAGCAGTCATGGTCTAGTCATTTGCACATCTTCACCATAAGTTTTTTTCGTGGTGATATTTAAAATACCAGCCAGCCTCCCTGGCAGTCCCTGGAGAAGCATTAGCTATTATTGAATAAATAAAACTACTGGTGATTATCTTAGTCCATACTACATAGGTTGACCACATGAGAGGCAGCTGGATCACTTGCCTAAGTCTGCATTTTCAAAGCAGCAGTCTCCATGTGACCCATATACTGATGGGAAACCAGTTTCTTCCTCAGTTCATGACACCTAAATGCATTTGGCATGTTTCTTCACGAAAGCCATCATGAAAAATTTCTTATATTTCTGCATGTCATACAGATGGGGGAAAATCACATCTTTATTTTGGTTGCACTCTGTCCTCTGGGGCCCTGAAGAGTGAATACCATACATACCACACAGCCTATATATTCTATTGGACCCTCCCAAGCTCACTCTCCAAATTTTATCTGAATTCATCTACAATTATACCTGATGGTACAACTGTTGAAGAAGTGGAAACTCAATTTCAACTATATAAATGGATAGAAATACTTTCATATTTTCCTGATTATATATTACTTAATTTTATTAAGGCTGTTCTTTGAAATACAGGCATCTTTTTATTTTAAAAAAATTAAGGTAAAATTTATCATTATTTTCATGGTGAGGCAGCACAGCGTTTGGGGAAGAACTACTATCTGGGTTCCAATCCCGGATTTGCTGTTTCCCATGGGGAACCACGGCAGTTATATAACCTCAGTTATGTCTTAGTATCCTCATTTGTTAAATATGGTAATATCAATAATACCAAAAACATATAATTTATGAGAAGATTAAATAAGATAACTTGCATAAAGCCCTAGCTCAGTGCCTGGTACCTGATCAATACTTAATATTGAATTTTTGTTAGCATTATTAGATTATTGATATGTGTGTGATATATATGTAACATGAGGATGATATACATTAATATTTTTATGTAGCTCATTATTCTTCTGGATTTATTTCAATGTATATGGGAGAATCTAGTTAAATCTTTTTTCCAAGTACAGTTAATTTTTCTATCACTACTTGTTGAGTAATTCATTCCTTCCCCATCGGTTTGTGGCATTTTCTTTCTTGTGTATAGTTCTGTTTTTATATACACTAGAATCTATTTGAACACATCTTACCTGATACTATAGAATGTTACAACAGTAACCTGTCATTTTAGTTGCTGGTAGAATCATTCATAGTATGCCGAAGACTGCTTAAAAATTTGTAGAACCAAATCAATTTGGATTGTTACTTTAAATTATAACAAAAAACAATCCAGAGAAATTCAGAAGTCAAATACAATAAGTGAATTATTTGTTTTTAATCTAGGAGGAAAAGCATTGAGAGCTTAGTATGTACTAGGCACAGAACTAATAGTCCACCCATTACCCATGTGCAGTTATGCCCACTGTACAGTTGAAGAAGTGGAAACTCAGTTTCAAGTATATAATTGACTGAGTCAAAGAGACTGAGGTAAGAGAAGCTCATCACACAGTCACAGCAGAGCCGGGACTCAGTCCTAGCAGCCCAGACTCTGAAGGGCTCTGCTAGGTGATCCCTTCACTGATCTCTGCGTATACGAAGAGTCTCTAAGCATAAACAACATGGAAAAGAATAACAGAGAAATATGTCAGCAGATTGGACTAAATAACAAATATATATATATATATATATATATATATGCCATTTTGCCCACATGCGTGAGAGGCTATGAGATTGGCAGAAAAACTGTCATTGGTATTGTTGAAATATATATATATGTGTGTGTCTTAGAAGTAAATAACATTGGCCTTTTGGCTACAAGCAAGTGTAAAAGCAAATGACAATGTAGGGAAATATCTGTTACAATAAGAAAAAAACTTAGAAATTTATCGTGGAAACTGATGAAAAAACACTAATGACGTCAAGGGCAGAAACCATAAAAGAAATGATTAACAGACGTGGCTTGATAGTCATTTAAGCTTTTTCTTATCAAGAAATACCATACACAAAATTGTTAGCAAAAGTTAAGTAACCTGGCTGGGTGCAGTGGCTCACACCTGTAATTCCAGCACTTTGGGAGGCCAAGGCGGGTGGATCACCTGAGGTCAGGAGTTCGAGACCAGCCTGGCCAACATGGTGAAACCCCATCTCTCCTAAAATTACAAAATTAGCCAGGTGTGGCAGCACACGCCTGTAATCCCAGCTATCTGGGAGACTGAGGCAGGAGAATCACTTGAATCCAGGAGGTGGAGGTTGCAGTGAACAGAGATTGCACTGTTGCACTCCGGCCTGGGTAACAGAGCGAGACTCAGTCTCAAAACAAACAAACAAACAAAAAACAGTTAACTAACCTGATTAAAATGTACTCCAACAAAGATAATACACACTCAGTATCCTTTTTAAATAATTCTTAATAAATTTTGTCAAAACAAAAGACAAGCAATTCAATGTGAATATGAACAGAAATGTGTAAAATTTTTTCACAGAAAGAGAAATACAAATTGACAATTGACATACAAAAAAAAGTTAAATTTCACTCACTTATAATCAAAGAAATGCAAACAAGGATAATAATGGAATTTGTTTTGGTTTATCCAATTGGCAAAGACAATAAACACATAACTCCTAATGTTGATAAAAATATAGAGAATGAAACATTCTCATGTAGACATTCCTTACAAGAATATAAATTGATATAACCTTTTTGGAGGGCAAGTTGGCCATGTGTGTCAATGACCACAAGAATTTGCATACATTTTTCCCAGCAATAATAGGATGTTTAAGGAAAAAGTTTAAAGTTAAAGGAAAAAACTATGGGTATGCATGGTGATTTCTCTTTGCTTTATTTATAATCATTAAATATTAAAACCACCCTAATGTCCAACAATATAGGATTGCAATGAAGTAAATAAAATATGATATATTTATACAGAGGGGAAACTGATGCTTTAGAAGAATATTTAGTGATATGAAGAAATACCTGACAGTGTGGAAATCGTCAATATAGTCACAAAATAGAAAATAATGCATTGACTAAAAATGGCATTGTGGAAACTGTGGTAAGATGTTCACAATTTATATTTGAATATAGTAAGCAACAGATACAGAATTATATGGTATGATCCTATTTGTAAAATAAAATGTACTATATACACATAATTTTGTATATATAAAAAAGTTACTAATTTACTTATTTTCTAAGTTTATTCTAAGTTTTCTGTAATAAAATGGGATTCAGTTTCAGGACAAATACTATTAGGTGCAAAACGTCAAGCATTACTTCCTCTTTCTTGCTAACTAAACCCCAATATTATCCACACAGCCTGAATTGTCCCAGGGCATGAGTAATGACTGGTCTAGGCTTAGAGCGGACATGATTTAAAATAATGCTAATTAAACAATTTTCAAGAGAAAAAGCACTTTAAAATTTTTTGAGAAATAAGGAAGGTGTCTTTGTCTGCTCAGTCTGCTATGACAAAATACTATGGACAAGGTGGCTTATAAACAGCAGAAATTTATTTTTCATAGTTGTGGAGGCTGGGAAGTCCAAGATTAAGTTGCCTGTAGATTCAGTGTCTGATGAGGACCCACTTCCTGGTTATAGACAGATGTCTTCTGCATCTGTCCTTGAAAATGACCCAACTGTCCCATAGACAGGTTTTTTGGGGTTTGTTTGTTTGTTTCATTTTGTTTGATAAACATAGAAATTGACACTTCTAATCTTAAATCTTGAAACTTACAATTGTTTTATCTGAGTTCCTTCCTCAGGGAATGACCTTCATGCCTCTCAAAAAAAAGTATCACAGATCTGAAACTCACCAGATCACCATATCCTGGCTATGAGATGCTGGACCCCTCATTTATCATGATTGTTTCCTTGCCCCTCCCTAGTTCCTATTTTCTTACATATTGTTACATTGCTTCCCTGCTATAGAAACCTCTAGTTTTGGCTAGGTGCGGTGGCTCACGCCTGTAATCCCAGCACTTTGGGAGGCTGAGGCGTGTGGATCACAATGTCAGGAGATCGAGACCATCCTGGCCAACACGGTGAAGCCCCGTCTCTACTTAAAAATTTAAAAATAAAAAAAAAAAAATGAGCTGGGCGTGGTGGCAGGCACCTGTAGTCCCAGCTACTCGGGAGGCTGAGGCAGGAGAATGGCGTGAACCCAGGAGGCGGAGCTTGCAGTGAGCCAAGATCGCGCCACTGCACTCCAGCCTGGGCGACAAAGCAAGACTCCCTCTAAAAAAAAAAAAAAAAAAAAAAAAAAACCTAGTTCTAGTGGATCAGGGAGGAGATGGATTTGAGAGTGAGCTCCCATCTCCTTGGCTGAAGAACTCGACTAAAGCCTTCTTCCTTGGAAATACTCATTGTCTCAGTGATTTGCTTTCTGTGCCTGAAGCTGCAGGGCCTAGACCCCCTGGTGTTACAGTAACATCCTCACATAGAGGAAGCTGAGGAAGCTCTCTGGGGCCTCTTCTATAGGGGCATTAATCTCATCCATGACGGCTCCACCTTCATGACCTAATCACCCTCCAAAGGCCCCACTTCCACACACACCACTTGGAGTTTAGGATTTCTACATATAAATTTTCGGGAAAGGACAGAAATATTCAGACCGCAGCAGAAGGTCTAAGTATTTTTAAAAGAAAAAGAAAGGAGAAGACAGAGGAAGAAAAGAGGAGAGGAGGAAAAATAGAAGGAGAAAAAGAAATCAAGAGATGTAAAAAAAAGTCACATTTAATCACACTTGGAATCAGAAAACAACAGAGCCACAGTGACAACCATGTGATTTAGTGTGGGGGAAAGTGCAGCAAGATTTCCTGTGGGGGGATGTAGCAGCACAACTTTTTAAATAAGCAACTTTTATGGAAAAAAATTTGACTTTACCATTTTTCGTATATTCTGATTTGGTAATTTCATTCTCGTCATCTGTCCTGAGAAAATAATCTGTGGGCAACGCTGTTTTGTTTTATTTTGTTTTGTTTTGTTTTTGAGACGGAGTTGCACTCTTGTAGCCCAGGCTGGAGTGCAATGGTGTGATCTCAGCTCACTGGAACCTCTCCCTCCCGGGTTCAGGTAATTTCCTGCCTCAGCCTCCCGAGTAGCTGGGATTGCAGGCACCCGCCACCATGCCTGGTTAATTTTTGTATTTTTTAGTAGAGACAGGGTTTCACCATGTTGGCCAGGCTGGTCTTGAACTCCTGACCTCAGGTGATCCACCCGCCTCGGCCTCCTATAGTGCTGGGATTACAGGCATGCGACACCGTGCCTGGCCAGCTATTTATAGCAATAAAATATCAAAGGCCTAAATGTCCAACATGAGGGAAGGGGTCACTCTGATGGGGTTCTATATCCTTCTTCAAACATGATTATCGAGAGATCTAAATAGCAGGAAAATGTTTGAAATACGATTTTTCAGGAAAAAAAATAAAAAAAATCAACAATGTATAGGGGGGAAAATGTCCAGAAATAAAAGTGGAAGGAAATATGCCAATGTATAATGAGTTGGCTCAGGAATAGAGAGAAAATATCATTATTATTTTTTTACTACTTGGTATTTGTATGTTTCTAAATTCTGTATAATGAGCATGCATTTCTTTGAAAACATCAGAATAAAAGTAAATTAAAAGATGTAGTAATAATTATATCAAGAGATCCCTTCTTTGGTAAGAAAATGGGTTGACTTTGCTATGCCTGCTAGACATTATGCTGTGGCAGAAGTAATCAACCTGCATTGTATTCTGAGTACTTCCTCCAGAAAACAGCTCTGATAAGCAGTCCAATCTCAGAGGAAGGTGAAGAAGGGCATCACAAAAGTGTCCTCCAGTATCCCTGTATTTCTGTCTGTTTTTATATCAGCTGCTCCTGCGAAACTCCTATAACAACCACTAAACCAGCCCCAAAGCTGGTGGAGTCTAGTGAGATATTCATTTCAATGGATTTGAGCTTCTGTTGTTTTAATGTGTATGTCTTGTGTGTCAGTAAGTGAATTTCTGTGTAGTAGAATAAATAGATTTTTCCATTTTTTCCTGCAATGCCTGTATATTACTCTAATCGGAAAGATGGGACCACATTTTTAAAAGAATATTGTTAGAAAATAATTGAAGGGGCTTTAAAAGTAAAGATCAAAAGGGGAAATATTTCTATTTTTTTCTCAAATAAAATGTCAAAAGTGTTTCAGCTTTGAGTTAGCATTCAACCGTCCTGCAATGCTTTGGAGAGTGAGAAAAGGTGTGGCATATCTCCCAAAACACAAAGAAGAATATATTAATGAATGTATTGTCTGTGGCCGTTTCATACTACAACACCAGAGTTGTGCAGTTGCTACAGACTGTGTTTGGCTTACAAAGCCAAAAACATTTATTATCTGGCCCTTTGCAGAAAAGGTTTACTAAACCCTGGCGTTACATGTCATGACATTAAAAACACTTGAGTTTGCAAAATCTGTCTTAGAGAAGATAGATAAGTTTCTTTCAATAATGCTGCTTTTAGAAATTCAACCTTAAGCTTTCTTGACAGAAGCACATTGAATCAATTTGGATTGCCTCTGGCTGCAAGGAACAGGAAAGCCAACAGTGGCTTATAGACACAGGGTGAACTCAGCTCAGGCAGGACAGACTCTCTGGTGCCATCTGGCTGTTTCCAGCTTTTCATCCTTAGCAAGAGGTGCTTGTCTGTGCTTTTGCCTTAAGGTCACAAGGTGCTGCTGCACCACAGTCCTCAGGCTCACCATCCAGCAGGAAAGAGAAAGAAAAAGATAACTAGAACAAAGGCAGAAAAGCAATTCCTTTTTATTCTGGAGGGCCTCCCTTTCCTGCGATTTACAGCTTCTTTTGAATGCCCTGTTATGTCGTATGGCTTTTGGAAACAGCAGAGTTGCCTGGGTGAGTTATTTTTCTTTAACTAGGCATGTTGAGGCCACAAACCATATGAGGGTTTTGTTAGATAGAAAGGGGACGACATGTACATTGGATGGGCAGCTGATGGTGTCTGCTGCAAATATATACAGCATCACCACCAAGAAGCCTATGTATTGATACATTGAATGTATCATCTGCTTTCAAATTGTTTTACTGCAAGCAGTAAAATGAATGCAAACCCCTAGGTACTGACTAAGCTTGTCCCCTGTCCTGCCTAGTTGTCAGCCCTGTTTCCTAATATGAGGCTGTCCTTTCTAGGGTCCTTTGAACTCCCTTCATATCTCTCCCAGACAAAAGCTCTAAAGGCGGAGATAAAGCTCCTGGGGCTGGGAGGGCACAGCCACCCGCCCTCAGCAGCACATCTGTTCAGGGATATGAAGTACCTTCTCCTTGCTATAGAAGCCCCTAGTTTTAGTGGGTCAGTTTACTTTCCCCCATCTCCTCCAAGGACAAATAATTTGTATCTGTAGAGACTGCCCTTGGCCTTGTCTTCGGTAATCCATACTCTGAGTTATTTGGTGGGGGGAGGGGGGGGCGGGGGGGGGGCGCATTCATATCTCATGGCTCCTTAAAGAAGTTCCAAAATCCAGACACATGACCGACTCCCTGGTCCCTGCAATTTTAACTCATCTAGAAGAACCACTCTTGATTTCTGAATGGTTCCTCCATTGTACCATAGAATTCTGACAGGTATTTCTTAATTAACCGTTCAAACTTTCTTCCCTGAAGAGTTTAACAGCACAAAAACCCAACAAAATATGCATAATCTTTAAATAAACTCAACAAAGTCTGCTTCATAAAAGCATTACACTTTCCAAATTCTTTATTCCTTCACCCACTTCTTCAATATTTATGAATTATAGATGTGGAAGAGGATTTATCATGATAAAGTATCTATATTTCAAACCCACCAGTGATTTACTTCTCAGGGGTGACCAAAAAAGATGCAGATTGATGTGCAACAATTGAACACAGGTGGGAGTGTCCACCCTCTGCCACTGTGCTAGTTATGCACGGTGTTGTTCCGTTTCCATTGTCTCTCCAGGAGCCACCTTGAGACTATTTGTTGGACATGCTCTTGCTGATTCACTCACTGCCATCATCCAAGGCAGAAGATACTGAGAATCATACAAACAGGGACCCATTCCAGAATTCTAAAGGGCTAAAGCTGAAAATGACTTTAGTGATTCCCTGAGCAACTTTCTAATTTTAGAGACTAAAACCCCCAAACCCAAAGAGGCTGAGATCCCCGAGCCTCTCCCCCAAGTTTTAATTGGTATGTTACATTAAACAATGTAATTTGGCTGTGTTCTGTCTCCCTGCATTGGACTAGAATTGGCCTTGAAATGAGTAAATACAAAACGATACTATGGTGCATTCACGTGTTCAATATTCTACTAACACAAAGATAATAAAACAGAAAGAAAATAAGATTGAACTAAAATATCCTCCCCCTTTGCCAATTGTGCTCCCCTCCCACTGCTGCCCGAGTTATAGCCCAGAGCCCAAGATCTCTGTCTGCCAGCTGTCAATGCAAAATTCTTTCCACCCATGGTGGTGTTTGCCATGTGTAGGCAGGGGCAGTGGGAAAAAGTTTATAGAAACTTTGACTTCCAGTCATCACTTGTAAGTGTTCCATGCACATTCACACAGTCAACCAAAAGCATATGTTCCGACAAGTTCACACTCTCCCACTGCCCTCCCCGGCATCCTCAGGGTTATGTAGAAGAGACTAGAACAGAAAGCTGTTTCTGGTTTTTGTTTTTGTTTCTATTTTTATTCTTTATTTTAAAGAAGGTAGTTCTTGGAAGCAATTGGCTAAACTTCTCACCAAAAATTAAGATTAAAAAACACAATGGGTGACCTAAAGAGGCCAATCAAGTAGTAAGGAAACCAGAAAATGCCAAATAACCAAGCATAGCATTATTCTCAAAGGGGGTGGAAAGTCTATACAGAAATTAAGCCCAAGAAATACTGAGTTGATTTACAGCTGATCTAACTAATGCATTTCAGAGGGAGGAACAACTCTCCTCCCATGACTATATCTCATGAGTTTGCAATGCATATTATAAATGATGCAATGAGAGACGGGATCCATATTTCCTGGTGTTAACTCTTGGAAAAGAATGTGATCATCTAAGGGTTGCAAAGGAGATTCTTTATCTGTGCATTAATATCTAAGTTACTGGTGTTTCTGAGGTTGGAAGGCATTTATCTTGTTCAAGCCATTTCTTATTCATCATCATCATTGTCATAATAAAAGTAACATTTCTTGATTGCCTGCTCTACTTAAAGGCAAATTAGATCTTACTGGAGCAAAGTCTCTCCGGGTCAGGATTGTTGGGCTTGATGCTGTGAACACTCTCCTGGCTGAGGTCCTAAGCAGATCACTCAGCTGCTACAAATGTTCTACCTTCATCAAACAAGAGCCTAAATTGTGTAGGATTTTTGGCTTTTAGGGTGTGTTTGGGAACGTATTTTCTTCAACATCTGTTGAACCGGCCACTGTAGATTCATTGAGTACGAGAACAGTCATTCCCCAGGCTCTCCTGTCAGTGTACATCACGTGGTTTGGCATTTGCACAACAGAGAAATAAGCAAGTTCATTCAAGATGAACTAAGGAATACACTGATTGCACCAGTCACACACCAGAGTTATTGATTTCATCACGGTTCATAACTTGTAAGTAACAGTAGCTATAGTAATTGACATCATACTTTATATGCCACAGGTCAATTGCAGAGATGATTTACCTGTGTTCAGTAGCTACCCTAGTGATCTCTATCTCCTGGTATTCACATGCAACCTGAACAGGGCTGACTGGTATTGCCAAGAGGATATTGTAGAAATAACTGTGTATGACTTCCAAGTCTAGCTCACAAAATATATTGCAGGTTCCATTTTGTTCTCTCCTGGATTACTAACTCTGGGGAAACGAAGCCACCATGTTGTCAGGACACTCAAGCAAAGACAGCCCTTTAGAGAGGTTCACAAAGACAGGACTAGTGGTATCCTGCCACCAGACGAGAGGGCCATATGAATGAGCCATCTTAGAAGCTGAGCCTCCAACCTCAGTCAAACTTTCAGAAGACTGCAGCCCTGGCCATTGTGACTGAAATCCCAGGAGATGCCCTGAGCCAGAACTACTCAGCTAAGCCACTTCTGAATTCCTGATCCACAAAAACTTTCATATAGTAAATGTTTACTGTTGAAATTTGGGATTTTTAAAGGCATCAATGGGTAACCTTGTAACTCATGAGCAATGATAACTAACGTCGTAGTTAAAAACAACAGTACAGAGGCAGAAAATTTGAGTTCCATTACACAAAAAGACAAAACAGGCCTAGGGGAAGAATGGAACTGATGTTTCATGTGAATTTCACTTATGCCCTTGTTTGGTCTAGTCTACTTCTGACAAGCACAAAAACTAAATAAGGAAATTGGGTTTACGGCAGCTAAGTAATAGTCCAAGAATCCACAGAAGTAGTGAATGGCAAAGCTCAGATTCAAACACAATTCTGTCTGCTTTCAAATTCCCATGCTCTATCCCTGTATAAAGATAAAAGCTTCTCCCAAGATCAATGAAATCTGAAATACTCATCATTTATCACTCTATTCATTCCAGAAAAAGTTTACACGTCTATCATCAGAAATAGTGTTTTATGCCATACAAAATGGGCCATTGTATCCACAACACAAGGCACATCAGCCTCAATGTGGTTTGCTGAATGCACATTTCAGTTTGTTTCTGCACCACGTCTTCCTGTGTGTTCTGAAACAAAAGTGCATTTGGCAAGAATAAGGCAAAAGAAAAATTGCTAATAGTGAAGATATTGCTCCCACCACCATCTTAGATGCACCAGTTAATACAAAGTAGATCTGAGACACAAAGCCTACCCAGTCTGGAAGATATGAGACTGTGGTAGGCAGGTCCCAGAGCCGAGAATCAGAAGAAGGGTACTGCTAGGCAGATTTTGGCAATGGCAGTTTGTGACCAACAGCAATTCCCTGCATTTGTTTTGGCCTCAGTTTTGCCATATGTGAAATGATGGTAATGTACTCACTGGATGTTCCCTAAGATCCACTCAGGCATCCTATGTTATACATGCATATGCACAGATGCGCACACAAGGCAGGGACTTGGAGAGGGAGAGAGGGAGAAAAAGAAAGAAAAGATAATGTAGCTATTTGTTATTTGCCTGCTCAGTATTCATTGCTGCCTCTTTGGGTCATAAGGCCTGATTTGTTTTTATTGCAAAGCCGCCCCTCTTCCTCTTCTACTCTTAGTCCGTGACCCTGGGTGAGTCTCAACTCAGCTCTAGGAGTGGAGAATGTAACTCAGGCTTGGCCAATGAAAGCACTGGCATTCTCCACCTTGATGATTAGGTCAGGGATGGATGCATGACCTAAAGGAGTCCTGTTAAAATAAATCTCAGGACATCGGCAGGAGCTACACTTTCCCAGTGAGATTGAATCTGGAAGGTTGTTGGCTTTAGTTAGAGTTGCCATAGTCATTTTGCCACCAGTGGTAAAGTCAGTGAAAGAAGAGCCAAGAGACAGAGAGAAACTAAATCCTGATGACTCACCGGCGTCCCAAGACCAATGATTCTAAGCAGGAATTCTCTTTCAGGCAGTGTTTTGGTTTGGGCTTCTGCACAAGCGGATAATGAGACAAGATTTCTAGTACAAGTAACTGATTTGGGAGATGATCCCAAGAAAACTAATAGGGAAGTGGGGCTGTGAGACAGAGAAGGGAATGAAGCCAATAAGGGATGATGCGGTAGGCAGAATTTTGGCCCCTAAAAATGTCTGCATCCCAATCCCCGGAATCTGTGACTATGTTAGGTTACAAGTCAAAGGTGAATTAATGTTGCAGATGGAATTAAGTTTGCTAATCATCTGACCTTCTGATAGGGAGAATTTCCTGGAATATTGAGGTGGGCCTAATGCAATCACAAGTTCCTTAAAGGTGGAAGAGGGAGGTCAGAGTCAGAGAGAGATTTGAAGATGCTGTAATACTGGCTTTGAGGATGGAAGACGGAGTCACAAGCCAACGAACGCAGGCGGCCAGCAAAAGATGGAAAAGACAGGGAAACAAAATCTTCCCTGCAGACTCCAGAAAGGAATGCACCTCGCTGAAACCTTGATCTTAGCCCATTTCTGACCTCTGAGCTTCATAACCATAAAGTAAGAATATTTTAATCCACTTAGGTTGTGGTAATCTTTCACAGCAGCCATAGGAAACTAACATGAGTGTGTTGTCAAGTCAGTGACTGTATGGGCAGCTGGAGCTCCATCCCGCTGGGAAGCTCTGACAGACAGTGCAGGGCATGCTTCAAAGTGGCTTCAATCCCAGGTGAGAAAGCTGGGGCATTCGTCTCCCAGCCCACAGTCATCTGTGGTTGAGGGTTGTTTCCAGGCACGCTATCTAGCACTTCCATATTGTCAGAGTGGTATTCATAGATAGACAGCAAGCCCACAGGCAGAAAGTCTCAGGTGTTTGCAGTAAGAAGCCTTTGGTGGCCGGGCGCGGTGGCTCACGCCTGTAATCCCAGCACTTTGGGAGGCCGAGGTGGGTGGATCACGAGGTCAGGAGATTGAGACCATCCTGGCTAACACGGTGAAACCCCATCTCCACTAAAAATACAAAAAAAATTAGCCGGGCGTGGTGGCAAACGCCTGTAGTCCCAGCTACATGGGAGGCTGAGGCAGGAGAATGGCGTGGACCCAGGAGGCGGAGCTTGCAGTGAGCCAAGATCGCACCACTGCACCCCAGCCTGGGCGACTGAGCAAGACTCCATCTCAAAAAAAAAAAAAAGCCTTTGGTGTATAGAAGGAAAGTCCAAGGACAACAGCATCTGCCACAAGCACCTCTTAGAGATAAATAGCTGGGCCAGAAGTGGTGGGATACGGGACATGGATTTTAATTATCATTATAATTGGGGGCTTCTACTAGTATTTATTGGCTGGAGCTGGGTATGTTGAACAACCCACAATATTTGGGATAATTCTGTACCAAGATTTATCTCACCCAACATGCCAGAAGCACCTCCTTAAGAAACACTGGCTGAGACCAAGCCGCTCTCCTCCTAGGCCATTGCATCAGACTAACCAATGTATTTCCTTCCTCCGTGAGCTGGGTTGGAATGAATTCCTCTTCACTTAGCCCAAAGAACTTCAAGTGCTACTCGTAGATGACAGAGAGACAGAGATATATGGAGATCTAGGTATTCCTTTCTGTAAAAATGTCCAACAATTGCTTTCAGAAGAAAAGAGAAAGCCAGCAATCCACAACAGCTTGGACTAGATTCCCATCCATTCTTCACACTTTTTTGCACAGTGTTGAAAGCAACGTAAAATCAGCTCAGCCCAGTCAGAACATTCTGTCATGAAGTAACAGAGACGCATTCCAAAAAGAAGGAAAAGGGGATTGCAACGTGCTTTTTTACTCCCCAAAGCACATACACCATAAGCCGGTAAATGTTCAAAGATCAAAACAAGAGCCAAGCAACCTGCTACCTAAAGCCTGTCCTGCTAATGCCCATGTCAGCAAATGAAGGACAGTGAGGGAGAAAGACGTTGAGATTTTTAAATGGAAAGGATGGGGGGAAGAAAATACTTTATTTTCTTGCTTTAAAATACTCTGTGGAATTTTTCAGCACCTGTAACCTTTAATCAGCCTTCCACTTGAACTCTGGAGTGGAAGAAGCCGTATTATCAACATGCGTTTCAGAAGCAGGTGACCCTGAAGGAGGGATGCAGAGGGGAGAATCTGGGAAGCTGATGGGACAGGCCCAGGGTGACCCATACATCACTTCTCTCAGGCGCCCACCTTAGCGAATTTCTTAAGATACTTCCTGTATTAGCCTCCTGGGGCTGCCATGACAAATGACCACAAGCTGAGTGGCTTCAAACACCAAAATGTGGCTGGGCTCGGTGGCTTATGCCTGTAATCCTAGGATTTTGGGAGGCTGAGGTGGACGGATCACAAGGTCAGGAGTTCAAGACCAGCCTGGCCAACAGGGTGAAACCCCGTTTCTACTAAAAATACAAAAATTAGCTGAGCACAGTGGCACGCGCCTGTAATCCCAGCTACTCGGGAGGCTAAGGCAGGAGAATCGCTTGAACTCGGGAGGTGGAGGTTGCAGTGAGCCAATATCACACCATTGCACTCCACCCTGGGCAACAGAATGAGACTCCGTCTCAGAAAAAGAAAAACAAACAAACAAACAAAAAAAACACCAAAATGTGGCTGGGCCCGGTGGCTTACACCTGTAATCCCAGCACTTTGGGAAGCCGAGGCGGGTGGATCACTTGACTGGTCAACAGGGTGATATCTCATCTCTACTAAAAATACAAAAATTAGCTGGATGTGGTGGCATGTGCCTATAGTCCCAGCTACTCGGGAGGCTGAGGCAGGAGAATCACTTGAACCTAGGAGCCAAGATCGCACCACTGCACTCCAGCCTGGTTAACAGAGCGAGACTCCATCTCACACAAAAAAACAATAATAACAACAAAATGTATTCTCTCCCAGTTCTGGAATCTTGAAGTCTGAAATCAAGGCGTTGTCAGGGCCCTGGTCTCTCTGAAGCCTCTGCTAAGGTCTTTCCCTCACCCTTAGCTTCTGGTGGCTGCCAGCAACCCTTGAATATCCCTTGCTGTATAGACATATCGCGCCGGTCTCTGCCCGTGTTGTCACGTGGTCTTCTCCTTGTGTGTGCATGTCTCTCCATGTCCAAATTTCTGTCTTCTCATAAGAACACTGGTCATTGGATTTAGGGCCTACTCTAACCCAGTACAACCTCATCATAATGTAATTATGTCTGTAATGACCCTATGTCCAAAAAGAGAAGCTCTTTGTCAATGCTCAGCCAGTCTTCATCTAGCTGTCATACCCTGGGCATTTCTTCTAAGTTCCCTGCCTCTGAGTGGAGCCTCGTTCCCTGGGTCCCGAGAGCCTTTCCTTCCCTTCCCAGTTCAGTGCTACAAGCCGGGTGCCCGAACTCTCTTGTCAACTGCCTTCTGGCTGAGTTTGGCTGGTGGAAGGCACTGGCAGGGAAGTGGTTGAAATATTAGGTTAGTCATATTAAATCACCAATATCTGAACTTTTTTTAACCTGAAAAGGCAATTTCATATAATTGTAAGTAGTTTTTGTTTTGCTGGTTGGACTTCAATTGATAAGGAATTGAGCTTAGCTGTAAAGATTGGCCCTGCTAGAAAGATTGGCCAGCAAAGCTGAAAGTCATTCCCCAGTAAGAAGTAAAAACTACCCATTTTTAGTTCAGCGTGGGCTAATTTATTGATCATACTCTTTAATTCCCTCCAGGACAAATCGGCCTTGTTAAAACTGCTAGGAAATGAAGCAGACGTTGTCAGGAGCAGCATGTTATTTAAGAAGTGAAGGAAATATTGGTTTGATTTATAATAATTTGCATTAATGGTTTTAAATCATAATGTTGTAGAATTTTCTCCTTAGTTCAGCTAAAACCAGGGTCTTGTCACATGACCAGGAAAGATTAGGCTCGCAGACACACAGAAGGGTGAGAAAAATGGAATTTTATTGTTTGAAAAGGAAAAAAAAAAAAAACACAGCAAAGCGAGAGAGGTTTCTGTAAACAGGCCCACATCTCACAGACCAAACCCCAGGTTACCACCCAGGAACAGGAGAGGCCAGGATCCTCCCCGCTGCAAACAACTGGAACTTCCCAAGACCCCGCCCCATCTTCCCAGTGAGCAAGTCGGTTGCAGATTCTCCAGGGAGCCCTTTTTACTTGGCTGTCTCAATAACACCTACTAATAAAAATGCAGTGGAGGTCTTAGGCTTGTGGGAACCTCAACCACCATTCTTTTATTTTAAAACCACGATCTGACATCTAAGTTAATGTATCCTTCTTTCAAGTTGTCTGTTTGAAAGGCTCTGACCTTTTTCCAGGATTAACATCAAAACTTCTCTCAAGAACCTCCCTGACACAGCTTTTCAGACCCACCTTTTTAGTCCTAGGATAATTTCACTGACTTTGACAACTCACTTTATTCGTCGGATTAATCGCAAACTGACTTCTCGTTGTTACAAAAGGGTGAGCTCTCCCTTAGATGGAATGTGTTGTCACCACTCTTTAATATTCTAAACAAGGCCTGAAAAAAAGGTGTTTGCCACATGCTTTAAGCTGTCGTAGGAGCAAGAGTGTAAGCTCACAAGCCAGCTACTCAGAAGAGGCCAATTTTTATTTAGAAATTTAAGCCCTGTTACATTCATTTATTTTTAAAGTACCTTGATTTTATAATTCCACCTGTTTATGACAAAACCACTGTTTTTCACAGGAAGCACAAAATTCATTTAGGCAAAGAAGTGTGAAAATGAATGAAGTTCTGCTCCAGCTCAGCTTCAGAGGAACCAAAGCCACTTGTACCACAGAGGATTCTACAAGGTCCCAACTGATCCCAAATGGCTTCCTACTAACTGTCACAGAGCCGAATCACACACCATTAGATTCACTGCTTAGGTCTGGTGTTATCAGAGGGCCTGCCCCAATATATGGACATGTCATGAGATGAGGAAATGACCCATCACCCTATGGAGTCCACCGTCTGTTTTGTTTTTTTTTTTTCAGACGGGGTTTTACTGTTGCTGCCCAGGGTGGAATGCAATGGCGCAATCTCGGCTTACCACAGCCTCTGCCTCCCAGGTTCAAGCAATTCTCCTGCCTCAGCCTTCTGAGTAGCTGGGATTACAGGCATGCACCACCACACCTGGCTAATTTTGCTTCACGCCTATAATCCCAGCACTTTGGGAGGCCGAGACGAGTGGATCACCTGAGGTCGGGAGCCTGACCAACATGAAGAAACCCCGTCTACTAAAAATACAAAATTAGTCCACCATCTTTTATCATCTTGATTAGATAAACTGTGGGAAGCAGAGAGCAGTAGCCTGGGGAAAGGGGCTTGGGTAGACAAGCTTTGATGCGTGAGTTGTCTGCAGAAACACCAGAAGCATGAAAGAGTTTGGCATTGAGCTGCTGAGCTCAGGAGGTAGCTGCAGACACAGGGCTCCTGGCTGAGCCCTGGAGGTGGTGGGAACATGGGGCTGTGGCAGCCTCAGGGCCTGTGTCAGCCAGGTGCCCCTTGAGCAGGGGAGCAGAGTCACTGTGAGTGTTATGAGAAAAAAACTTTTATTGTAGAAATTAGACCTTGTATAGTTGTGGAGGGAGCTGAAGAAGCCAAAGTCTCAGGGGCAGGGGGTGCGAGGAGAGGATCCTTGGTGGCGATACCAGCCAGTCACTTTGAGAAGCCAAACACACCTTGCTGCCAAATGAGGCCACAGAGGTAGAGGGCAGGAAGGGGGTTGCCGCTGACACTGTGTCACCTCTTAGGGTCTACAGCCAAACACCTAGGAAGACCAGCAGTCAGCATCACGGGCTCGGCAGAAGAGAGGACAGAGGACGCCCGCTGAAAACCCCGAGCGACCGCTACATCTACCCACCACCACATCTGGCTGATCAAAAGGCCTCCAGACAGCAACGGCCACGGCTTCACGTCTGCTTTTAAAATCTCACTCAAATTTCCCTTTGGGCTAGCTCTAACTCAAAACCACACGGGGACCTTTCAGCTGTAGATTCTGAAGAAGTTTGTTATGGAAACATGGCCTCATTAGAATAATCGGGGAGTGGATAGGTTAGATTATTGATTGGAAATATTCATTCTTCACCCTCCCATCCTCCCATGAAGGATAGAGTGTATTTTCCTATTCCTTGACTTTAAGTTTGTCCATGTGCCTTGCCTCAGCCAGTGGAATGAGGCGATTGAGGATGTGCCAATTCTAAGCCTAGGATTAAGAGGCTTCATGGGTTTCCACTCAAATTATTTTGCTCTGCCATGGACATGAGACTAGACTACCAGGTTGGACTCTTGCTTCTAACAGGAGGATAAGAGACATAGGCAGAGTTGAACCAGTCCAGCTGAACCCACTATACATCAGCCAAATGCTGGCTGACCTCCAGATGTGTGAGCAAACCTACCAAAATCAGCAGACCCGGATTAATCAACCCAACCTAGATTAGCTGACCCCCTGCTGACTCCCAGATGCATGAATTACATAAATGCCTACTGTTGTATGCCACTGAGCTTGTGCGGTTGTGTCTTACACAGCATTACTATGGCCATAAGAAACCAGAACAGAAATTGGTACCAGAAGTGGAGTGCTACTCTAACAAAAACCCAAGATATGTTGAATTGGTTTGGGGACCAGTGGAAGGAAGTAGAGAAACCTAAAGAGGCTGAGAAGATGATGAGAGAAAATAACTTGAGGATGCTGAACAGTAATGATTCATGTTAAGGAGTCTGAAATAGAAAATGTACCCAATTAACTTATGAATCTAGGCATGGACATCTCCAGGCAGAATACTGAAAGTGTGGGTTGGTTGCTTTTGACTTCAAAAAGGAGATGAGCTCAGAAAAGAACTGGCCAGTTTGTAAGCAGAATTTGGAGGGAATATGAAGAATTTGGAACGTGCTGAGTTAGAAAATAAAACTGTTTCTCATTTCCAGCCTTTCCAGTCAGCAAAATATTTTCAAATTAGGATACAGCCTGGGAGCAATAATCAACCCCAGGGTGCTTCCAGCAAGGCCTGACCTCAGAGTAAAGACCAAATCAAACACACAGTTGCAAGATACATTGTTAAGAACTTCATAAGAATTAAGGTGGAGTCTAGTAATCCTTTCAATTGTTCAAAAAGATTTTTAGAAAACTTAAGGGTGGGATGTGAGAGCAGTCTGATACACCACCTATAATACCAGTAAGCACATCGAGAAAGGAATATTTTTAAATGAATTACGGATATGGTTTTTGGTACATAGACTAGACGGAAACCAAATATATATAAAATACACAAATTTTTCTGAGAGAGCCAGAAACTGTTCCAAATATAAAAGGATCCCTGGGCCCCTGTATTTGAGTTCTCCAGAACTCTGAATAGTTCGATAGATGGATAGATAGATAGATAGATAGATAGATAGATAGATAGATAGATAGACAGACAGACAGACAGACAGACAGACAGCTAGCTAGCTATGGGGGATGGAGAAGGATTGATTTTAAGGAATTGGATCATATAATTGTAGAAGTTGGCAAGTCCAAAATCTGAGTTCTCCAGAACTCTGAAGAGTTCAGATAGATAGATAGATAGATAGATAGATAGATAGACAGATAGATAGATAGATGATAGAGAGAGAGAGAGATGATAGATATGGAGGGATGGAGAAGGATTGATTTTAAGGAATTTTAAGGAATTGGATCATATAATTGTGGAAGCTGGCAAGTCCAAAATCTGTAGGGAAGGTCAGCAGGCTTGTGACCCAGGGAAGAGTCAGTGTTGCAGCTCTAGTCCAAAGGCAATTTACAGACAGAATTTTCTCTTCTCCAGAGGAAATAGTCTTTTATCAGCCTTCAGCTGATTGGATGAGGCCCACCCACATTATAGAGGGTCATCTGCATTACTCAAAATCTACTGGTTTAAATATCATTCCCGTCCAAAAATTGACCAAATATCTGGATTCCATGGTCTAGCTAACTTAACACACAAAAGTAACCATCACAGTCCCAACGTTCTTCAAAATGAAAGCCAACTGGGAAAGTTTCTGGGCCACCAATAGAGCACATTTTCTGAAATCTTTTTCAGAAGTGCCCCAGGAGATGATACAAAAGGGAGAGGAACTCAGAGAACAGAGCCAAGACTTATGCCAAACAACAGAATGAGGAACTAGACTCAGTGACCTGAACCTGGGGCTAATCAGAGAACACTCAACGTCATCAATGCAGGGGAGCCTGGCAACATTTGCCAAGTGAGATTTCAAAATTGCTATGGACCAGTGACTAATATGTGCCTCCCATTCTTCTCCCTTTTACCTAGGTGTGCTTACTATAAGTATCCTGTCCTCATTTTACTATATTATTCTGAATGTGTGTGTACAGGAGAGAAATCAATGTGTTCTTTTACTTCGAAAGGAGTGAAGAGGAGTTACATCTTGCCCTGATGTAGACCATGAGATCTTGAACTTTGAGTCTAACACCGTGATTGGATGAAACTTTTGGAATCTTCCTATTGAGGTTAACGTATTTTGATTAATATTATTAATAAGAGGGTGATTGTATCAACTTATTATTCAGACATTCATTTTCTCCTCCCCCAATACACACACACACACACACACAAAAGCAGAGCATGTATTACTGCCTCTAGACTTTAGGAATGCCATATGACTTGCTTTGGTCAACAGAGCAATGTGGAATTGTTGGTGTATCAGGCCTGAGCCTAGCCCTTTTGAGGTCTCATGTGTTTCCACTTGCTTTCTTCATGGGAAAACATGTCCAGGTGAGCTTGCTGGTCACATAAGGAAAGCAATAGTCACAAGGCAGTGGAGATCAGCCCAGTGTAGATCAGCTGACCCGCCAATTCATAGATGCATGAGCAAGTCCAGGCAAGATTGGAAAAGCCAAGCCAAATAAGTTGAGCCTAGATTAGATCATCTATCCCCAGACACATGATGCAAAATAAATAAGCTTTTTGTTGTATAAAGTTGAGTTTTTTCTGGGTTAGTCCATTTGTGTTGCTATAAAGGAAACCTTAGGCTGGGTAATTTATAAAGAAAAGAGGCTTATTTGGCTCACAGTTCTGCAGGCTGTGCAAGAAGCATGGCGCTAGCATCTGCTTCTGGTGAGGGCTTCAGGGAGCTTTCCAATCATAGTGAAAGGGAGAGAAGAGCCAGCATATCACATGGCAAGAGAGGGAGCAAGAGAAAGGAGAGAAGGTGCCAGGCTCTTTTAAACAACCAAATCTCATGTGCACTAATAGAGTAAGAATTCCCTTATTGCCGCAAGGAAGGGACCAAGGCTTTTATGGGAAATATGCACCCAAGACAAAAAAGTCACTAAGCAGGCCCCATCTCCAACACTGAGGGTCAAATATCTCCCTCCCTCCTCCTTCTTTCCTTCCTTCCTTCCTTCCTTCCCTGACACAAACACCACTCACCAAGCCCCACCTCCAACATTGGGAGTCAAATTTCTTTTTTCTTTCTTTTCTTTCTTTCTTTCCTTTCTTCCTTCCCTCCTTCCTTCCTTCTTTCCTGCCTTCTTTCTTTCTTTTTCTTTCCTTCCTTCCTTGCTTCTTTCCTTCCTTCTTTCTTTTTCTTTTCTTTCCTTCCTTCCTTGCTTCTTTCCTTCCTTCTTTCTTTCTTTTTCTTTTCTTTCCTTCCTTCCTTCCCTCTTTCCTTCCTTCTCTCTCTCTCTCTCTTTCTTTCTTTCGACAGGTTCTGGCTTGGTCACCCAGGCTGGAGTGGAGTGTGGTGGCATGACCTCTGCCTCCTAGGCTCAAGCCATCCTCCCACCTCAGCCTCCCGAGTAGCTGGGACTACAGACTCATGCCACCATACCCGGCCACGAATCAAATTTCAACGTGAGATTTGGAGGGGACAAATATTCAAACTATATCACTTTCTGATTGCTTGTGATACAACATTCTTGTGAGCATAGGACATCTATACAAGAAGTAAGCTGGAAAAAGCTTTAGGAGAATTAATAGGGGAGGGAAAATAATATTTAATGATGGCTTATAACATTGTACTTTTTTTAATTCTTAGTAAAAAATAAGATGAGATAGAGTATTGACAGATGCCTCGTATTTAATGTAATGAAAGCTAATTTCCTGTTCCCACTCCCACCCTTCCACCATCACCGCTTCCCACTGTCTTCACCAACTTGAAAAATGGCAACTTCATTCTACCAGTTGCTCACGTCGAAACCTTAAAGTCATCCTTGATTTCTCTCTTTCTCTCACTTCTCACATCCAATTCATCAGCAAATTCACTTGGTGCTTCCTTTAAAATAGATCCAGAATCAAAAAATGTGTCTCATCCCTACTACCTGCTTCAAGCCATAATCATCCTTGGTCTTGACTTTGGCCATCCTTTGGCCACCCCTGACACCTTCCTGCTTCTCATGTGCCCCCCTACACTTCATTTTCCAGAGGAGAGCCAGTATTCTTCCAGAAGAAGTCAGATCATGCCATTATTTTTCTCACAACCTTACGATGACCGACCCCCTCCCCCCCATCACTTAGAATAAGATTTCTTACAACGGCCCACGGAGACCTAAGAGATCTAGATTCCGCCCCTTACCTCTTTGACGTCAGCTCTTACCACAGTCACCCTTGCTGGCTCTACTGCAGTTGCACGAGTTTTTGTGGTAGACCCTGTCAGGACTAAGGCCACATCCCCACAATACTCACAGGTTCTCAACTCATTTGTGCCTTCCTGCTATAAGTACCTGTGGCTCTTGACCTGAGTACTTTCTCTGGCATACTGCACCCGCGCTCACGAAAGGCACAGTGCTGCAAAGCAGCCCTCAGCTGATGTCAGACTGGATTTGGAGAATCAATATCTCTGCTTCCTCATCCCTTGGGTGGGAAAATACTGAGAGCTTATTTGACACACTGGCCTGGGTCCTCAGCAGGACTGAGCCACTTGTGCCCGTGGTGACAGCTTGCTCATTAATGCACCTAGTATTTTCTTCTCCCCTTCCCTGTCTCACTTTCCTTCTCTACCAGGCTTTCTGGGATCACCTCCCAAGTATTCTACTTATACTCAAATCCTTGTCTCAGAGTCTGCTTTGAGAAAAACCCAATCCAATATAGCTTTCTTGCTGTTTCCTAAACATGCCAAGTATACTGCAGGGCCTATGCACTGACTTTTAACTCTACCCCTAATGCTTTTCTTCCATATAGCTGAATGGCTCACTCCCATGCTCACTCAGGTCTCCACTCAAATGTTACTTTATCCAAGGCCTTCCCCAGCAAGCACACTTTCCCTCATTCTTATTCTCATTCTTTTGTTTTGTTTTGTTTTGTTTTTTGTGAGACACAGTTTCGCTTTTGTTGCCCAGGCTGGAGTGCAATGGTGCGATCACCACTCACCACCACCTCTGCCTCACAGGTTCAAGCAATTCTCCTGCCTCAGCCTCCCGAGTAGCTGGGATTACAGGCACGTGCCACCACCCTCGACTAATTTTGTATTTTTAGTAGAGACAGGGTTTCAGCATGTTGGCCAGGATGGTCTCAATATCTTGACCTCGTGATTCGCCCACCTCTGCTGGATTACAGGCATGAGCCACCGCGCCTGGCCTCATTATTCTTCTTAACACTTTCACCCTGTTCATTTGTTGTTGGTGGTCTTCCCCACTAAAACGTCCCTGTGTGAGAGCAGAGAATTTGCTTGCATTGATCACTGCTGTACATTTCATTCCCAGCACCTAGGACAGTGCCTGGCACATAGTAGGTGCTCAATAAACATTTGTTGAATTAATATATTTCTTAATTTCTCTCTTTCTCTCACTTCTCACATCCCATTCATCAGCAAATTCACTTGGTGCTTCCTTGAAAATATATGCAGAATCAAAAAATGTGTCTCATCCCTACTACCTGCTTCAGATATTTTTACAAATTTTATTTTTTTACAGATTTTATTTCACAGATTTATATTTTTAAAGATATTAATGACAATGGCACTTATTGAGGGATTTATGTTTTGACTCCTTTAACTCTCTTGACAAGTACTACTGCTATCCTCACTTCACAGCTGAAGAAACTGAGGCACAGAGATGCCTCAGTTTCAGCTGGGGTAAGTGGATTACCCCAGCCACACAACCAAGATAGAGGAGAGATAGAATTTGAACCCAGGCAGTTTGGTTCTAGAGTCCACAGTCTTTGCCATTTTCTTTCTGAGTCCCAGAAGTGTCCACAATTACACTAGACAGCTGATCAGACCACAAACTCCATTCTTTTTTGGGGGCTTGAATTTTTACTTTTTGGTAATTTTTTTTCCAATTGTGAAAGCAATACATGTTCATTGTAGGAAATGTGAATAAGAAAAAAAAATGAAGAATATTAATCTCTTAGGAATGCTGTTCATATGTGGTTGATTTTATTCCAAATTTTTTTCATCTAAGTATGTATGTCAAATATTTGATGCAAAATTAGTATCACGCAATATACTTTTACATTTTGTCTTACTTTTTACAATTTTAATATTGTGTCAGGAAACACTTGCTGTGTTAATATTCTTAGAAAATAGAATTTAAAATGCCTACACAATAGTGCAGTGAACATGTCTTTTAATTTATTTAGAAATGTTCTTACCCTTAAGTATTTAGCTTGTCTTAGGTTTTGGTTTGGAGTAAATGAACATGTACATAAATTTCTGTGTCTGTTGCTGGATTACTCATTAGGACAATTCCTAGTAACAGAACAGCTGATTCGGAGGGCATGCCTGTGGCTGATATGGGGCTTGATTTATACTTGCAAATGGTGCTTCCAAAGTATTTGACCAATATGCATTCCCCCAGTGGTAGAGAAGACCCCGGTGCTCCCTTGCTAGAGGTTGTTTGGCTGAGTCATGCTGCCTCCCCAGCATACACAAAATGGATCTTACAGACGAGAAAATAAGGCTTAGACCAACTGGGTGACTTATGTGAGATTAGTGACAAAACCAAGCAGGGACAACAAATTGTGTTTCCTCCAAACCAGAAGAAAGAGACACGAACCAAGTGACACCCAACTGGCAGAGATACCACAGCTTGAAATGTCACCTCTCCGCCCACCAACTCCACCCCAGCCCCTGGCCACCCACAGACTCTCTTGCAAAGCAAACACAGCATACTATGTCTTCAGCGATTCCAGAAACTTCGCCTCTTGGAACCTGCCGGAACATTTCCAAATCATGGCCAAATTATAATTTCTCTCACCCACACAGTCACCAAATGACCCATGTGATGAGGAATTTGCTATCCATGGCAGACAAGATCCAACACCAATAAAATGTCCTGGCCCCGGGCTGTTCAAAGGAAAGCCTCTGTTTTTAAACCTCGTATTAAAAATAAATACATAAAGTTGACAGCTGTCAGCAAGACGTACGTGAACTAGAAACTCAGGTCATTGTCTTTTGCCTTTTTCTTAAAACAAGATGGGGTTTCTGTCCTCTATTGTGATTTGAGCCACAGCAGAGGGACCACAGCTTGTTTTAGGATTGCAGTCAAAGCTATCACTGGAAGAACAATTTGTATTGCTATGCCAAAGCTGGGCTGCATATTAAAATATTCCCACTTCTCCTTTTGTAACTTGGAGTTTCTCATTTCTTTTTCCAAATGTCTATCAAAAATAATCTTTTTTTAAAAGAATAGCAACTTAGCCCTTGAATCATTAATTTTATTTTTTTCAATCTACTTTAAATATATATATATATTTAAATGTAGAGATTGTCTTAGTCCGTTCAGGCTGCTATAATGAAGTATCATAGACTGGGTGGCTCATACACAACAGAACTTTATTTCTCACAGCCTCGGAGGCTGGAAGTTGGAGATCAGGCTGCTGGTATGGTTGGTTGGGTTCTGGTGAGGGCTCCCTTCCAGGTTGCAGATGGCTGCCAACTTCTCATTGCATCCTCGCACGGTAGAAAGAGAACTACCAAGTTCTCTGGCCTCTTCTTATTAAGATGCTAATCCCATTTATGAGGGCTCCACCCTCATGACCTCCCAAAGCTCCCAGTACCAAGTACCATCATCTTGGGATTAGAGTTTCAACATATACATTTTGAGGGGAACATAAATATTCAGTCCATTGCAGATATAATGCATTAATTCTGTTTTCATCATCCACTTTGGAAACAGATATATTCAAAGATAGATATAATGCATAAGTTTCCAATTCCCTTTTTTTTTTCTTTTTTTGAGACGGAGTTTCACTCTTGTTGCCCAGGCTGGAGTGCAATGGTGTGAACTACGGCTCACCGCAACCTCTGCCTCCTGGGTTCAAGCAATTCTCCTGCCTCAGCCTCCTGAGCAGCTGGGATTACAGGCATGTGCCACCACACTAGGCTAATTTTTTATGTATTTTTAGTACAGACGGGGTTTCTCCATTTTGGTCAGGGTGGTCTCAAACTCCCAACCTCAGGTGATCTACCTGCCTTGGCCTCCCAAAGTGCTGGGATTACAGGCGTGAGCCACCGCGCCTGGCTCCAATTCTTTTTTAATTGGTTAGGATCAACTACATAAAGAGCAGCAAACTTCTGTAACTAAATGCAGGGTTTTACGGAGCTTGAGAGGTCTCTACAATTTGTTATCTTTTAGATATTTAGATTTTTTTTCCTTTTAATCTTTATACTCTTATTTCGAACTTTCATTTAATTTTTTAGTTGAAATGAAAGTTAGACTTAACTGCAAACACTTTAAGATGAGCTCAGTTTCCTGCTCACATATTGTCTTCAGAACCCCATTCCCCACCGGCATCTGATGCCCAGCCAATTCTCGGTACACATTTGTCATCTGTTTAGCAAAGAAGAAAGCCTCACAGATGTGAAGTGACTTACCTAGGCTGCATCATAAGACTGACAGAGGCAGGGCCAGAACCTTCTTCTGAATCAAATCCCGTCCCAACCTCCCTACCCAGAGAGAAAGCCTAGCTAAATTGCTAAATTACCTGCAGGCCAGGCCCTATTCCAGCTGCATGCAATTCTTTTTTTTTTTTTTTTTTTTTTTTGCCTTGCAATGCACTGGGGGCCATGTTAAGAACATCCTTAGTTCGGTACAACTTTAGACTGGTGGGTTGTTGTCTAGAAAATATTTTTTCTACTAGAAAATTATTTGTTCAAGCTTTGGGAGAACTTGCAAAAAACATTTTCAACTTTGTTTAAAAATCATAGTTAATGCTTCAAAACCCAACCCATGTCCTAATTCCAGTCCTCTCCTCTCTAGAGGAGAGCGTAGGGCTTTTCCTTTCCACCCTGCTGCCCAACCAGTAGCCAGGACCCTTCCCTGGAGAGGTCACCTGCCCACCATCCTGTCCCCTTCAACCCCCAAGTGCAAAGTCACCAGGTGCCAGCTCCCTATACCCCTCACCCCTCACCTGCACTCTCTCCTGACGGTGACTCCTTGCAGCCCTCACTTGTACACATGGGCAGGAAAAGGGAGCCAGTTCCTTGGGCATAGGGCTGCCCCCTAGGCAGAAAGATAAAGATCCACGCCCTATTCACCCCACCTCTGCCCAGTCCAAGGGAAGCCATCATCAACCTTCCACCATCTCCTTGGCAAACTCCAATTTTTTAACCCACACACCCAATATCTATTAAAATATTGATTTGTTTTGTAAATAATATACAAGTGTTCAAATAATTTTTATGTGTCCTATAAAAATAAAAGTACTGAAATTTGAGATAAAAATAGGTATGAAGAGAAATCCTAATATTTTCTTTCAGCACCCCCAGGAGACTGCTTACAGAGGTATTTGCTCGCACACATACACACACTCCTTGAGGTGTGCACACTCTTCTCAGAACCTTTCCATCCAGCGTGTTCTGGAGCCTGGGTCTGTAGCATCAGTGCTCTGCGTCGACCACTGGGGAGTGGGGAGGGGTGGGCACCCATCAAACAAGCACTTTAGGCACACTTCACCCATCCTGTCCACCATGGACAGAATGCTAGAGGAAAAAAATTTTCTCATGTTTTTTGCCTGTATCTGCTTTTGTATTTTTACATTACCAAAGCCCATCCTACTCAGCCTTTAGAATTCTAAAGAATACAATTTATGTAATGTATAGCTGAGGGTATAGGATGGCGCTCAGTTCAGTATCTTTGTGTTTCCTTTTCCCTTTCTTAAAAACAGGGCTTTGCTGTGTCACCGAGGCTGGAGGGCAGTGGCGTGATCATGGTTCACTGCAACCTCGAATTTCTGGGCTCTAGCCATCCTCCCTCCTCAGCCTCCTGAGTAGCTGGAACTACAGGTGCATGCCATCAGACTCAGTTATTTTTAAAATTATATTTGTAGAGACAGGGTCTTGCTCAGGGTGATCTCAAACTCCTGGGCTCAAGCCATCCTCCTACCTCAGTCTCCTAAAGTGCTGGAATTACAGGAGTGAGCCACCATGCCCAGCCTCAGTATATTTTTTTGTTTTGTTTTGTTTTGTTTTGTTTTGTTTTGTTTTGTTTTGAGACGCAGTCTCGCTCTGTCGCCCAGGCTGGAATGCAGTGGCACAATCTCGGCTCACTGCAACCTCCACCTCCCGGGTTCAAGCGATTATCCTGCGTCAGCCTCGCGAGTAGCTGGGATTACAGGCGCACGCCACCAAACCCGGCTAATTTTTGTATTTTTAGTAGAGACGGGGTTTCACCATGTTGGCCAGGATGGTCTCGAACTCCTGACCTCGTGATCCGCCCGCCTTGGCCTCCCAAAGTGCTGGGATTACAGGTGTGAGCCACTGTGCCGGGCCAGCCTCAGTATTTTTAAACCCAAATTATTGCCAGAGAAATTGGTATATTTATTCAGATGAAAAATACTTGCATTAGTAAGCGAAAATATCTGTCATCGTCACTTTACAGAAAATGGAAAAGGATGAGGATTGCACAAAAACTAGAAATTCCATCCCGGGTGTTTTTCCTCCTCAGCAACGGGCACAGGTCGTTCCAGTTTTGGCCAGGCGGTGGCGCTCGAGGCAAACGGTGTCATGAAACGGTCACTGGATGCACTGACCCTGAAGATGCTCTCAAAGCACGAGTCCGTTCATCAGAGAGTGGACTTGACACCCATCAGAAACATTCCCGGAGTGCGTTGGTGTGAAGGTGCGAGGAGAGTCGGGGAAGCATCCCGAAGCCCTGCTAGGCGAATGGGTACTGCTGAGATTACAGGGTCAGCACAAAGCAGAATACAGGACCCGAAAATAACAGCTGCACCGGAAGAATACTTGACCACTGTTTAAGAAGGAATTTGACGAAGAGCAGTCACCGAGTGCAGCCCTGGGCCGGCTAAAGGAAAAGAAAAAAAATCACTCAACTGCCGCTCGGCGGCGGGAATGCCAGGCGGGTCAGAGAAGGGAAACAGGGTGCTTTGCAGCCGCGGTGCAGGCGCAGGGCAACCCCCTGCCCAGCACTGAAGTCTAGAGCAGGCTCTGCGGGTAAATAGGAGAAAATCCTAGTGAGCCTTATTGTGATTCAACATTTAGAATTTTCCCCCAGTTCTGACCTTGAGATTTAATAAAAGGCGTTTTCAAGTTACACTGGTTCTCTTTTCATATGGAAATGAATTTGGGGTGATTGTTTTCACTGGTGTCTTATTACTTTACGAAATTATGAGCACCCCTTTGCAAGGAAAAATACCTTCTGTCCTTTGGATTGCTGGTTAAATACGGGTAATTTTCATTCCTATTTAAATCAACTTGAAAAAACAAAAGGAGGCCACGTAGGCAAAAGTTCGTTTTGAGGAAGGAAGTTCTCCTAAAAGCTAGGGTAAGTAGATTTTGCTTCAATCTGCATATTTTTCAAGGAAAGACTTTTAAAACGAAATGTTTCTAAAACCTGAAATTTTAAAGGCAAATACATAGTCTTTTTAATAAAGCAAAGCATATTCTGCATTCCCACCTTTTACGAGAATAAAATAAAATATCTAGAGACAAATACATTTGGATTTGTGAAAGGAAAATAAATATTGGGACCACAAAATCACTAAGCTAAAGAGAAAAGTCAAGCTGGAAACTGCTTAGGTCAAACCTGCCTCCCATCCCTCTGCTTGCTAAGATGAATGCATATCTGCTTGCCTCATTTTAAAAAGTTAATCAGAAACTCAAAAGAGGCAATCATTTGTCTCTTTTTTTTTTTTAGATGGAGTTTCACTCTTGTTGCCCAGGCTGGGGTGCAGGGGCGCTATCTCGGCTCACTGCAACCTCCACCTTCCACTTTCAAGCCATTCTCCTGCCTCAGCCTCCTGAGTAGCTGGGATTACAGGTGCACACCACCACACCTGGCTAATTTTTGTATTTTTAGTAGAGATGGGATTTCACCATGTTGGCCAGGCTGGTCTCGAACTCCTGACCTCGTGATCCTCCTGCCTCAGCCTCCCAAAGTGCTGGGATTACAGGCATTAGCCACCACACCTGCTCATTTGTCTCTTAACTACCTGTGACATGGAAGCCCTGTCTCTGCTTCAAGTTGTCCTGCCTTTCCAGACCGAACCAAGATACATTTTACATATGTTGATCAATGTCTCATGTCTCCCTAAAATGTATAAACCCAAGCTATTGCCCCGACCACCTTGAACACATGTCGTCAGGACTTCCTGAGGCTGTATCACTGGTGCAAATCCTTATCTATCGCAAAATAAACTTCCTAAATTGACTGAGACTTATCTCAGATAGTTGGGGTTCATAGGTTCATTTTCAATTTCTAGAGAACCTCTAATGGAGTCATAATTATAAAAGTCTCATTCCATTTCTTGGAAATTTGGGGACAGACAGAGAGAGAAGATTATGATTTACAATGGGGCAATAAGGAAGAATAATGGAAAAAAAAAAGAAAAGAAAAGATCAGCATCCCCTTCAGGAATAACTATGTTTTATGAGGCTGAGCCATGAAGCAACTAACAGAATCATATCCCACACCTCTCCCAGTAATGCCCAAGTTCAAGACAAGCTTTGCAGTAAGAGCACCTGAGTCTGTCATTTCATGTCCTATTTTTCTGTTTCATTTTGTACCAGTCCCTGGAAAATTCTCTGTGACTTCCTTTTCCAGCACATAAGGGCTCATGTCTCTGAGAGAAGCCAAGTCCTATCCTCTCCAGATAGAATGAAAAACTAGGACTCCTCCCTACCACCCATTCAGCCCATGTGCACAGGAATTCTCTTCCTTCACTCAACTTTCCCACAACCCCCAGAGCATATGTGGATGTTGGGTTGTTATCTATTAATTGTGTGATTTGGAAAAGGGCAGCAAAATGGAAAGCATATTCCTCAAATGTGTCCTGGGGAGCTGCTTGAAAAACACCTACACAGAAAGTACAATTGACGCTCTATTTTTTCCAGCTGCACCCCTTCTTCACAACAGATGTACACTTTGGTGAAATACTGCTGGTCTGTAAAAAGGAAAGGTTTATTTCTAAAACAGTGTAGTCATTCTCTCCAAAGTTATACCATAACCCAATTTAAAATAGGGTGGGAAGCAACCCACTGAAATTTTGAACCAGCTCTAAATTAGAGTCCAGAAAAACAAATGCCTAAATAGTTAATTACGGAAAGTCCATCCAGGCTTTGGATATCATGTACAGATCTTTCTATTTTCTTCCAAATAAAGAATAATGAAAAGAAATCAGCGGTAGAGCATTTCTGATTAAATACCCAGAATAAATACTCTATGTAAAAAAGACAGTGTAGATTCAGTGGTAGAGAATACAGTTTCTGGAAGTAGATTTCGTAGGTCCAAATCCCAACACTTCAATTTACTAGAGTGGTGACCTTGGGCAAGTCATTCAACCTTTCGGTGACTCAATTTCCTAACCTCCAAAGTAGACATAAGAAAATTGCCTCTTGAGATAGCTGTGTGGTATGGGTTGATACTTGTGAAGTATTTGGGATAGGTTCTGTGCTAGGAAAATATAAACTGCTCAGCGTATTTTACCATATTATTGTTCCTTTTAACTGATCACTTTTTCTCAACACACAGGTAAAATACTTTACTTTCATCATGTTTCAACAGCCACGTCTAAAATACCATGTTCTGTAGGGTTTTCAAAACTGTATGTCACTTCACTAGCAAGAAGGGTAAAATGGCTATATGATTTGGAGACGTTCCATACAATAAGCATAAAACTGTTAATATTTTTAATATGTTTTGATGTTCTTGGAAACAATCTAAATATCCTACAACAGGGAAATAGGAAACGGTTAAGAAAGTTATGGAAGACGGCCATATGTTATGGGCGCACTGGCTCAAATCTATAATCCTAGCACTTTGAGAGGCCCAGGTGGGTGGATTACTTGAGGTCGGAAGTTCTAGACCAGCCTGGCCAATATGGTGAAACCCCGTCTCTACTAAAAATACAAAAATTAGCCAGGTGTGGTGGCACGCACCTGTAATCCCAGCTACTTGGGAGACTGAGGCAGGAGAATTGCTTCAACCTGGGAGGCAGAGGTTGCGGTGAGCCAAGATCTCACCACTGCACTCCAGACCAGGCAACAGAGCAAGACTACATCTCAAAAAAAAAAAAGAAAGAAAGAAAGAAAAAGAAAAAATAAAAAAAAAAAGAAAAGAAGTTGCAGAAGGGGCAGAGGATTTAAATAATACAAATAAATGCTTGTGGTGTGTCAAGTGAAGCAAAAAGTGTAAATATTTTACAAGTGGTAAACTCTCAGATTATAAAATGGATAGGGATCGACTGAAAGTAATATGCTAAAATGCTACTAATGGCTTCTGCAAGTGGTGGAAAGTGGGTACTTTTTGTTTTCTCAGTTCTACTTTTACTGACTTGCCAAATTTTTCACAAGATTGACTGAGCACTTACTCTGGGCAAAGCACAGCTCTAAGTGTTTCACATGTGTTAGTCCATTTGTGCTGCTATAATAAAACACCACAGACTGAATAATGTATAAAGAACAGAAATTTACTTCTCATGGTTCTGAAGGCTGGAACGTCCAAGACGGAGGTGCTGGCGGGTTTGGTGTCCAGTAAGGGCTCCTCTCTTGGCTTCCAAGATGGTGCCTTGTTGCTTTCTCTGGAGGGGTCTTCTATGGCAGAAGGGATGGAAAGGCCAAAAGGGCCTAAACTAGTCCCCGCCAGGCCTTTTATAAGGTACTAATCTATTCTAATCCACTGGGATTTAATCACATCCCCAAAGGCCTCATCTCTCAATGCCATTGATATGGTTTCGCTGTGTCCCCACCCAAATCTCACCTTAAATTTTAATAATTCCCGTGTGTCAAGGGCAGGTGGAGATAATTGAATCACGGAGGCAATTTCTCTCACACTGTTCTCGTGATAGTGAATAAGTCTTATTAATTGAATCACAGGGGCAATTTCTGTCATACTCTTCCCGTGGTAGTGAATAAGTCTCATGAGATCTGATGGTTTTATAAATAGGAGTTCCCCTCCACAAGCTCTCTTGCCTGCTGCCATGTAAGACGTGCCTTTCTCCTCCTTTGCCTTCTGCCATGATTATGAGGCCTCCCCAGCCATGTGAAACTGTGAGTCCATTAAATCACTTTTTCTTTATAAATTACCCAGTCTTGGGTATGTCTTTATTAGCAGTGTGAGAACAGACTAACACAGCCATCAAAGTGGGATTAAGCTGCTACATGGATTTTAGAGGAGACACATTTAAACCATAGCAACATATATTAATTTATTTCTCTCTCGCAGAGGCCATTTTACTTAGGTGGTTTATTTTTGCCATTTTACAGATGGAAAAAAGAAGAGAGAGTGAGAACAAGTAAACTCCCCACAGCTCTATCCTTGGTAAGTGAGGTAGCCAAGATTCTGAAGCAGGCTTCTGACTCCAGAGTGCTCCTAACCACCAGTCTACACTGCCTCTTTACATACACATCACTTCGAAATAAGAAAAAAAGTTCATTTTAAAGAAAAAAGAACTTAATTTTGCCAGACAAATAATTTGACAAAATATGATATTTACTTTAGAATACATTATTCATACATATTATGGATTTAGTCTTCATGCAGCCCAATATAGTATCTGAAACATATTAGATTTCTATGGCTTGTTTTGATTTTTCTGAAACACTATTTCTTTCGAATTTCTTTGGTGAAAGTAACTTCTAAAAATACAAATCCAGATTTACCCTCTAAACAAACACAAAGGACATAAATCTTATTACATTAAAAGAAATGTACTTCTAAAGCATATTTGGGTGAGGATATATTGAAATATGTCTCTGCAATTCATATCTGGAAATGGCCCTGTGGAGAAGAGAATTACAGGATGAGTAGGTAATGAGGACTGACTTCTACTTATTTAAGAATCATAAGGCTTCATTAAATTCCAAGGTTTACTTCATTTTCTATCTTCTTTAAACATCAAGTTTAAGAATTTGAACCAAGAAGTAGAAGAAAATAATTATTTATTTAAAAATATATTTAATCTAACATCATAAGTGAAGCATAGCAAAGTCTTAAAAAAAAATTGCGGCAAATTGGTCTGAGAGTCCACCATTATGACAGATTACAATGACCAAGGGCATTCGCCTCTGTCAATTGATATTCTAATGTCTTCATTCAGCAAATATTTACTGGACATCTTCCATTGTGCCAGCCACGGATCTAAGATTTAAAAGCATTTGGCAAATTCTTTTTTGAATTGCCTACTCAGTCTACAGAGTCTACAGATGTTTAGACCTAAGGAAACCAGACATCAGGGATATGTTGAACCTTCCAGTGTCAACCCTGGACAAAGCTTTCCTTTGAAAAGGTAAATGGGAAGCATAAAGAATTCTCCTTGAAAAATCTTGGTAGACGATGGCACAAAGTAGGTGAGGGTTTGGATGGTGATGGGGGGAGAAGCCTAGCAACTGAGTTTATGAAAGATTCTGGGAAAGCCTTACCCATTCAATGTGCCAGAAATAAACCTAAAATAAGTGGCACCATTCAAGCAATGACATTTTGAGAATTAAAACATAGCCAAGTCTGAAAGCAGGACACACCATCACTAACTCAGGAGAACCTTGACATGAAACAATGCCCCCCTGCCTTTCCTCTTGCTTCTCTTTGCCTGTTTGTTTAATCAAATTACGCTACAGCCATCCTACAACTGCACAGTGATTTCTGAAAGGACTCCACTGGAGTTCATTCCATTTGCATCAGTCAAAGAAGCTGTCTTTCCCTTCAAATTGCCTTCCCTATAGCCTTCAAAATTGGAACAAGGGATGGCTTTTGTCTTCCAGCCTTACCAGGAAGATGAAAGTGAAACAGTTCCCTTCTCTCTGCAGCCGGTCTGCACACGATGATCTGCCCAGGAAACTGTAGGTATATTGTAAACTATTACTGCTCTGTAGATAAAAAATGGTTGTGGTGAGATGCCAAGAAGTCTTTATTTATATATTTATATATATATTTATATATATTTTTATATATTTATATTTATATATATTTATATATAAATATATACATTTTTATATAATTATATTTTTATATAATTATATTTATATATAAAATGTATTTTATATATAATGTATTTTATATATAATATATAAATATATTTATCTATATTTATATATTTATATATATATATTTATATATTTATTTGTATATACATTTATATATTTATTTATACATATATTTTTATATACATTTATATATTTATTTATACATATATATTTATATATTTATATATATAAAGTCTTTATATATCTGGTTTCCTCTCAATCTCTCTCTTTCTTTCCTTCTTTCTTTCTTTTCTTCTTTCCCATTTTCCTTCCTTCTCTCCTTCCTTGCTCCAGATTTAACATTAAAACTCACATGATGCCACAAGTTTGAGCACAACATGTCTAAGAACAAGTTCTTAGGAGATGCGCCTGGGCCCCAAGAAGCACAATGATGATGTGCTCCTGGGCCTGGAATCTCAAGGCTCAAGGAGCTCCATGGTCCTGACCCAGGTGATGAGGAGGAAAGCTCTCCACTCCATCAGGCCTCTAATTCCACACCTGGAAAAAAGAAAGACGAATTGGACCAGAGTCTCCCCAAGTCTCCTCTCGTTCTTAACTTGTAGTTCTAGAATAATGGAATGTCGGGAGCCCACGAAAGCTGCCTTCCTCCAACAAATGTGCACTGGGGTAGACCCCTCCTTCTTTCCACCCTGCTGGGTTGTACTCAGAAGCATCTCTGCTCTTGGCTCTCCTTAACCATGCTATGGCCAACCACACCCTCCCTGAAGGATGGTGGTATGAGTCGCTCACCATCAACAGCTCCCACCTTCCTCTTGGGTTCTTCAGCAGCTTCTTAAAGTCCCTGGCAAGAGGAGAGAGAACCTAATACTTATCCATCAATGTAATGGGTATATAGGAATGAGATGTAATCACCTTTATACATTCATAATTTAATCCTCCCAGCAGCCCAATGAAAGCCAATCAACCATTCATGGATCCAACAAATATTTCAGAGCCTATTTCTTGTGTGGTTGGCAGTGGGGCCTGCGTCTCCAATGGGGACACAGTAGAGCTGAACTGCCATCCAGGAGGTGACTCTCAATCAGGAAACAGGAAACAAGAGAGCACACAAATAAAAAGATAGCAGGAAGGGAGGTGCCCTTAAATTAAGTGAAGGGGCACCTTAAAGGGAAGGGGCATTAAGTAAGAGATCTGAGGGGTTGAGGAAACCAACATTGCAGGTGAGGGTACAGGCCAAGGACTCAGGGAGCCTGGTGATCTCAGGCTCAAAACCTTAGTGTGGCTGGAACTAAGGGGGAAGAAAAACATTACAACATCCCCAAGGTAGGCAGGGCCTCAGATGCTGGGCAGCAAATGTGGGTTTTATCCTGAGTACAAAGAGCAGTCATCTGCCAAGGAGCCCAGTGCTGCTTCCACTGCAAATATCTAGGTTCCAAGAGCCCCTCAACCCTTCTCCTCCCTGGACAAAGATCCACCCTCAAGCTACTTCTCATATCATTCGCTTGCATGTCGCTGACTCTCAAGCATGCTCCTGGTCATATCTGGGACTTGTTCTTCAAGTCTTATCTTTTATTGTAGCACAAAACCTTTTGGCCTCCGTTATGCAAATTCGAGATACCAGTCATTTGAGGAAGAAGTAGAGAAGGGAGGGAAAACAGGGTCATCTTCCCCAGCTGCCCTAACTCGTTTCTGCAAAAGACTAATGTGTTTCCAAACTCTCCAAGCACAAGAGCTCCCAAGCAATTACTTTAGGGAAGCCAATGATAAATTTACATTGAATTGCTGGGTTTATGAAACGATAGTGTTTCCACAAGTGTAGACTGCAGAAGTTTTGAGAGGTATCAAAACTTATTACATAAAGGTTTGGCAATATGGAGTTTATAGAAATTAAGTAGGTCTCTTGACTATAGGACTTCTCAGACCTTAATCGGCAACTGCAGGGCAGGAGTCTCTGGATCATCATGGCAGCTATGTTGGTCCCATGTCCCTGGACTCTGCTGGTCTGCTTTCTCGTCTCTATCTAGAGTACTATATAAGTACTAGGAAGGCAGAGATTGTATCTTAAATATTGCATGTCTTGAATGGTGTCTCAAGCATAGTGAGATCTCAATTATTAACAAATACTTATTAATAAATAAATGAAGGAGTCACCAGCAGGTGATTATTTTCCAAACTTCTCATATTTTTTTCATGGAACACATCTTTGGACTCTTGCTAAAGAACAGACCCCTTAGGAATGCTTCTAAGGAATGCTGCTTCAGGAAAAAATGACAACAAAACTATGATGTGTACAGGTTCTTTACCTAATATGGAAGAACCTAGAATTCATTATTATATTTGGTACTTTTTTCTTGTAGGGAACTTGTGTCCTCTAAAATTTATTTAAACTAAAAATGTCATCGTCATCATCAGTCAAGATAGCCATCTTGCTTTGTTTCTCTGTCTCTCTCTCTCTCATTCTCTCTCTCTGTCTCTCTCTCTCTCTCTCATTCTCTCTCTATCTCTCTCATTCTCTCTCTCTCTGTCTCTCTCTCTCACTCTCTCTCTGTCTCTCTCATTCTCTCTCTCTGTCTCTCTTTCTCATTCTCTCTCTCTCATTCTCTCTCTCTCTCATTCTCTCTCTCATTCTCTCTCTCTCTCATTCTCTCTCTCTCTTTCTCTCTCTCTCTCTCTCTGTCTCTCTCTGTCTCTCTCTCTGTCTCTCTCTGTCTCTGTCTCTCTCTCTGTCTCTCTGTCTCTCTCTGTCTCTGTCTCTCTCTCTGTCTGTCTCTGTCTCTCTCTCTGTCTGTCTCTGTCTCTCTCTCTCATTCTCTCATTCTCTGTCTCTTCCACACACACTCACCTACACAATGATGCATGGCCATAATTATTAAAAATTATTTTCAGATTAGAAAATTCAGAGAAGAAAACAACTATTGGGAATCCCACCAGTTAAAATGTTGGCATTTTTCTTTCTCCTGGTCTTCCTTCTTTGCTTTTTGTTCTGAAATCATGCTTTTTTTTTTTTTCTTGAGACGGAGTCTCACTGTGTCTCCCAGGCTGGAGTGCAGTGGCGCGATGTCGGCTCACCGCAACCTCTGCCTCCTGGGTTCAAGTGATTCTCCTGCCTCAGCCTCCTGAGTAGCTGGGATCACAGGTGCGTGCTACCACACCTGGCTAATTTTTGTGTTTTCGGTAGAGACGGGGTTTCACCATACTGGCTGGGCTGGTCTTGAACTCCTGACATCGTGATCCATCCTCCTCGTCCTCCCAAAGTGCTGAGATGACAGGCATGAGCCACCACGCCCAGCCCCAAATCACGCTTTTCATGCACACACTGGACATGCCATGGGAGGGATCTACCAGATACCTTCCTCCCTTCTCTCAGAAGCCCGGTGTGCTCTGCATGCCCGCAGCCCCATTCTTGGGCCAATCCAAAGCGGCTCCTTTTGCATGAGGAACTGACCAGAGGCACGCTGGAGCCACTGAGCCAAGCTGGCTTGAGCTTCCTGCATACCTGGGCATCTCAAAGGCTGGAAGCTGCTCTTGAGAGTGAATTTCCTATAAGCTAAAACCCTCCCACTGCAAAAAGATCCGTCTTTTCCCCACTACGGTAAAAAAAAACGTAATTCCTTTTCCTTCTTTCTTATTCTGCGTATAGTATAATGTCTTTAAAAGCTGTTGCAAAAGTAACTGCTCGATATGTCACTCCAGGACACTAATTGTTTAGTGGGAACACACATTTCCTGAATTCATTGCAGGGTTATAGGTCAGTTGATTTATTATTATTTGTGCAAAAGTAAATGGCTTTTGAAGTGAAGCTGCTTCCTGGCAACAGAGGACGATCCCAGCCCTCGGAGTGTGCGTCTGCAGCTTACGACCGGACGCATCCCGGGACAGGGCTGTGGTCCTTCACAGCACCTGTCTGGGTCTGGCCCTCTCACATTGCAAACTTCGCAAAGACCTGAACAACTGAGGCAGCTAAGTGTTCGGGCATTTTTCCTACTCACTTTTTTTTTTTTTTTTTTTTTTTTTTGAGACGGAGTCTCGCTCTGTCGTCCAGGCTGGAGTGCAGTGGCGTGATCTCGGCTCACTGCAAGCTCTGCGTCCCGGGTTCACGCCATTCTCCTGCCTCAACCTCCCGGGTAGCTGGGACTACAGGTGCCCACCACCATGCCCGGCTAATTTTTTTTTGTATTTTTAGTAGAGACGGGGTTTTACCGTGTTAGCCAGGATGGTCTCGATCTCCTGACCTCATGATCCACCTGCCTCGGCCTCCCAAAGTGCTGGGATTACAGGTGTGAGCCACTGCATCCGGCCCCTGCTCACTCTTGACAGAGTGAACAAGCACTCCTCCCCCCTCCCCAAAACACTGAATCCCAGCATTCCCAACGTGCAAGCAAGCCTTTCACAGAAAAGCGTTACAATCTTATAATTAAATTAGGTGCTTGTGGGAAACAGCACAATTAAAACCAGAAAATAATTTAGGAAGATTAAACCCATTAAGGTAGGACTTTTCTTCTTTAGTGGAGAGGAAATACAATTAGGTGAACTAACTTATTAAAAACACCTACACAGATATCTAAATATCTCCCAAATGCACTGAAATGCTTTGCTCCCTGTGAGGCAGAAAGACTCCACTTCCTTTTCTGCCAAATCAAATTAGAAAGCCCAACTCAATGATTCCCCAGGAGAAATATTTACACCTCAAAATAGATTGAAGGAAATCTAATCTGAAGCTGCCCAGAAATTACTACAGAACTAAGTTATTTCTGTCATTTTAGGGTGGTAAGCTCATGATTTCATGATAAGAGCACCCATTCTATCACCTAAATTTATATAAACCTTGAAGAATAAACACGGGGTAGAGATCTACTTTTCAGGATATGGACAGAAAAGTTCTTGTGGTCTTACGTAATTACAATATAAAAATGGGTATAGATATGACCTGACACATTATACAATAGATCATTTAGGTATAATGTAGACTTAATGGGCAGGGCACAGTGGCTCATGCCTGTAATCCCAGCACTTTGGGAGGCCGAGGCAGGTGGATTGATTACCTAAGGTAGGGAGTTCAAGACCAGCCTTGCCAACATGGTGAAACTCCGTCTCTACTAAAACTACAAAATTCGTCCGGCGTGGTGGTGCATACCCATAGTCCCAGCTACTCAGGAGGCTGAGGCAGGAGAATCGCTTGAATCCGGGAGGCAGAGTTTGCAGTGAGCTGAGATCGTGCCATTGCATTCCGCCTGGGTGACAGAGCAAGACTCTGTCTCATAAACAAACAAAAACAAACAAACAACCAAAAAATCCTTAATGAACATGTATGTTTAACGATATATATATATAGGAACAGTTATAGCCAGATGTTCTCAGAGTTTGACGGTTGGAGAAATATAACAGTGATTAAAAGCTTCACCTTTGGAGTCAGATGAACTTGGATCTAACATGGCCATAAGCATGTTAAATCTGTCTCTAAATTTTAGCCTCCACATCTGTAAAATGGAGATTCTAGAACCACCTTTGAGGAATGTTATGGGGATTGGATAAGGCCATACCTATTGTTTGCTCAGCAGTGCCCTGGTACTTAGGAAATGCCCATAGTCACTATTTTAAATAGTAAAAATAAGCTGGGCACAGTGGCTCATACCTGTAATCCCAGTAGTTGGGAAGCTGAGGCAGGAGGATCACTTGAGCCCAGGAGTTCGAGATCAGCCTGGGCAATATAGTGAGACTTTGTCTCCACAAAAAAATTTAAAAATTAGCTGAGTATGGTGGCATGTACCTGTAGTCCCAGTTGCTCTGGAGGCTGAGGTGGGAGGATTGCTTGAGCCCAGGAGGTTGAAGCTGCAGTGAGCCATGATTGTGCCATTGCACTCCAGCCTGGGAGACAGAATGAGACCCTGTTTCAAAATAATAAATAAATAAATAATAAAAATAATAGTTTCCACATCCCAAGCTCCTACTATATGCCAGGCACTGTCGTAAATGTTTTATCTACGTTACCTCATTTAACCCTAATGGTGATCTTGTGAGCAGGTATATTTAATTCCACACACATGTTACAAAAGAGGAAATTGAGGCACAAAACCTTTTGGTAATGTGCTGATATGGTATGGCTCTGTGTCCCCACCCAAATCTCATCTTGAATTGTAATCCTCTTGTGTCAAGGGAGGGGCCTGGTGGGAGGTGATTGGATCATGGGGACGGTTTCCTCCATGCTGTTCTTGTGATAGTGAGTGAGTTCTCATGAGATCTGATGGTTTTTTAAAAGTGGTATTTTCTCCTTCGCTCTCTCTCTCTCTCCTGCCGCCATGTAAAACATGCCTGCTTCCCCTTTGCCTTCCACCATGATTATAAGTTTCCTGAGGCCTTCCCAGCTTTGTGGAACTGTGAGTCAATCAGACCTCTTTTCTTTCTAAATTACCCAGTCTCAGACAATCCTTTATACCAGTGTGAGACTGGACTAATACACACACCAGTGTCATACGTCCAGTACATGGCTAGGCCTGCATAGAAACCCCTCATTCCTGAACCACATGATAAGAGCTTAGATCATTTCTTTGGTAGGTGGGAAAGGTGGTCTCCAGAGCAAGGAAGCAGCACTAGTACCCCAGTTCACGACCACATTTCAAAAAGCAGTGTCATGTACTCCTGTCATCACTGTTCACTGTTAGATAATAAAGGTATGCAGTCTTTGCTTTGGTCCCATGTGCGGAAATTTCAGATGGAAGCTGAACCAGACTTAGAAACGTAGGACAAGTCACCAATGCCTAGAAAGATGCTTTAGTAGTGTACATCTCCCTCAGTTCATTCTCACATTGCTATAAAGAAATACCGGAGACTGGGTAATTTATAAAGAAAAGAGGTTTCATTGGCTCACCGTTCCACAGGCTGCACAGGAAGCATGGCAGCATCTGCTCCACTCCGGAGGAGGCCTCAGGAAACTTTCAATCACGGCAGAAGGCAAAAGGGAAGCAAGCACATCGTATGTGGCAGGGACATGTGGAGGAGAGAGGTGCTGGTAAACACTTTTGAACAACCAAATCTCGTGAGAACTCACTCACTATACAGTGCCAAAGAGGGATAGTGCTAAGCCATTCATGAGAACTCCACCCCCACGACCCATTCGCCTCCCACCAGGTCCCACCTTCAGCACTGGGGATTACAATTCAACATGAGATTTGGGTGGGGACACAGATGCAAACCATATCAACATCATAGGATGAGAAGAAGCAGCCAGGCATTTTTTGAACTACTCTTGATAAATTCTTTACAGATAAATAAAACACTTTAATGTTTGGAACGTTTCAATCACAGTGTATGAAACGAATGTTAGTTACTCCATTTCTTTTTATTTCCCTGTACTGTACATTTATAACTGACGCTAAGACAACCTTGAATGTTTGGACAAAATGGTTTAAAGGTCACAGAACACTCACAAATTTCCCGTTAATTATTAAAACTGTTTTGCCCAGTTTCAGCTTGCACCATCAGTTTTATGGCCCTGCTGTAAGGTGTAAATGCTATATTTGTTAAGTGTCTATACATGTGGAGTGTGTTCATTTCCTACAAGGCTGATCACAATGCTAGATGAAAGTGTGCCCCTCCCCTGCTCCTCAGACCCTGGTGGGTTCTGCTTCTCCATGCATTCTGGGCTGGCTTCCATCTCCAGAAGTGATTCTTCTCCTGTGCTCCCCTTCCTTACACTCCCTAGTAATGGCTTAGCTACACAGCCTTCCTGCCTCTCAGTCTCGTTCCTGCCTCCACTTCCTCCTGAAGCTCCTGAAACAAACCCAGGCTATTCCTTTTTTTTTTTTTTTTTTTTTTTTTTTTTTGAGATGGAGTCTTACTCTGTTGCCCAGGCTGGAGTGCAGTGGCGCGATCTTGACTTGCTGCAACCTCTGCCTCCCAGGTTCAAGCAATCCTCCCACCTCAGCCTCCTGAGTAACTGGAGTACAGCCACATGCCACCACGCCTGGCTAATTTTTGCATTTTTAGTAGAGATGAGGTTTCACCATGTTGGCCAGGATGGTCTCAAATTCTTGACCTCAGATGATCCGCCCCCTTCAGCCTCCCAAAGTGCTGGGATTACAGGCGTGAGCCACGTGCCCGGCTCCATGCTGTTCTTAACACCCTTCTATTCCATGACAATAAGAGCTAACGTGTCGAGTGCATGCTTGCTTGTAAGTCATTTTAGCCTCACCCTCACAAACTCTGACAAGCAGGGTGATACTAGTATCACTCCCATTTGGCAGAAGAAACTGAGGCACAGAGAAAGCAGGTCACTTGTTCAGGCCACCAGAAAGTGTCAAGGCAGGCTTCAGACCCAGGTGGCCTGGCTTCTGAACCTGCGGGCTGGACCGGCCCACCTGGGTGCCCTTCTGTGGTCCTTGCCTGCAGTCATTTTTGCTATTGGGCCCAGGGGCACAAGCTAGTCATGAGACTTCCAAAAAATATTTAAAATTGGGGAAAGGAAAAATACAGATACTCTCCAGAATATGAAAACTGCAAAAACAAAACCAATCCATTTAAGTAAGTGTGTACACAATATAATATTTATGGCATTTAAAAATAACTAAATTTGGTTTTTAAAAATTTCCATTCTATTATAAAAATAACATGACTTTGAAAGCATTCCCTAGTGTACAGGTTAATTGGCTAGACATCACAGCCAAACACAGGATAACTTACGTTTGTTTTTTTGTTTGCTTTTTTGTTTTTTGTGTGAGATGGAGTTTCGCTCTTGTCACCCAGGCTGGAGTGCAGTGGCGTGATCTCGGCTCACTGCAACCTCCGCCTCCTAGGTTCAAGGGATTCTCCTGTCTCAGCCTCCTGAGTTGCTGGGATTACAGGCACACGCCACCACGCCTGGCTAATTTTTTGTATTTTTAGTAGAGACAAGGTTTCACCATATTGGTCAGGCTGGCCTTGAACTCCTGACCTCAGGTGATCCACCCGTCTCGGCCTCCCAAAGTGTTGAGATTATAGGCGTGAGGCACCACGTCCAGCCTACTTATGTTTTTAAATAAATTGATAAAATCATTTCAAATTATTTTATGCCCAAATACATATGCATGTGATGTGAAATGTGGTTGCCTTTTCAAATGTGTGACTTGACATAGGCAGGGGTCTCAGCTTTAAGAAAAAGGGGAAACCAAGTCCTCAACATGGTCTTGTCTTTCCCTGGGCCCATAGCTCCTATGTAGATGGTCCCAGACCAATTACAACCGGATCTGCATGTCCAGCTCCTGCCGGGGACCACCCCAGCTGCACCTCTCCAGACAGCAGGGACAGGCTCGGGCACCTTGTCCAAGGCAGAAAGACATCAGAGCTAAGGCTGCCTGGATTCAAACTGTCATTCTCCTGCCGAGTAAAAAGATGACCTTGGGGGCTTACTTAACCTTGCTGATCTCAGACATGCCTGCTTCAAGGGGCTGTTTGTGAAGATTGCCTACCTGAAAGGAAGAAGGTGGGGCAAAATTAATCCAAGCAGATAATTTATTTGGCCAAGCTTGAGGATTGCAACCCGAGAGCATAGATTCAAGTTGTCCTGAATCTACAATCCAAAGAGCGCAGGTAGACGTGGATTTTTAAAAACAAGAGGCAGGGAGTTGGCTGCTACAAAGTTGTTTGCCAGGAATTCTCATTGGTGTACACGAACAACATTGAAGAGCAATTGGTTATACATGGTTAAGCTATAGGTTGTGGGTTACAGCATCCCCTGTGGCATTATTAGGTTAATCTACAGCTATCTGTGGCAATAGCAATAGTTTAAAGAGATGAACACACAGCTCAAAGTGGGAAAGTGGAGAATGGTTGCTATCTCATTTTAATGCCTCTCTGGGCCTGATAATTTGAAAGGGCTCACGTTCCTCACATGAAAGTTCTTTTCTTTCCTCTGGATTGAGTTCACACATGGCACATGGAGTATGACCTGTACATTCATTCACTCAAAACAAAAAACAAAACAAAAAAATAGCTCCAGGCAGTGACTCATGCGTGTCATCCCGTACTTTGGGAGGCCAAGGCAGGAGGATCTCTTCAGGCCAGGAGTCGGAGACCAGCCTGGACAATATAGTGAGATCTCATCTCTATTTAAAAAAAGTTTTTTTTTAATTAGCCAGGCGTGGTAGTGTGTGCCTGTGGTCCCAGCTACCTGGGATGCTGAGGTGGGAGGATCAATTGAGTCCAAGAATTTGAGGCTGCAGTGAGCTGAGATTGTACCACTGCACTCCAGCCTGGATGACCAAGCAAGATCCTGTCACAAAAACAAACAAACAAACAAACAAACAAAACTATGCAGCAGCAACTATGTGCTGGGCCCTGTTCTGGACCCTGGGATACAGCTGCAAACAAAGGTCCTGCTCTTATGGAGCTCACATCTTGTGAGGGAGAAGCAGGAGATGGAGATGTAACGTGCTCAGGGTGATGAGAGCTGAGGAAAGAAGTGAGCTGGAGAAACGGATTGGGACACGGGAAGGCATCACTGACGCGGGGTATATGAGTGACAGCTTGGATTTGTGTCCCTGCCCAAATCTCATGTGGAACTGGAAGAGGGGCCTGGTGGGAGGAGATTGGATCATGGGGGCAGATTTCCCCCGGCTGTTCTTGTGATAGTGAGTGAGTTCTCATGAGATCTGATGCTTTAAGAGTGTGTTGCGCTTCCCGGCCGGGCGTGGTGGCTCACACCTATAATCCCAGCACTTTGGGAGGCCGAGGCAGGTGGATCACGATGTCAGGAGATGGAGACCATCCTGGCCAACATGGTGAAACCCCGTCTCTACTAAAAATACAAATATAGCTGGGTGTGTTGGCGTGCACCTGTAATCCCAGCTACTCGGGAGGCTGAAGCAGGAGACTCGCTTGAACCGGGGAGGCGGAGATTGCAGTGAGCTGAGATCGCGCCACTGCGCTCCAGCCTCGCAACAGAGCGAGACTCTGTCAAAAAAAAAAAAAAGAGTGCGTGTGGCGCTTCTCTCGTTGCTCCCTCTCTCTCCTGCCACCGTGTGAAGAAGGCCCTTGCTTCCCCTTCTCCTTCCGCCATGGTTGTAAGTTTCCTGACGCCTCCCAGTCATGCTTCCCGTACAGCCTGCAGAACTGCGAGTCAATGAAATCCCTTTTCTCCACAAATTACCCAGTCTCAGGTAGTTCCTTACAGCAGCGTGGGAACAGACTCAAGAGCTGAAGCAAGCAAGGCCGTTAGCAAGGAGCGGGCTGGGGAGAGCACTCCAGGCAGAGGGAACAGCCAGGGCCAGGGCCTTGAGACAGACGTGAGCCAGGATATCTGAGGAACAGCAGAGAAGCCAGTGTGGCCGCAGCTAAATGAGGAACAATGTGTGAGTTCCCTGGGGCGGCCAAAACAAACACCACGGACGGGGGCCTTCAACCACAGACACCGATTTCCTCACAGCTCTGGAGGCGAAAAGTCCAAGAAAACTGCACGGAGTATCTATGAGGCCCTGATGGAGACCTGACCTGGTCCACACCCATGGCCTGGCAAGCTAGATGGGGTGAATTTTCACCTGCCACAGTCGCAAGTCAAAGCCACCGGCTTCTCTCTTCTCCCTCCCATTGCTCCTGACAGCCAGGGTTAATATTTTGCCTCATGTAAACAGGGAGGCATCCACCCGAGAATCTCCCCTCAGCCCACATAAGCTCTGCAGAGAGGGCTGTGTTGCTCCAGTTCCCACCTGGACATGAGCACTTTGAAGGGCAGCTTCCCTCCCGGGGTCTGGCTGAGCTCAGGGTAGGCGTCAGTCTGCATGGATTGGATGGAGGAAGGCTGTGCGTGGCAGGAGATGACACTGCCCTTGGGCTGTGTGGTTTCTCTCTGTTCCGAGCCCTGTTCCTCCACCTTAGCGGAATAGCGCCTCTCCATCCAGTTCTCATCTTTGAGAACGATTCTTGGGATGAAAGCCACGACGTTGGATATGAACAACCTGGTTGCCAAGTTGTTTGCATTTTTGCCTCCTCTCCTTTCTGAAGGGAAAAGCTGTCCTTGTGTGGGGCCACTTCAGACCCCAGTGAGCAAAAGGAGTGATGTTTAGGGGAAGGCAGGGAGAGCAGAAACTTGCATATTCCACACCTTCTGCGGCTGGGCACTGGGATGGGCCTTTCTCATGGCCGGTGGGATGGGAGAGGAGAGAGGTCTCCATCCAGCACCACTTACATCACACACATAAGCGACCTGGGGTATTAGTGGCTAGGAGTGCAGGTTCCAGATATCTCTCAGGTATAGTCTCCGCAGGATCCTGTTCCTCCCTTACCACTCATGAAGCCACTTTTCCCCCCAGGAGCCTTGGTGGCCTCCTATCTAAAGTGGGGATGGCACACAAATCCATGTCCTTGTGACGGTCCCATGAGAGAAGCAGACAGACCCTGTGCACACAAGGGCCTGCAGGGAGAAGCGCTCTACACGTGGCGACACCCTTTCCTCCCAGGATGGTCTCCTCTGCATTCCTGCTGTCATCCCAGCGTCCCACCTGATTCCCCAGGACACAGCTGACTAGAAATCAGCCCTGGACTAGAACCCACCGCCCGCCAGGGGTGGGTACGCTTTCTCGGAGGCCCCCATGGGGAGGCAAAATGGAAAACCACACCCAATACTCAACCTACAGTGGGCCACTAATTCCCAAGGCAATTCTGCTGTTTGTATCTGTGGGAGAAATGCATTTCCTTTGTTTTCGAAAAAGCAGATGGCCAGGTGTCATTGGCAGAGGGGCTGCAGTGAGGGCAGTGAGGGAGAGCAGAGGAAATGAATGGACAGTGCAGAGGACAGGCCAGGTGGCCCACAACCAGGCAGACAGCTCACGTTGCCTTTTCTGGAAATAGGGACTGCATGACCAATCTGTGCCTGTGCCTCTCTGGCACACAATGGACAATTTCGGAAAACTTCAAAAGAAAAAGCCAAGTTGATTTTGCTAAAAATGTGAAGTTTCTCTCTCTCTCTCTCTCTATCTCTTTAATGCAATGCATAGTTTATCATTTTCTTGTCTTTAGGATTAATTAAAGACAGGGCTAAATTTGTTTAAACAAGCTCTAAAATATTAAAAAAGAAGAAGAAGGCAAAGTACATAGTGTTTCCAAGTCCAGGGAACATTCTGTTCCCTGGGCTTCAGTTTATAACTGAATGTGCTTTACGTTTAGAAGACAAGCTATAGCTTGTAAAATGAATGTGGAAATAATCTAAAGTATGAGGCCTCCATTATTTATTATGTAATTGGAGAAAATTCTGGCTGGGAGAAATCTCTAGCTGAAAGCCAAGATGATCCCTACTCAATCGTTCTTAAACAAAATTAACATGTATCCATTTCTTTGATAATATTTCACTGGCAGGCAGTTCCTCTTCTAGGCTGCTATGAGCAAATTGCCAAGTTGGGTGTCACCCGTATAATCATTATCATGGGAAACCGTCAGAGTTCCTTGGGCAAGGGAATCAAAGATTTCAAGTGTTGACATTTTGTTAAGTAGGTTTTTTATAAAGTCTTACATTTAGAACTTTTCAGAACATGTCATCTCCAAAATCAGTAATCATTAAACGACGTCCAAGACCATGTTTTTGAGATCCTTCTATACTCTAAAAGCATTTTGATAATATTATTCCATAAACTGCCCCTTTTTTATTAAATGCATATCACAATCTTTTCAAACTATGAATATGGTCCTGGTTCATTCAAGAGAAAGAAGCTCTGCCCAGTGCAGTGGCTCACGCTATAATCCAATCACTTTCAGAGGCAGGAGGATCACTTGAGGCCAAGAATCGGAGACCAGCCTAGGGGGCAACAAAGTAAGACCCTATCTCTACAAAAATATTTAAAAGTTAGCCAGGGGTGGTGGCACATACCTGTGGTCCTGCCTACTCAGGAGGCTGAGGCGGGAGGATCCCTTGATTCCAGGAGTTCAAGGCTGCAGTGAGCTATGATCATAGGATTGCACTCCATCCTGGGTGACAGAGCGAGATGCTGTCTCTTAAAAAAAAGTCATTGGTGATGACTTTCTTTATTGCCTTTCATTAACAAAGTAATTTCCCCATAGATGCCTCCCTCCCGCCATCTAGGACTTGTGGAGGTCGAAAATATCATGAATGAATGTTCACTTTTATAAAATGTTCTTCCTGCACCACTTGTGCCTTGAGAAGCTCTGTGGAGTGCAGGGTCATTCTCAACTTTCTTGAGGAGGGGATGTCTCCACCCCCAACTCCACTGTAGGCACCCTCTTCCCTTAAGCTGCTTTAATTTTTTTTCACTTAATATTCACTCAACTATATTCTTTACAAGAAAATAAATTCCAAGGGGACAGGGACTTTTCTGCCTTACTTCTGTTTCCAAGCTTTTAGAAAAGCACCTGGCACATGGTAGGTGCTCAATAAATATTTGTGGTGATACTTATTAAGAAATGGAGTGACAAAAGGCACTGTGAATTCATTAACATTAAAAATATTTTGTCTTATTGCATGAAATTAATGCATACATATAAAAATGGTGGCATGTAAGTGTATGCGTTATTTAATCTCTGTTATAGGTTTCTGAACCCCTGGGAGTAACTCCAAGGATCAGAGATTGAGAACCACCTATATCAGGGGGAACAAGTACTAAATTGAAGTGCCGTAGACTGACTTGATTCTATTACAGGCTGAGCATCTTTTATTTGAAATGCTTGGGGCCAGAAGTGTTTTGGATTTCAGATTATTTTGGATTTTGGAATATTTGAATTATACTTACCAATTGAGCATCCCAAATCCAAACATCTGAAATCTAAATGTTCCAATGAACCTATCATTAAAGCATCTTGTCAGTACTCAGAAAATTTCAGATTTTGAAACATTTTGGATTTTTGGATTTGGGATGCTTAACCTGTACCTGCTAGGTAACTCTGAACAACACCACTTAATTTTCCTGAGTCTTGGTTTAATTGTGTGGCAGATGGGAGTAATAATAGCTGATTTACCTACTCGACATAGCTGAAAATAGAATGATATGTATATATGCAAATACATTTTGTAAACTACAAAGAACCATACACATATAGATTATTTTTGCTACTATAATAAAACATAGGTCTTGGGTCCGTAATCCCAGCAAAGCAGAGGACTGCTGCCTGCAGCTTTAGTCAATTTGATCACCATAGTCTATCATCACCATCATTAGAATAGAAACACTTACTCTCCCTGGGGTCTGTTGACCATCCCACGTGCGAAAAAACCCTATACAAATTTGCCCGGAATGTAGACTCCCCATTGGCCACAGTGGTAGTTTATTAGCTTCATACTGTGTGGAGTCAATGACTCATAGAAGGCACATTTTTCACCTCTTAGCCTTGGCAGCAACGACCCGTTGCTCAAAATTTGCTAACAGGCTCCCTCAGCTATTTCCTGTTGTGTTGCAGTAACACCGCTTTTTCTTTAGGCCACATTAAATTTTAAAACACATTAGAAACATTTCATCCCTGGCCTTCCTCTTCTAGTCATTGCAAAAAAAAAAAAAAAAGTGCTGTAGCAAACATGAGGATTATGATGATTGGTTAATTTCCCTCCATTTTAACCAATGAAATGTGTTCCTTATCACTATGGTTACATAACAACTAGCTCCCACAGGTGGAATCCAGCCTCACCAAAGCACCTGGGATAGTTCATCTACTCCTGCTCACTGATTATATCTAAATCACCAATAATGACCCAAATAACTTCGTATTTTTAAAAGTTATAGAGGTTATGTTATTTTTAGCCACTTCTATTGTGAAATATACTTCCCAAACAGAAAACTGTGCAAATCAGAAATGTCTAGCTCAATGAATAGCACGTAGATTTCCTTGCTCTTCTTCAGCTATACCCACCTAAGCATGACCCCTCAATACTATAGTTTACTTCTGTCTGTTTTTGTTTTGTTTTGTTTTGTTTTGTTTTTTTGAGACGGAGTCTCGCTCTGTCGCCCAGGCTGGAGTGCAGTGGCGCGATCTCGGCTCACTGCAAGCTCCGCCTCCCGGGTTCACGCCATTTTCCTGCCTCAGCCTGCCCAGTAGCTGGGACTACAGGCGCCTGCCACCACTCCCGGCTAATTTTTTTTTTGTATTTTTTAGTAGAGACGGGGTTTCACTGTGTTAGCCAGGATGGTCTCGATCTCCTGACCTCGTGATCCACCCGCCTCGGCCTCCCAAAGTGTAGGGATTACAGGCGTGAGCCACCGCGCCCAGCCCCTGTCTGTTTTTTAAAGTATATAAATGGGATTCTGTGATATGTTTTCTCTAGTATCTGGCTTGTTTTGCACGTCATTCTGTTTATGAGGTTCATTCATGTTCATGTAACTGTGGTCCAATTTCTTCACTGCAGTGAAGTTGTTTATTATATTTTAAAAAACATTTTCATGAATCCATTTCATTGTTGATGGACAGTTGGGTTTTTTCCAGTCTAAAGCTGCTATACACACTGCTGCTGTGAAGATTGCTGTACAAGTCTCGTGCTAAAAATAGGCATGCTTTTCCGCTGAGTATCTACCTAGGAGTGGAATTACTATGAAAGAAGGAATGCACATCTTCACTTTAATAGATAATACCAAACCTCTTCCTTTAGTGACTAGAACCAAATGTATGATATGAGAGAGTCTCCATCACTCTCCATTGTCACCAGCCCCTGGCATGGATATTCCCTTTAATCTTAGCCACCTTGGTGAGTGTATTTGGAATCTCAATGTTTTTAATTTGCACTTTTCTGATTACTTAAGAGTCTGGGCCCCTTTCCCTATATTTATTGACCATTTGAATATTGTTCTTTGCCAGGTATCTTCAAGTGTCATCCATTTCTGTCTTTTATTTTATTTTATTTATTTATGAATTGGGATCTCACTCTGTTGCCCAGGCTGGACCGCAGTGAAGCTCACTGCAACCTTAAACTCCAAGTGATCTTCCCTCCTCAGCCTACAGGCATGAGCCTTCATGCCTGGCTATTTGTAAAATTATTATTTTTTGTAGAGATGGGGGTCTTGCTATATTGCCCAGGCTTGTCTTGAACTCCCAGCTTCAAGCAATCCTCTCAGCTTGGCCTCTCAAAACGCTGGGACTACAGACCATTTTTCTTTTTAAAATATTATTTGGGGAGATTTATTTATTTATTTATTTATTTATTTATTTATTTATTTATGAGATGGAGTCTTGCTCTTTCACCCAGGCTGGAGTCCAGTGGCGCGATCTCAGCTCACTGCAAGCTCCACCTCCCAGGTTCACGCCATTCTCCTGCCTCAGCCTCCCGAGTAGCTGGGATTACAAGCTTGCACCACCACACCAGACTAAAACATACAATATACTGATTTCCATTTCCTTGGAAAGATTGTTGCTGGGACTATTTCTTATTAACTAGTTGCGTTTCCTGTTTTGGTTTTTTTGTTGTTGTTGTTTAGGATTTTTAGTGTTTCCTTTTATTATGTTTTGAGACGAGGTCTTGCTCTGTTACCTAGACTAGAGTGCAATAGCATGATCACAGCTCACTGCAGCCTCAACCTCCCAGGCTCAAGTGATCCTCCCACCTTAGCCTCCCGAGTAGCTGGGACCACAGGGTAAAGTAAAAGGTAAAGACTGACCAGGAAAGGGGATGGGAGTGGGGAGAAAAAACATATTAAACTGAATTATACCTTCCACCTTACCTTGTATTATGATCAAAAGAAATCCCTCTGCTGTCCTTTCCTCCTGACACTCTTCCCACAGGCATGCACCATCATGCCTGGCTAATTCTGTAAATTTTTTGTAGAAGCAGGGGTCCCACTATGTTGCCCAGGCTGGTATCGAACTCCTGTGCTCAAGTGAAGTGTTTTCAAAATGACATATTTCTATATCTTACAATTTTCCTGAGTTTTGGTGTTAATTAAATGTACAATTAAATCTTTTGGTTTTTAAAAATATAGATAACATCTTCCACTGTTTAATTCTATACTGTTTTTTAAAAAGAAAACCTGAAGAGTGCAAACCTGTAGAGTAAGAAAAGGGGAGGAATGAAATTTATCTTACTCCTCCTGCCAGATGCAGTTTGGTACATCTTAACACTAAATGCTCATTTTACTGAATTCTCACTTTAAGAATGTTCCATTATATTTTAAACTCTTTATAGGCATATTGATTTTGTGCTGAAAGAGATTAAACAGCCCTCAAGAGTTTCAAGCAAATTCTCTTAGTCAGTAAATGCATTTCCTCTTTCATTCATGTCCCAATGCCCAGTCAACATTTTTTGTGTGCCTGTATCACTTAACCAACAAAGATTTTGGAAACAATCTTTGGATAATACAATATTTGATTTCTCATAATGTGACCTGAAGATCCACATGATTTTGTTTTTTTGTCAGCCCATGCCACCCCATGGTTTGGAGGAACCAAACCCCCAGCCTTTTGAGGGGTGAGACTCCTGGAATTTTCGTCCCGTGCCTTCGTGGGGATTTCTCCTGTATTTAGTATTTGTTCACCCGACACAGACTTGCAGAGCCTAATGCATTCCAGACACTGCGCTGAGTGCCAGGAATAAAGAAACATCTGTACCTGGTACAGTCTGGCTGGGGCAAGAAACCACCAACATGATAAGCAAATGAATGTATAATGTAACAGAACATGGGTTGTGCCCTGAAGAAAAATAAAGACTGACCAGGAAAGGGGATGGGAGTGGGGAGAAAAACCATATTAAACTGAATTATACCTTCCACCTTACCTTGTATTATGATCAAAAGAAATCCCTCTGCTGTCCTTTCCTCCTGACACTCTTCCCACACACACACATGCACACACACACGCACATCTGTAAACCCCTGACAACAGTGGTGACGTCTATCTCACCTTTGTGCACCCCCAAAGCTGAACACAGCTATGCATGACTGACACAATTTTGTTAAACCAAAGAAAATCTTTTCATGATGTCTCCATTAATTTCATGTGGCCAACCAGCCATTCCTGGAAGTTTCTTGAACTCTCTGGAGATCCCTTCTGCCTTTAGGCATCTTCTGTCTACTCAGCGAGTAGTTCCTGGGGCTTTCCTAATGGCATTTCTGCTTATCCGATATCTGCTGGATGTCGTTCAGAAAAATGACATTGGAGGCTGAGGCCTCAAACTTTAGCTCCATATTCTTGGTCAGGTTTCAGATTTTCACTTAAACACAGCCCTGTCTGCGATGCCAACAGACTTTAGCTCAATTTATTATCAGAGGGCGATCTGGCACTCCCATACAGCTCCGCAAATGCCTCTGACTATCTAATAACTCATCATTAAACACCACATTCCCTGAGAGGCTGTGGAGACCAGGCAGGGAGGGCCTCTCCCTTCTGAAAAAAGGAGCCCCTTCCAGGGCTCACAACAAAATGTCAAGTTTGGCAAAAGATAAAAATAGAAGTCTTTGTTTCACACTTGCAAAAAGGCTCAAACTTTCACGTGTGCTTCTGTTTATATTAAATAAAAAGCCCATTTTTCTTGGGATAAAAGCATCTTAAGAAGAGTTGTAGGGAGAAGAGACTAGGTCCTTTCTTAACCGGAATTCAACTGATTAGACCCTGGCCAGACTCTCCAGTCAGACCCAGAAAGAGAAAACAGTGCCAATCCGAATGATTCAGCTCAATCCGTTCAAAACAACAAATCATGAAATGGCATCATGGACAGGCATGTTACGATAAGACTCTGCTAACGTGGCTTTTGCTGCAAAGTGGGAAATGGTTCTGGGAACTTACAGCTTTAATAAGATCAAACAATGCATCAAATGGAGGTCTGAGTTGGAGATCTGGGCTTCGACCTGCAGAAATAAGAATTGAGGCCTGTTGGGTGCTTCGCTGCTGGCAGTGCTCTCTCACGTGCCCTTTCCAGCTGGCTCTCACCTGATTCTCAGACACCTCTGAGAGCTAGGTGGTGTTCTCGTGTACATGTTAGAGATGAGGAAACCCAATCTCTGACAGCTGTCTATCCACCTGTTTGGAAGGGGCTGAACTGTGTTCCCCCCAAGCTCATCTGTTGAAGCTTTAACCCCCAGTACTTCAAAGCATGTCTTTATTCAGAGATAGTCTTTCAAGAGATAATTAAGATGCAGTGAAGTCATTAGCGTGGGCCCTAATCCGATCTGACTGGTGTCCTAACAGGAAGAGGAGATTAGAACACAGACATGACCATGTAAGGACACAGGGAGAAGGCGGCCGTCTGTAAGCCAAGGAGGGAGGCTCAGAAGGAACGAACCCTGCTCACACCTGGATCCCAGACTTCTAGCTTCCAGGACGGAGAAAATAAATGTTGTTGAAGCCGCCTACCCTATGGTACTTTATTATGGAAGCCCTAGCACACTAATACATTAAGGTAAGTTCTCTGAGGGCAGAATGGGGCTTTTGCTATTTCGATGAAAGTTCTTCGGATTCTGCAAAGCTGACCTCATATTCTGTGATGATTTTGGTAGAAGGCACACAGGCCACCTGCTCACTCCCTGCTCCTCTCATTCCTCCTCACTTTCCCTCCTATTTTCATCATCTTCCCTCTCCCTTTCTCCTTCTTTCACTCCAGGGGGATATGTTTGCCAACCATCTGCAAAGTGCCTACTGTGTTTCACGTAAACGCTTTTAATTTACGTAACTCATGCTATTTATCTCGTCATGATTTGACTCTTTTCCTTTTGGATAGTTTTCAAGATCAATCCTTGTTGCAAGATGAATATTTAACCTGTTACTTTTTTTTTTGGAGACAAGGTCTCGCTCTGTCGCTCAGGCAGGATTGCAGTGGCATGAACACAGCTCACTGCAGCCTCAAACTCCTGGGCTCAGGTGATCCTCCCACCTCAGCCTCGCGAGTAGCTGGGACTACAGGCATGCACCACCTCACACAGCTAATTTTATTTATTTTTCTAATAGAGATGGGGTCTTGCTATGTTGCCCAGGCTGGTCTTGAACTCCTGGCCTCAAGCAATTCTCCCACCTCAGTCTCCCAAAGAACTGGGATTACAGGTGTGGGCCACCACGCCTGGCCTAACCTGTAACTTCTAATTGACACCTCAACATTTCCGAAAATGCCTTTATTCTGCCTGTGCACTGGATTGATAGTTTCTATAGGTGTAGAAGCCCAGGTCGAAAACCACCTTCCTGCAGAAAGCCCCATCCTCTTGTCATTCCCAGAGCGGCTGCAGGGAAAGCTACAGCCATTCTGAGTCCTGAGTCTTCATGTGTTGCCTTTTTTCTTCTCCCTGGAAGCTTGTAAAATCTTCTTCCTGTCCTCACTGCTCTGAAATTGCACAGCAACGAGGCTTCGTGTAGGTCTATTTTTATCTCTTGTACTAGGCCCTTTAGACCTGCAAGCTGGTGTTATTCATTTCTGGAAAAGTTTCTTGAATTGTATTTTAAAGACTTACCAGCTTCTCTGTTCTCTCCTCCTGGAATTCATCTGGAAGCTGCATTTCCTGGTCTGGGCCTCCAATTTCATACATTCTCTCCCTTTTCTTCTCTCTTTTCACTTTGCTCTATTTTCTAATACAATTTTCCAGCCATGCCTTCTAATCCTTGTACTGGGTCTTTCATTTTGGCTATCATGTGACTTTCCCCAAGCTTGCCCAGTGCTTGTTATTTTCCAAATGTTGCTTTTTTATGGTCTCTCACTTTTTTTTTTTTTCTTTTGAGACAGAGTCTTGCTCTGTCGCCCAGGCTGGAGTGCAGTGGCGCGATCTCGCTCACTGCGAGCTCCGCCTCCCGGGTTCACGCCATTCTCCTGCCTCAGCCTCCTGAGTAGCTGGGACTACAGGCGCCCACCACCACGCCCGGCTAATTTTTTGTATTTTTAGTAGAGACGGGTTTCACCGTGTTAGCTAGGATGGTCTCGATCTCCTGTATGGTCTCTCATTCTTGATGCATAGAAGAAAACTCATCTCATCTCTCTAAAGGTGTTAACAGTAGGTGTAGTCTTGGTTTCCTCCAGGTTTCTTTTGACTTTTATTTTTACTGAGATACAGTTCACATAAGATGAAATTTGGCCTTCTTAAGGATATTCACACAGCTGTGCAACCACCACTATCATTTATCCCAGCCTATTTTTATCACCTTAATAAGAAGCTCCATACCTGTTAATATTCATCCCCCATCTCCACCTCTCCCCAGCCCCTGGGAAGCACTAATCCATTTTTCCATGTCTATAGATTTGTCTATTCTGGAAATTTCATATAAATGACATAATACAACTTCTGGTCTTTTTTTTTTTTTTTAAGATGGAATGTTGCTCTTGTTGCCCAGACTGGAGTACAGTGGCGTGGTCTCAGCTCACTGCAGCCTCCACCTCCTGGGTTCAAGCAATTCTCCTGCCTCAGCCTCCTGAGTAGCTGGGATTACAGGCATCCATTACCATGCCCGCCTAATTTTTTGTATTTTTAGTAGAGATGGGGTCTCACCATGTTGGCCAGGCTGGTCTCAAACTCCTGGCCTCAGGTGATCCGCCCGCCTCAGCCTCCCAAAGTGCTGGGATTACAGGCATGAGCCACTGCGCCTAGCCAATTTCTGGTCTTTTGTGTCTGGCCTTCTTCACTTAGTATAGTGTTTTCAAGGTTCATCCATGTTGTAGCCTGTGTCAGTACTTCATTCCTTTTTAAGGCTGAATAATGGTCCATGGTACGAAGAGACCACATGTTGCTTATTCATGCATCTCTGGACAGACGCCTGGGTTGTTTTCCACCTGTTGGCTGTTGTGGATCGTGCTGCTGTGAACACGGGCGCACAAACTCAATGCGGATTTGACTTGTGCTTCCCTGGTAGCTAATGGTAACAATACTCAATATCTTTTCACGGGCTTATTAGCCCAAATTGTTTTATAACTTTTTCATGTGCTTTTACCTTTCACATTTGTTACCTCCAGCAGGTCCTTAGTGGTCAGCCAGTCCTTGGCTGCTTTGCTGTCCATTTTTTTTAAGTTGTCAAAATGGTTTTTTTCTTTTTTAATTTTTTAAAATTATACTTTGAGTTCTGGGATACATGTGCAGAATGTGCAGGTTTGTTATGTAGTTAAACACATGCCATGGTGGTTTTCTGCACCCATCAACCCGTCATCTACATTAGGTATTTCTCCTAATGCTATCCCTCCCCTAGACTCCCACCCCCCAACACACCCCAGTGTGTGATGTTCCCCTCCCTGTGCCCATGTGTTCTCATTGTTCAACTCCCACTTATGAGTGAGAATATGCGGTGTTTGGTTTTCTGAAGCCATCATTCTCAGCAAATTAACATTTTTTTCTCTTTTCTTGAGAAAGAGTCTCGCTGTGTTGCCCAGGATGGAGTGCAGTGGCATAATTTCTGATCACCACAACCTCCATCTCCCAGGTTCAAGTGATTCTGGTGCCTCAGCCTCCTGTGTTATCTAGGACTACAGGCGTGCGCCACCACACCCTGCTAACTTTTATATTTTTAGTAAAGAGTGGGTTTTGCCATGTCGGCCAGGCTGGTCTCAAACTCCTGACCTCAAGTGATCCACCCACCTTGGCCTCCCAAAGTGCTGGGATTACTGGTGAGAGTCACCATGCCCAGCCTGTCTGTTCATTTTTAATCTGGGGAAACCCAAAAGCAGATTTAGGCATTTGCACAGGGGCCCATCCACCAAGAGCTCCCCTGTAGCATGCTCTGCCTGAACCATTTATTAGGAGACTCCTGATGTAATTTTTTTTTTCTGGACCAGAGAAGATCCTTCCAGTCTGCAGCCTGGAAGGTAAATGTCTAGTTGCCATCTTAGGGAGCTCAGGGGCTCTGCATTCTGCTGTGTGTCTGCTTCCTCAACGCCCTGTTTTCTGTATAGTCCCACCTGCCATTGTGCCTGTGGTCCTCCATGCCAGCAACTGCAGTTACAGCTTCTCCAAAGAATAAATCCCCAAGTTCAGCCAGGGAAAATTAGGAGCGGGCATCCAGGGATCCAACTGCCTCCCAAACAACCTTTTTTTTTTTTTTTGAGGCGGAGTCTTACTCCGTCGCCCAGGCTGGAGTGCACTGGCGCAATCTCGGCTCACTGCAAGCTCTGCCTCCTGGGTTCATGCCATTCTCCTGCCTCAGCCTCCCCAGTAGCTGGGACTACAGGCGCCCGCCACCATGCCTGGCTAATTTTTTGTATTTTTTAGTAAAGATGGGGTTTCACCATGTTAGCCAGGATGGTCTCAATCTCCTGACCTCATGATCCACCCGTCTCGGCCTCCCAAAGTGCTGGGATTACAGGTGTGAGCCACTGCACCCGGCCCCCAAACAACTTTCATCCCGTCCTCCTTCCTTAGGCCTCCTCCACTCCCATTTCTGGAGGCACTGGGTCCTGAACATCAATGTTCTGTCGTGCAAATCAGGCAATTTCTGCACAGCTAGTGTAGGATTTGGCTTTCTTAAATTGGCCAAGCCCAGCTCCACTATCCACCTGCACTCCAGCCTCTAAAATCTGCACCCTGTTCTCTCTTCTCCTGGTCTTCCCATCTATCCTTGGGGATTTACAACTTTAAAAAATAATCTCTTTATTGAAGATAGTCGAGTTCCCTCTTCACCACGTTTACCTAGGAGCCTTCCTAGTGATGTCTTTAATTTTCACATTGCATTCCATGTTTTACAACGATTGTCTCATGAGACAATCCTCATGAGAACCTCTGGGGAAGATGCTGTAGTCACCTCCCAGTGAAGAGGAAATTGAAACTCACAAAGTTTCAGGGAGGCATCCGCATCTGCACATGGCAATGTGGAGCTGGGACTTCAGCCCAGATGTCTGACTGCGGAGCCTGCACTAGTCCTGAACTAAACGGTGCAGTCATTGCCAGTTACTTCATGGCTAGGCTTTGCCACAGTGGCTCAGTGAAACCAGCACTTCCTCGTGCAGGGAGAGGAGGACCTGCAATGTCCAGGGTACCATGCTGATGGGCAGTGGGAAGCTGTGCCCAGTGACAGCCCTGGTCATCAGAGATAAGAGGGGACGAATGGCAGTGCAGAATTGGAAGGATGTCTTGAGCCAGCACTGTGCCAAGGCACTTAAACAGGACATGGGTAAGGGTGGGAGCATCCTCCTCCTCATGGGGGTCTGCTCAGCTCCAATGGGGGCAATAGAGAACTGCAGCTATTTGAGCATTGATGAGTACTGCTCTTGAAGATTCTGTGACTTCTATTATAACAATTTTCAATCTCTATTCCATTGAAATGCCCTCCCTACAACAATTCATAGCCAAATTGCTTCCAGAGATAATTGGTGGAGATCACAGGTTGCTAGATTGATAGCCTTTGTTAATGAATCCAGGAATCATGAAGTTTCACCTTGGAAGGGACCTGGAGACCTTCTAGACCAACATGTTTCTCTTGGGGAAACTCAGAGAGGCCAAAGGCCAGACTCAAGGTGCAAGGCTGGTAAGCAGCAGCTTTGGAACCATTTTTGTGGGGAGAGCAGGAAGATGTGGGGGAAAGATGGCTCAGGAGCCTGGAGGGGGCTTGGGGAAGGGGCCCACGAAATGCCAGCTCATGGGGCTGAGTAGGAAACCTTGCAAAGGACTAAGATCTCTCCGAAACTCCACATCTAGAGCCAATCAGGAAGATGCAGCAATGGCCACTGTGAGAAAAGGAAACCTGCAGAGGACATCTGTTATCGATATTTTGAAGCCCTAACTTCTGGGACCTCAGAATGTGACCTTATTTGGAAATTGGAAATAGAATCCTTGCCAGTGAAATTACTTAAGTTGAGGTCATATGAGAAAGGGTGGGCCCTTCATCCAAGAAGATTGGTGTCTTTATAAGAAGAGAAGAAGGGACACCGACATAAAGGGAAGAGGACAGCCACGTATGTGATGATGCAGACAGAGACTAGAGGGATGAGTCTGCAAGCCAAGGAATGCAAGGATGGCTGGCAACACCAGACGCTCAAAAGAGATAAGAAAGGATCCTTCCCTACAGTCTTCAGAAGGAGCAAGGCCCTGCTAACATGTTGATCTTGGACTTCTGGCTTCCAGAACCATAAGGGGGTTCTGGTGGTTTATGGTGCTTTGTTGCACCACCTGGTTTATGGTGCTTTGTTGCAGCAGCCCTTGGAAAGGTAATTGAATGTCCCGTGAGGTGTCATGAGGGTGTGACCTGGAATTAGCTCTGCTGCTCTGCATGGCATCACTTTTTTTGTCCTTAGTTTGATTCCCCTTATTAAAAGTAGCTGGAGGCCGGGTGCAGTGGCTCACATCTGTAATCCCAGCAGTTCAGGAGGCCGATGCAGGTGGATGGCTTGAGGCCAGGAGTTCAAGACTAGCCTGAGCAACATGGAGAAACCCTGTGTCTACAAAAAAAAATATGTATATATATACAAAAATTAGCTGGGCATGGTGGCACACACCTATAGTCCCAGCTACTCAGGAGGCTGAAGTGGGAGGATTGCTTGAGCCTAGAAGGTAAAGGCTGCAGTGAGTTGAGATCGCACCACTGCACTCCAGCCTGGGCAACAGAGTGAGAACCTGTCTCAAAAACAAAACAAAACAAAACAAAAAAAAAACAAAGAGTAATTGCTTTTAAACCCAAAGCTAGGTGATAGTGAGTGTTTGTGTGCTAACTTCCGGTGAGCACTCACATGCCTATCTCGCTGGAGTCCTATGTTCCCAGGCTTGCATCTGTCTGCCTGTTCCCCCTACGTCTCCACCCACAGAGGTAGCCGCGGCTCTGCAGCTCTGGAGCCTCAGGGCTGGAAGCAGGTGAGGGGAGGCCTTTGTTGATCCTGCTCAACCAATGCCCCCGCTGCCACATAGAAGAAACGGTGGACGTGTTTAGAAAATGATACCAAGTTTACCCCTGAAACGCAATTGCATATCCTGTGCAGGCTGAGTGAGGCAAGGTGAAACTATTGACTGGTATCACTTGAGATAGAGCCAACTGTTCAAACTGAAACTGAAAGACAGCGTGGTCCCTCTGAGGAAAAAAGGGCAGAAGTAAAAGCACGAAATTGTCACTTGTGTAGTGGCAAACAAAAAAGAAAGAGAAAATAGGTTTCACTTATTTAAATTATAAAAGTAGTTAGTATGTGCTGATTCAAAAAACTTAAAAGATACAGAAGTGTATAAGATAGAAACAGAACTGCGTCTGCCTCCACCTCCTCCCCTGCCCACAAGCCAGCCCTCCACTTTCAGACTCCACAGAAGCAACTGTTTTAATGCGTGGTAAACATATTTAGAAGAACTTTCTCTGCTGTGCATAAAAGCATGCTCTAACATCATTTGGTTTCACTTCATTTTATTTTAAAACCACAGTATTCAATGACTTGCTTTTCTACTCACTAGTATATTATGGGCAACTTTTCATAGCAATGAATACAGATTTATCTCAGAACGTAATCTTGAATCAATTTCAGAATAACTCTGTGGGATACATGGGTGATTATAAATTCACAACGTGCCTTGGGGGAATATACCACCTGTTTCTATGGACGCAATTTGCAGTACATTAATTCGGCACACCACAAAGGCTGGACAGTTATCAATAGATTGGGTCAAGAAGAGAAGTATACAAAACATTCAGCTAGCTTTAAAGCTAAGGTTTGTCACCACAAATCTATGAAGTGTCTCTTCCGTGAGTTGGAGAAAGTGATTATTAGAGAAGCCTCAATAAAGGTCAACAGTTACAGATGATTTGAAATTTTGCCAACGTAGAAAACAGTTGGAAAACCATTGGAAATTATATTTTTTATCTTGAGTCAAGTAGGAAATAAACTTAATTTACATAGTGTAAGAATGGTTGATATACAATGTAATCCTAAATCTTAAAATTGCTGGAGATAAATCACAAAGAAAACCAAAAAGATCCAAAAAAAAAAAAGGAGTTAAAAGAGAAGATTTCATCTTCTTTCAGAGGATAAACAATCTCAAGATTCCATAATTCTTTGAATGTCTCAGAAAAACAAAATTCGTTCAAGCTACTTCAGATATTTGGAAGAACAAAATTAATTTTCCCCACCCAGATGAATCATTCTATCAGAGGTTCTCAACTGGGGGCGATTTTGCCCCCCACCCCCGGGGGACATTTGACAATGTCTGGAAACATCTTTGATTGTCACCACTGGGGGCAAACGGTGGGAGGATGTGCTGCTAGTCTTAGTAGGTGGAGGCCAGGGATGCTGCTCAACATCCTACAACGCACGGGACGACCCCCGCCACGGAGAATGATCCGGCCTCAAATGCCAACAGTGCTGAGGCCGAGAAACTCTATGTGATACTTTCCTAAAGGGACTGCTTTCTGTTTCATTCTCTTATTTAATCAACTTCACAAACACATCAGAAACATAGGTCACATCCTTTTCTTGTGAATCTAAACCAGTCTAGCTTAAAACACCCTAACCTTCCTCCAAAACAAAATAGAAGTGAACATTTTGTATGAGAGTGACTCACATGTAAAACTATGACGTGAGGATAAACAGTAATGCCCGAAACATACAGCAGGCCTTCCAGGCAGGCAAGAGATGACTTCAGACATTGGAGGGTAGGTCACGTCTCACGCAACAAATCCAGAAACCATCCTGCAACTCACAAGAAATCTGCTTGTAGCTTGAAAAGGATTCTGAGCCAGGAGAACAAGGTTAAAATTATTTCCAACATAAAGGAAAGGAACAGGAACTTAGCCTCTTACGTGCTTAATCACCTAATAAGACACACACACACTCGCACACAAATCACACACACACATACACACACACACACTTAAAATACTTATTTTGGATTCTTGTGAATAAAATCCAGCTCAAGTCTATGGGAAAAAAAAATCATGGCCAGAAAAGTCTTTCCATTTTCACTGGGTACCAGCCAATAAATCTTAGCCTCTGATGCTCTACTGAATTCAGCTTCTCACTTTCCTACCCTGCTCCCATCCCACCCCCACACCGAATCAGCGCCAGCTCTGGATTTTACACTCGTAAGCTCAGCTCAGGCCCTGGTAGAGGTGGAGCATCTCATTGCCTTATTCATACCTGCTTTGAAAGATATCCTTGTCTTACTCAGTTGGAAGCTCTATAAGCCCCCCATTAAGGCCAAAGAATGTGAAACATCACAAACAGCACAGCATCATGTACATAAACTGTTTATTTAAGAGCGGGCAGTCATAGACTGTGGGTGATCCGGGAGATGCATCAGTAGATTTCCTGTGGCCTCAGAAAAATCCACGCAGTAACCGCAACAGAGAGATGACAAAGAGTCGGTTGCAGGAGGCCTCTGCCCAGGGAGGGTGGCCACCTACCCTGTGCAGTTCAGGCAGAGCACAAAGGCTCCTCCCAGGGCCCTGGGGAAGGCTGAATCCAGCCTGCCCCTGGCTTACCTAGCTTGGCCCCGGGCAGAGCACTTTTCCTCCACCCCTCACAGAGGCGCAGGTTACTTGTACCAGCCCGATGCAAATGCTTTGGTGAATGGGCTACCCTAAAACAGAGGATGATGAAGAACGATGGCCATTCCCAGAGTATAATGAGGGATTCCCTTTAAGTGAGCTTTGCTCTGCCCTCTGCGTTTTCATTAGAAACCAGAAAACTGCTGAGCCTAATTTGTGTTTAAGCCATCATAAACTAAATAATCAGTTCCTATTAATGACCCTAATTATTCAGCTCCTATTTTTAAATGCTGGTCTTTCAGCATGCTCTATGTGGGTGGTTTTAATTAAGCCTAATTGTAGATACGTCACATCCAAACAGACACCCTACTCAAATGATTAATAGAGCTTGGAATCTAGTTCACTAAATAGGGGTTTGCAATGGGATGATGGTGTCTATCAAGCTGAAACGTATCATATAAATTATTTCTCTGATAACTCTAATGGCAGAGAGAATTGTTTATTAGAGTCATTTAGGATTAGAGCCACCACTGGTCTCAGAAGCTACATTCTCAGAGCAGTTGTCAAGTTTGCTGAAAGATTGTTTTCTTAAATTAGCTCTAAGTTGGAATGTACTGGTTTTTCTTTTGCATTTATATTCCCAGAGGCCTTCTTCTTTAAAAGTGTCTTCTGACATGGCAAAATAACTATCATTTAAGAAGCACTAATCTTAACTAAAAACAAACAAACAACTCACCTTCAATGTAAAGACCGATTGCTCCTCTTTAGCCCTTCCCTAGAAATCAGCTTTTGATCACTGACCAAGCACTCTCAAGCTTCCGATTCCCCTAAATCTCACCTGATTTTCCAACACCTCCGAGAGCTTGACATTGCCACTTTTTACACATGAGAGGTGAGGATATCGAACCTCTGAAAGGTTATCTGATCAGCCTGGGATCTCCTGGGGCAGAGCTGGGCTTAAGAATCACCTGCTTGAGATTTCACCTGCAATTGCCTGACCCATGGGGCTGTGACTTCTTGGATTAAAGCATCATCCATGCACCTTGTCACTCTACATGGGCAGAGCAAGCCAACCTAGAAACCAATCAGGAGCCACCATAACAAACACAGCCGTGACTCAGCTCTCCACCTGCACACCTCCACCTGCCCATCAGTCCACATTGGACACTTAACACCCACAAAGGATTTGAAATTTTCCCAACGGCCTCTCACAGGACACATAAAAGCAAACACAAGCTGTCCTCAGTGCTGTGCTACAGAATACGTTATCCATTGGTTGATCACACAGATCCAGTGAAATATTGTCAGGGAGTTCATTTGAAAACTGTTGTTGCCATGATGTGCTTGTAGTGCCGTCTGTCAGAGCAGATATTGACCCATTCAAATCCAGCGGCATAAGACAAATGACCAATAGAGACAGTCGTTTCCAGGGTAGGGTCTCTATTATTTTTAGCAAATTTTTCCCTGTAGGGTTATGTTTCGGATGCTTCAATGGGCAGATTAAGATGTACTGTGACAGTGATAGAGAATTAGCAGTGGATAGAATTGAAATTATGTCTCATTTCAGGTGTGGTCTTCACCAGGTCTCACTCATTGGCCTTAATTGTCAATTGAATTGAAAGGGGGTCCTTGCAGTCAAGGTCAGAATTTGGGAGGCTCAGAAAATCAAGAGCTGATTGCTGTCCATGGACAGATGTGACCTTTAGGTGTTTGGCCACCCAGCCCAGTTGACTTGGATGAAATGTGTAGAGAGGCTAGAGCCACAGACTTTGGTTAAATTTATCTGATAGGATTCTGAATTCCTTCTGTGTTATCTTGAATTGCTTTGAGTTTTCTCAACACAGCTATTTTGAATTCTCTGTCTCAAAGGTCACATATCTCTTTCTCCAGGATTGGTCACTGATGCCTTATTTAATTCATTTAGTGAGGTCATGTTTTCCTGGGTAGTGTTGATCTTGTAGATATTCTTTGGTGTCTGGGCCTTGAAGAGTTAGGTATTTATTGTATCTTCACTGTCTGGAGCCACAGACTTTGGAATCAGACACACCTGATTATACATCTCAGCTCCTCCATTATTCACTCTGTGACTCCAGACATGTTACACCACCTCTCTGAGCTTCTAATTCCCTGCATCCATAAAACTAGACAGTCATACTTAAATTATTGAATCATTGTAAGGTTTAAATTAATTAATGGAGACAAAACATCTTACTCATAATAAACACCAGTAGGTGTCAAAGGGAGAGAGTGTCTTTTTTATCTGAGCATTTGTACTGAAATGAGAACATTATGATAGCAGTGGATAGCAAAGTCAAAGTAACCATAATTTTTAAATATCCCCTAATGAACTGACCATGTAGAGAAATAGTTGACACTCAAACCCCCTTCACATCTACCATCAGCCTTAATGGTAGTCTATTGGGTCAATGTCTATGCCAGTCTTAGTAACAAATGAAAATTGAAAACACTGCAAATACAGTGCAAACTGATGACAACATGAAACTCCAAATCTTGCCTATGATATAAGGTTCCCTGAAGTTAAAGAAAGTGATGGAGGAACTACCATGATTGTTCAGTGTGCAGTGAAAGCTGATGTTACTGTAATAATCTAAAATTCATTAATAAAATCCCAAATTGGCTGGGTGCTATGGCTCATTCCTGTAATCCCAGCACTTTGGGAGGCTGAGGCAGGCAGATCACTTGAGGTCAGGAGTTCGAGACCAGCCTGGGCAACATGGAGAAGCCTGGTCTCTACTAAAAATACAAAAATTAGCCTGGTGTGGTGGCACACACCTGTATTCCCAGCTACTTGGGAGGCTAAGGCAGGAGAATCGCTTGAACCCAGGAAGCAGAGGTTGCAGTGAGCCAAGATCGTGCCACTGCACTCCAGCCTGGGCAACACAGTGAGACTCTGTCTCAAAATAATAATTATAATCCCAAATTACTTCTTTTCTTACTTTAAGTTTTATTTTTCAAGACAAAGTTTCAGCTGTCACACTGCCCTTGTTGGTTCTGTGAAATCATGTTCCCCATTTTAAGTAAATTCACTTTTCAGTAAAAATTACTCTTTGAAGACAGAGGTCTATGTATATACAAACTTACATGTGTCATTTCACAGAATAAGGAAGAAATGGTTTCACAAATTATATTGCATCAATGTGAACTCTCTTTGGGCACAAACACAGGATAAACATCTGTCAGATAGGATTAAAGTGCCTGTGTGCCACTGAGGAATGGGATGAAGAGAGAAGGAAGATAATAAGAAGAGAAGGCAAGAAGAAGAAGAAGAATCAAACAGACAGAAATGGAACTTCCCTCAAAGGTGGTGCAGACCTGCCTGGGGCCCCTGAGAGCAGGAAGGCTTTCCTCCTGAATCCAGCAGAGCTCTTCTCACCACGTGGCCAGAGTCTGCCTTCTGCATGAATGTCATTGCCTAAGTGACTTCGAGATGCAGATGGAGCGTGGTTTCACCCTCAGTCTCTCCTCCTCTGGTTCACGCCCATGTCTGATTCCTGGGCATCGCTTTGCCTCAGAAAGCCACCTCCAGTCTTTCCCACCCACTTCCAATTTGCCCTTGCCCCTTCCTCCAAGCCAAGGCAGTGGTTGTATAAACATAGCTGTATGTACAACACTCAGCTTTTACACTGGTCTCCATTGAATGAGTAATCGCATTACCAACCTTCTAAGCAAGTCGGCTCCCTCAGGACTGCCGTCTTCCAGCCCTCGTAGTACGAAAATGATTCATTAGTCCCTTCATCACAATAACATGAGTCACATGTTATGAAAAGCTAGGAGGATGTATTTTGTGTACACTGAAATCTAAGGTTTGCAAATTTCTGCAATTTAACTTTATTGAGGAGGGAGTGGGGTAGAAATGAATTCCACATTTTTTCTAAGTACGAAAACCCACATCAGGCAACATCTGCTTAAGTCAGTCTCCAAGGACTCAATGTAAACGGTTGTTGATATAAATAGATGTGTTTTTAAGCAAAGACAGATGTCCCAGCCCCAAATGTTAAGAAAACAATTAAGTTCAAAGACATGTTGGTTTTCATTTCTTTCCCAATAGGTGAATCTTCACTGGGCTATGACAATGAGGGGTGGAAGAGAGAACACTGTGTTTCCCTGTGGAAAGGTGTGTTGTGCCGTGGGTGGCAGGTGTGAGCTGCACACATGCAGGATGGCGTCCGCTTGCCTCCCTAGTGTTGCTCGAGAGGCCTGGGTCATGACGCCTTCCCTTACTCATGCATTCTCACGGCACTTGCTGATTTATTTGAAGACTCCCCTATTCAGAACTCCTCAGAATATTATTTCAGGGAATACTAAGTGGGAGGCATTAGGAAATAAGTCCCCGGAATTTGGGGGTCCATGGGAGAAGAAACTAGAAGCCAGCAGGACTCTGGAGCAAGAGTGGGCTATGGGACAATGGTCCTCAGTAGGAACGGGCCTGCATCTCGTTCTCCCAGAGCAAGGATCTGAAATCCAAAAGATGATCAACAAATCTGCATTTCGGCAGGAGGAACATTCCCAGTGAGCTTATCAGGAAAGCTAGCACCAGGCAGAAAGGGTCATTTCTACACAGAGAAATTCACATTGTTTGTGTCAGGCACTTTGCCAGAAAGCATTTTGACAAATTCCCTCGTTGAATGTGAGGGATGCAATGAAGAATTTAAAGTTTCGCAGGAATTAGTGACATAAGGCAAGTTCACATTTTGACCATACCACCCTTTACATGGTAGAAAATTCTACCCCATATGCCCAAAGCAGGTCTTCCCTTCCTTCTGAGAAGCCGAGGCAAAGACCTTCCTGGCCTTTGGGCCAAGCTTTCCCAGGAAGGGAAGGAAACTGTAGCTGCTTTGGAGGGTTCCTCGGACTAAATTGGGGGTGCCAATGCTAGAAGATAACACAGGCTGGCAGGCCACTCCCCGCCCCAGGCCCCAGCCAGAGCATCCCAGGCTCCATCCCAGGCCCCATCCTAGGCTCTGTGGTACAGGCAGGGGGAGGATGGCTAGTACCCTTCACCCCGAGGGCATGGCCGCCTTTCTGACATCACCTGGGAGGGGGCACCCCGGCTGGCCGAGGTTTAAGGTAGAAAAGCCTAGCTCCTTTGTTGTTTGTCATGAAGCCAAATGATCTGGAACTTGGTTCTTTCTCAAATGGTCAGAAAAAAATGTCAAAACAAAGCCCCCATCACAAATCACCTCAGGACACATGTCACACTCTTCCCGGGCCTGAGCACTATTAGTGATTAGAAACGACCACTCAGTTGTGAGCACACAGGCTGGGCAGGCTGTCAGAAGTTGCAAAAGCCGTCACTGGTTGTGTCAGGCGGATACCAGAATCAGTCAGCGATCTCAAAGTCTGGTGTCCATGCTGCCAGACATCTGTGAGTATTAGGATAAAATGTCATATTAATCAGACATTCACATGAGGCCACAAGCAACGCTTGGCATTTGTAGATGTAGTGTAGATAGATAAGCCACCCCATACTCTCTTCCTGGACACACAGGAGGACCACCTTTCCAAGCCTCCTTTTCCTCCCATTGGGTTCTGGTGAGAGGTGTGTGGGCAGAGGTGATGGGAGTCCTGTAGACTTGGCCATAAAGCACTCTGAGTGATCTTTGACACACCTTCTTCCCCTTCTGTGACAACCCTGGAGGCTGTGTATTGACCATGGTGGCTTCACAAGACGTAAGGAGACTAGATCCCTGGGTTATCACATGGAGAAGAACCCAGCAGAGCTGCTCAGGCTGTATTGGAATGGGGATGAGGGGAAGCAAACCTTTGTGACATTACAACACTGAGATTAGGAGATTGTTAGCGCAGCTAGCATTTACTATTCTGATGCATGCACCTTGTTTCTGGGAAGTACGGATGGATACCACCAAGCAAGGTGCTTTGAAGTAGTTCGTTTATTGGCATTTTCCAGACCAAGTGTATAGTTTAAAATCAGTCCCCCAAAAAATCACAGTTGGGAAGAGAAAGAGAAGCCCGAGAATGAAAGGAGTATGATGCTGCTCACTTTGGGACCGAGTGCCATTAGATTCCTAGAGTAACAAGAAACTGAAAGGATTACTCAGTTCATTCTCTAATTCTGAGCATAGCTGTGCCCAGATCATCCTTGAGGGACAGTCTGTTCCCTGTTCCCAAATGCAGCCAAGCATGAAATTCCACAGCCCAGACTAGTAATTTAGTGACTCGAAACCCGGGCCCCGGGAGCTCTTTCTGAGGGCCAATCCAAGCCCCTTGCTGGGCTGTATCTTGCTCCCATTTCTCCTTTTCCCTGAGGAAACAGACTGTTGCTTACAATTTTGATATGGTGTGTCTGCATTTATTTGATTACTAACATCATATGAATTCCCCATCACTCTTTATTCTTGAAGTAAAATAATGCATTTCCCTTAAATTTATTTAATCCATCCAGCAATTCCTGACTATGCAGCCAGCTCTACTCCAGGGAAGAGAAGGCTCAGTCTCTCCCTTCAAAGAGGTAAGATAGACACATTAAAAAGTTAACAGGATATTGTTACATGTTACAATGAATGGGAAGGACCTTGTGAAGAAGAAGACATGAGCTCCAATCTGGAGGGCTTCCCAGAGGAAGTGGGCTTCCAGGGGCCCTGAAAGATGCTAAGAACTTAGAAGAGTCAAGAGAGAAGTTAGGACATTAGGAGAGAATTCTAGAGGCCAGGATGAATGTGGGGAAGGATGGCGAGAAAACCAGCTTGGTTGGAGTAGAAACTTCCACTGGGGAATGGACAAGAAGGGCTCGAGGGGAAGAAGAGTAAGAGCCAGTCTTGGAGGGTGTGGTAGGTGGAATAATGGCCCTCCAAGGGTATCCAAGTCCTAATCCCTGAAACCTGTAAATATGTGGCCTTACATGGTCAAAGGGACTTTGCAGATGTGATTAAATGCAGGACCTCGAGGTGGGGAGATGATCCTAGATTATTCAGATGTTCCCAAAATGTAATCACAAGCATCTTTAGAAGGGAGAGACAAGTCTCAGACTCAAAGAGAGAGATGAGGTAATGAAAGCAGAGGTTGGGGAGAGAGAGTTCAAGATGCTATACTGCTTGAAGATGAAGGGGGGCCCTGAGCCAAAGGATGCAGGTACCTGTAGAAGCTGGGAAGGGCAAAGAAATGAATTCTCTGCTGGAGCCTCCAGAAGGCATGCAGCCTTGCAGATACCTTGCTTTTAGGAATTCTGACCTCTAAAATTGTAAGATCATATATTTGTGTTGTTTTAAACCACTATGCTTGTTGTCATTTGTTACCATGGCCAGAAGAAATGAATGCAGACAATTTCAAATTTGAAGCTGATGAGACTTTAACCTGCCAAAAAATCAGAGTCTTGGACTCAGAAGGTCTTTCAACAGAGTCATGAAATCAGTCATTCTTCATGTGTGTGTAGTGTGAGCTCTCCTTAAGTGCCACAAAACACATCCTTGCCCATATTGGTCCCCAAGAACCCCAGCGTGGATGACAGTGCATCACACAGATGAAACTGGTAGAGTATTTTCTGGATGAATGAGCAAATAAGCAGTAAATGCTGCAATCTCTCTCTGGTTGAAGTCCTCAATTCCTCTTGCCTGAACCATTTCAATATCCACCTCATAAGCCTCCAGGCTCCAATCTTGTCTCCATTCCAACCTGCTGCCAGGGTCTTCCTCTCATGCAAGTGGTTATGTACATTTCATCCAAATAAAATTCAAATTCCTTAAAATAGCATATAGCTCTTTTTGGCTTCCCTGGGCAACATCAGAAGAAGAATTGTCTTGGATCACATGTAAAATATATTAACACTAACAACGGCTGATGAGCTAAAAAAAAAATAGTCACACAAAAAAATATCATAATATCTTAAAAAAGTATTGGGCCACATGTGGTCTGTGTGCTGTGGGTTGGACAAGCTTGGTCGAAAGCCTTCTATGGCCTCAGTCTATCACTCGAGCAGAAACCACCAACACCCACATGCTTTCCTGTCTGCGTTGGCAGAACTTCACTATTAAGTTGCCCTCTCTAATATGACTTTACTATTCTAAGAAATCGTTGCCCAGGAAATAAAAGTTACTAATTGTATTGTTTCAGGAACTTCCCAGAAAAACTAATTTAAGTGATTATCAAACTACTCAACTCTTCAATAACTAGTATCAAGGATTATTTACTCTCCAATACACTTCTGAGAACCCTGCCTTAAAACCCTCACCTTGCTGTCTTCACCAATCCTGAACCATTATATCATGATCCTTAATCCTATTCAAACTTCTTTCCCCATTGAAAGACCTGCCAAACCCCCTAAACCTTACAAATAGCCCAACTTTGTCATACTCACAGAAAATACTATGCAGACTTTGTTGAGATAGTTGTGTTGCTTACCATGGGAAGCAGTAAACTCAGCTTTGCCTGACCAGCAGGTTGTTGGGGTGATGTTTTTGGGGAGTCAGTACTGGACACCTAAGTAAACTTGTTACTTCATGCTTCCCTCTTCTAGAAGGCAGAATAATGGCTGTCCAAAGATGTCCACATCTTAATCTTAGGAACCTGTAAATATATTTCCTTACATAGCAAGGGGGAATTAAGGTAGCAGATAGATTTAATGTTGCTAATCGGCTGACTTTGAAATGATGAGATCATTGATACAGCTTGAATATATGTCCCTGTCAAATCTCATGTTGAATTGTAATCCCCAGTGTTGGAAATGGGGCCTGGTGGGAGGTGATTGGGTCATGGGGGCGGATCCTTCATGGCTTGGTGCTGTTGTGATAATGAGTGAATTCTCAGGAGATCTGGTTTTTAAGTGTGTGGCACCTTCCCCCTACTTGCTCTCTCTTGCCCTCATTCTCACCATATGAGATGCCTGCTCCATCTTCTTCCACCCTGATTGGAAGCTTCCTGAGGCCTCCCCAGAAGCCAACCAGATACAGTCACTATGCTTCCTACATAGCCTGCAGAACCGTGAGCCAAATAAACCTCTTTTCTTTATAAATTACCCAGGCTTAGGTATTTCTTTAGAGCAATGCAAGAATGGCCTAATACAATTATCCTAGATTCTCCAGGTGGGAACCCATGTAAACACAAGGATCTTTACATGTGGAAGGGGGAAACTGAAAGAGTCAGTGTCAAATCGATGAGATGCAGGAAAGACTCAACCAACCGTTGCTGGCATTGAAGATGGAGGATGGGGCCACAAGCCAAGGAATGGGCAGCCTTAGAAGCTGAAAAAGGCAAGAAATGCATTTCTACCTGGAGCCTCCAGAAAGGAATGCAACCCTGCCAACACCTAGATTTTAGCCTGGCAAGATCTGTATTAGACCTCTGACCTCCAGAACTGTAAGATAATCTTGTGTTGTTTTAACCCAGCAAATGTCTGTTCATTTGTTTTGGCAGCAGTAGAAAACCAGCATATCTCTCCTTGCTGATGCTCCTTTCTCCATCTGAAATCTCAATCTGATCTCACTCTTCTGCCTGTTGAAATCCTGCCTACCCTTTCATTTCAATGGCAGATCCACCTCCTCCAAGATACACTTCCCTGAACACCCCTTTTCTGAATTCTATCAGCATCTGGTTTGTTCTCCTTCATTATTTATTATTTTTATTTTTTTCAGATGGAGTTTTGCTCTTGTTGCCCAGGCTGGAGTGCAATGGTGCGATATCGGCTCACTGCAATGTCTGCCTCCCAGGTTCAAGCGATTCTCCTGCCTCAGCCTCTCGAGTAGCTGGGATTACAGGCATGCACTACCATGCCCGGCTAATTTTGTATTTTTTTAGTAGAGACAGGGTTTCTCCATTTTGGTCAGGATAGACTCAAGCTCCTGACCCCAGGTGATCTGCCCACCTTGGCCTCCCAAAGTGCTGGGATTATAGGCGTGAGCCACCATGCCCAGCCTGTTCTCCTTTATTTTATACGATCACATTTACTAGGGTATGTAGCGTATATCTTCTATGTCTTATAAATAACTTTTGCACAGCTGAATGGTAAAGATTTGTCTATTCTTTCAATGTAACCATACCATTATCCCTTTAGCTAGCTAAATAACATCCATGGTGGGTACAGAAGTATCCTGACAGAAGTCATGTATTTGAGGAATGAAATGTAAGTTCTTCATTAATTAAGGCTGGGAGAATCTTCCTCTTTTGGAAACTAATATATCAACTTGAAAGTCAATTCTAATAAGAAGGTTGAAAGAATGATATGGAAAGGAATTTGTGAATAATAGAAAAGAAATGAAAAGAACACTTTCTGTAAGGCTAGCTTCTCCACTGGGCATCAGGGCTGTTGCTTTGAGCCTATAGCTTTTCTAGCGCCTATGAAAATATTTGAAAGCCTAGACAAGAAAGAAACATCAGGAAGTTAAAATAGGTTCATCAAATGTCTACAAAATGTAACCTTATCTCAACTCATTAACTGAATTTTGCATACATACAAATTCCATTACATTTGCAAAAAATGTGTAAGTTTGTTTTTCTCACTTCATCAGAATTCAGAATTCTCAAGCATGCACCAGGAACGAAAATAACTACTTTTCGCCAACTAATTTTGAAAGCAATGTTTTCTCTTAATTGTTTCAAATTACTTTACATTTGAAAATATTTAAGATGAGAAGTAGATGCATTTTAACATATGTGATGGAATGTATCATGGAGCCTCCAAAATTGAGAGACCCTACAGCCTACCCAGGGCTTAAAGCAGCCCCGTTAGTTACTGGGCAGAAAGGAATGGGGTGTGGCTGACAGGTAATGTGGATGATGGTGGTAATAACAGTGACTCATATTCCTTGCACACTTACCATGTGTCCTTTATTTCTTACATCATTTTTTAAAAATTGAGGGCTGGGCGTGGTGGCTCACTCCTGTAATCCCAGGCCTTTGGGAGGCCGAGGCGGGCAGATCATGAAGTCAGGAGATCAAGGCCACCCTGGCTAACACAGTGAAACCCCGTCTCTACTAAAAATACAAAAAATTAGCCGGGTGTGATGGCAGGCGCCTGTAGTCCCAGCTACTTGGGAGGCTAAGGCAGGAGAATCGTTTGAACCTAGGGGGCAGAGGTTGCAGTGAGTCAAGATCACACCCCTGCACTCCAGCCTGGGCAACAGAGCAAGACTCCATCTCAAAAAAAAAAAAAAATTTGAGGTAAAACTCACGTAACATACAAGTAAGTATTTTAAATGCACAATTTAGTGCATTCACAGTGTTGGGCAGCTACCACCTATCTCTAGTTTCCAGTCTTTTTCATCACCCCAGAAAAATTCCCCATAACTGTCAAACAAGAACTCTCCACTCCTTCCTCCCTTCAGCCCCTGGAAACCACCAATCTGCTTTCTGTTTCTATAGATGTGCCTATTCTGGACATTTCATATAAACAGAATCATACAAGTGACTTTCTGTTTCTGACTTCTTTCACTTTGCATGTTTTCAAGGTTCATCCATGTCGTAACATATGTCAGTTCTTCCCTCATTTTTTGGCTGAATAATATTTTGTTGTGTGTATTTTGGGCTACTATGAATAATTCTGCTGTGAACATTTGTATACATGTTTCTGTATGGGCTTTTTTTTTTTTTTTTTTTTTTTTTTGAGACAGGGTCTCACTCTGTCACCCAGGCTCTGGAGTGCAGTGGTGCAATCATGGCTCACTGCAGCCTTGAACTCCTGGGCTCAAGTGATCCTCCCACCTTGGCCTCCCAAGCTGCTGGGACTACAGGCATGTGCCACCATACCCAGCTAATTTTTGTATTTTTTGTAGAGACAAGGTTTTGCCACGTTGTCCAGGCTGGTTTTGAACCCCTGAGCCAAGAGATCCACCTGCCTCAGCTTCCCAAAGAGCTGGGATTACAGCCTCGAGCCACTACTCCCAGCCACATTTTGATTTCTCTTAAGTATACACACTGGGAGTGAGACTGCTGGATCATATGATAAGTCTGTGCTTAACTTTTTGAGGAATGATTCCTTTCATCTTTTCAACAGCAATATGGGAATTGGAAATCAGTGTGATCATGTGCCCAAGGTGACACTCCCATAAGAGGTGGAGTGGAATTTACAGTCAAGCCATTCTGATTCACAGCCCCTGTCCTTGCACTCAGTCAAGATGTCTCGTTAGTGTACATGAAATAGAGACAGTGGTGGGAGCTGAGGGCTGCACGCAGGGCACAACAAGAGGTAGAGGCTAGCAAGCGTAGGATGTGCTCAGGTGCATTCAGAATCGAGGACTATGAGGGTGGACAGGGGCCAGATTCTTGAGAATCCTGAAGGACAGCAGAGTAGGAAGCCATGGCTCCAAAGTCAGGCAGCCAGAAGTAGATGGGCTTTGAGGACCAATGGTGCCAGGGTGTGTCATTGGGACCTTCTAGGAACTCAGGTAAAAAATGATGGCCAAGAGTAGGCAATGTTAGAGAGTTCATCCTCAGGCACAGACAGGGCAAAGTGTGCAGCACCGTGGACTGCCTTTGTGACTTTTATGATTAGATTGAGAGAATCACCACCTCTTAGCAGAGAGAGCAACAAACAATGCAAACAATGCAAACACAGACACACAAAGAAGGAGAAACAATAGCCCTCATCACCACAGCCCTAGTGGTGGCAGCAACTAAGGAAATTATATAGAGAAGTTGGAGGAGCCTGTGCAACCAGCAAACAGAAATGTTGTGAACCCATTGAGATGTATGGACTTTCCCTGACATGCTACCAAAAGTTTGTCATTTTAGGAGCCCTGAAGACTTCTTGAAGATCTGATGTGCAGGCCTAGATCTCAAGCTTATTTATTTTTCTGTTCTTCTTCTTGCATATTAAGATGGATGCTTTTCTTATTAATTTTCAGCCTTGCCCTTTTTCCCCAATATGTATAAACAATTTCAAGCTATAAATGTGCTTCTAAGTTCTGCTTTAGCTGCACGTCCTCTTTCTTTCTTTCTTTCTTTTTTTTTTGTGAGATGGAGGCAGGAGTGCAGTGGCGTGATCTTGGCTCACTGCAACCTCTGCCTCCCAGGTTCATGCCATTCTCCTGCCTCAGCCTCCCAAGTAGCTGGGACTACAGGTGCCCGCCACCACACCTGGCTAATTTTTTGTATTTTTTAGTAGAGATGGGTTTCACCATGTTAGCCAGGATGGTCTCGATCTCCTGACCTCATGATCCACCCACCTCGGCCTCCCAAAGTGCTGGGATTACAGGCGTGAGCCACCGTGCTCAGCCTCCTTTTTCATATTTAGTATTTTCCTAATCATTCAGTTGTAAATATTTTAATGTCCATTATGATTTCTTCTTCCACCTTTTGTTTTGATTATCTATTGCTGCATTCCAAAAAAAAAAAATTAGCTTAAAATGACAATCATTTCATTCTATCTCATGATATTGTGGGTCATGAATTGGGACAGGCTTCAGCTGGATGATTCTCCTGCTCTTCTGAACATTAACTAAGGGAACTAGTGATCTTCAGCTGGTAGATGGGCTGGTCTGGAGGGTCCAAGGACTTTCACTCACATGTTGGCATCTGGGTGCAGATGGCTGGATGGCATGCTCAGTGAGACTGCTGGACAGTGGCTACCTCTGGCCTCTGCAGCTTGGCAGGCTCAGGATGGTTGGACCAACTCAAAGCAGCTCAGATCCCCAGAGAGAGAGGAACTGGCCAGTCTGGGAATTGAATCTAGAAATTAGCAAAGCACAATTCCACCATAGTCTGTTGCTTGAAGCAACACAGAAAGGTCTCCCAGATCATTGGAAGGCACACAGCTCCTGCTGCTGAATGGGAATAGTGGAAAAATATTTCTGATCATTCTTTTTGGAGTGAATTGTGTCCCCCAAAAATTCATATGTTGAAATCCCCCAGAACCTCATAACATGACTTTTTGCAGGTAGGGCCTTTATAGAGGTAATTAAATTAAAATGGGGTGGTTAGGGTGAGCTTTAGTCCAGCATGACTGGATTAGAAGAGGAGTTTCTGACACAGACACACAGGCACAAAGCCCATGTGAGGACAGTGAGAAGGCAGCCATCTGCAAGCCAGAGGGAGGCCTCGCAAGGAATCAAGCCTGTCGTCACCTCAATCTTAGACCTCTTGCCTCTAGAACTGTGAGAAAATAAGTCTAATGTTTAAGTCACCCAGTCTGTGGCGTTAGTTATGGCAGCCCTAGCAAACTAATACATTATCTTTAATCCATACATTAATGAATTCTTCATAATTACCTTTCTTTTTCTTTTTCTTTTTCGAGATGGACTCTCACTCTGTCGTCCAGGTTGGAGTACAGCGGCGCGATCTCGGCTCACTACAATCTCTGCCTCCTGGGTTCAAATGATTCTCCTGCCTCAGCCTCCTGAGGAGCTAGGATTACAGGTGTGCACCACCACGCCTGGCTAATTTTTGTATTTTTAGTAGAGACAAAGTTTCCCCATGTTGGTCAGGCTGGTCTCGAACTCCTGACCTCATGATCAGTCCACCTCGGCCTCCCAAAGTGTTGGGATTAAAAGCATAAGCCACCACGCCTGGCCCATAATTATCTTTGTTAAACTTCAATCACATGGGTTTCTAATTTAATAGCATGGCGACTACAGAATGTGGTCTGTCATGTATCAAGCATTTGAAATTGGTTGAGGCTTCCGTTTTAGCCTTTATGTATGTGTAAGATATTGGAAAATATTCTTGGTAAAATTGACCAGAAGATGTATTCTACAGTCACTGTTTAAGAAACAAGTGAAAATGGTGGTTAAAATAACCAAAACAACTAAACGTGTGTGGAAATAAACAAAGACTACCCAAAGGAGAGCAGGCAGAGGCGATCCATTCAGAGCTTGCTGTAGCATAGGAGTCAGACACTGTCACTTGTGTTTGGCAGAAACTCAAATCAGGCTGTTGATCAAGTTTTTATCATGAGGGCAGGTTTCAAGGCTGCCATTCATTTTTCACTGATGGTTTACTTTGGGCTTACCAGGAAAATCAGTCACTGTTAACCAATCATTGGTTTCTATGTAAATCAAAATATTAACAATTGCCCAAGTGCAGTAGCTCACACCTTCAACCCCAGCACTTTGGGAGCCTGAGGCAAACAAATCGCTTGAGCCCGGGAGTTCAAGAGCAGCCTGGGCAACATGGCAAACCCCACCTCTAAAAAAATACAAAAATTAGCCTGGCATAGTGGCATGCACCTGTAGTCCCAGCTTCTCGGGAGGTTGAGGTAAGAGGATGGCTTGAGCCTGGGAGGTCAAGGCTGTAGTGAGCCATGTTCATACGACTGAACTCCAGCCTGGGTGGCAAAGGGAGACCCTGTCTTAAAACAAACAACAACAAAAAACAGTCTCTATTTACATAACATAAAGAAGCCCTTTGGAGAAGGTAGAAACAGACTTTGCTGCCCTCTCTGAGCAAACATTGTCTCATTAATCCTCCCCACAACCCAACAAGGAGGTTTGACCTACTGAGTTCCATTTTAGGAGATAAGAAGCCGTTGTATGCCTCAGTTGGCTACCCAGTCTAGGGGCAGTAAGCCCCCACTTGCTATAATAGGTTGTGATTGTCTGATGTATTAAACTGAACTTTAAAAAGTCATTTCTATTTCGCTACACAGCAGTGGGGCAGCGCAGAAACAAGGAAATTATATCTTCTGCTTCGACTGTTTTTCATTTTTACTTTGTGTTTCTAGATTCTCAAACTTCCATCACTCTAACAGATTCTCAAATTAGAGGAGAAAACAATCTTACTTTACATAAAAACACCAAATTGATCCTTTATGGATGCAGTGTGGTCAATGACAGCATTTGTTTTCCCAGCATAGATTGTGCTGATGCATTGTGTATGTGGCCTGGTCTGTAGCCTGTGTGATTGACAGATGATTGAGAGACAGAGAGAGAGAGAGATTGTCAGGAGGCTTAATGATCCTCACAACACAACTGGGGTAGGTGCTGTGGCCCCCACATTACAGCCGAGGCCCAGAGAGAGTCAGTAGCTCACCCAAGGTCACACAGCTTGTGAACAGCAGAGCCATAATTTGATCAATGCTGCTAGGCTGCCTGTCAAAATACACCCAAAACAAAACTTACTTTTTGTATAGCATGAGCTTTTAATTCTATGGGTTGCTGTTGCATTGAATTATGCCCTAGTGTAACACAAACTAAAATATCCAGTTGCAAAATTAAATAATAAATAAATAATGGGTCTGCGTGCTGTTTATCAGTCCAAATGTGGCTGCATTTTTTGGCCAACTATGTCTTTTAAGATTACATCCTAACATTAAGTTTTTGTTGGTTTCTAATCCCAGCTTTGGCAGTTTTGGACAAAAGCTATGGGCATAATATCCTCTTGGCCCTCCAGGCAGGGGCGCTGCAGATTCTGGGCTGGGGGTCAGTGGGGGCAGCTTACAAAATGTTTTTCTGTGAGGGCCTCGGCTGAAATAGAGGGGAACACTGCTGAGCTCTGGCCTCTGTGTCTGTATCTTGACTGACTTTTTAAATTTTTTTTTCTGAAATTTCTGTGTGGCCTGACAAGTCCGAGACTACCACAAAGTGGCCACAAAATTTGTTTAAATGTTGTCTGTCAAGTTGGAAATTTTATTTTAAAATTCATGGTGCAATGGCATTATAATAAACCTTATTTTTCCTTCTGCAGTCTGTTTCTGGATGCTGGCAGTCATTCAGAAACATTTGCTGAGCACCTCGTACCTGCTGAATGAACCCACGTGAAGGGGAGCCAGGAGTGCGGATCATTAAAAAGCCTGTACTTTCTCAGTCCCCATTTGACACCACAGAGAGAAAATGCATGCTCCTGATTTGGGTAGATCTAGAATGTTCTTATGAATATGGTAGGTGGAGCAAGGGATCCAGGTTCTTATGATACATGATAAGAAAGGCCCTAGCTTGGTCAGACACAAATAAAAGCCAAGCTTTTCATCTAAACTCCCTTGCACCATCACCCCCTTACCAACCAGTACAGAGAGCTTAACATCTCTATACCAGATAGTGAATGTTTCTAATAAGAATGGCAAATTCTTATTGTGAGAGAGATAAGGGCATTCAAGTGTTAATTCAAGAGAAATATGTATATGGTTCTTTAAATGATTTATTTACTAACAGCATTAAGTATGGTGTAAAGGAATTTACATACCCTAATTCTCGTCTATATATTTTTTTGGATTTTAAAATGACAACTTGTCTAAGTTCGCATTAGTATTAAGCCCTAACATGAGACAGTATTTATAGCATAAGATTTTTGCCACCTATTTTTAATTGTAGCGCTGTTTTATCAATAAGATCAATTAAAGAGTTGAACATTTGAAAAGAAGAAACATGAAAATGAATTTCTAACTGTACGGTATTGAATACATGAAAGTTCTCTTAAACTTAGTCCAGAGTCTCAATAAACATGGTAAGTATGTAATAATTCACATTTACAACCGCCATAAAAACTCTATCAACCAAATTATTTTATGACGTCAAAATTATCTGAAAAAAATTGAGGAACTAAAATTTTTAAAAATAGGTTCTCAGTTAGAGCTGTCTATTAAAAGGATAAATTTTAAACTCTCCGGAGCTGGCCTTCCTGGTTCCAGGAGCAGCCTGTTGGCCTTCTCTCGCAAAGCTCAGTTCCTTTCCTCCATTCCAGAAGACCCTCAAGCCTGTCCCATGCACCTGGTTTTACATTTTTAAATGTTAAAAGGAAGACCACCGTGAAAGATTGGCATGTTAATAGTAGGCTAAGGCGACAGGTGCTGGGGCTCCGGCTTAGAGATCCCCACAGATTCCATGCTCCCAGGGCTGGCTGCAGCCATCTGCCCCCACCCACCCCCACCCGGCCCAGCCCTCCCCTCCTGGAGGTGGAATCGTGGCTTGCACAATCCCCTCTGGGCCCCTGGGGGAGGCGCACCATATTGATTTTTTGGACTTCGTTTCTGTGTGTCTCACCAGTCTTTGCCCGGCACAGTGACTCACTGGCGTCCCTTTCAGGACTTTCTCCCGCCTGATAACATCTAAATGACTCATGCCTACACCACCTGGAGAGCTCAGGGAAGGCACGGTTTGTTCAGGCCACCCTCACTCCAAGGGCCAGCCCTTTTTTGGAATAGAAACTAAAAGTTGGTAGCTTCCATTTGTAGTTCCATCTAACAGAAGAGCCGACCCACTCACATTAGCTGGCTCACGACTAAGGCAACCAATGCCTCCCAGAACATAGACTCAACTGGCAACCCCGGCACTGAAGGTCAAGGTGAGTCAAAGACACTCATGCAGAAGGGTGGATGCTCTTCCAAGTGTGACTGGCTGGCCTGCACGGCTCACTGCCTCCCCTCCTCCCGTCAAGATGCAGCTTCAGTTTAAACCACCTTCGTTCCATTCATCAAAGAGGAATATTTACTGTTATTGTAATGACTCTTCTCACAGTACACAAGGCTACACCTGAAACACACAGGCCTTTCAGAAAGCACAAAGGAGCATTGTGCAAGCCCCTGCCCAGTGAGATGGATGGGGGCGTAGACACGCCAGTTAACAGCCGGGCTTTGCAGGCCAGCAAGACTTATCTGTGGCCGCACCATGGCCACTGAGCTTGTACCTTTCTTCTTTTAAAAATTGCTCCTTCATTATAAGCAGAGTTAAATACCTGCACATGTGATTTGTGTTGAAATAATAAAGCAACAAACACACATCAAGCTGAGGAGAGAATCTTGGCTAAGGTAGGAAGTCGTGGGTCTGGTCTCAGTCTGTGCTGCTGACCAACTGTAAGAACTCAGAACTCACTGTCCACTCAGGACCACAGTGTCTCATCTGAAAGGACGAGGAGACTGGAACACACCAGAGCCATGGTTCTCAATGTGTGGTCCAGAGGCCCTCGGGGGTCCCTGAGCCTCTTTCTGGGGATCTGTGAGGTCAAAACTACTTTCACAAGTATGGTTTGCCTTTTTCACTCTCACTCTCTCATGCTTGAACAATGGAATCTTCTAAAGGCTTCCTGACACGTGATGCTACAATGGATGGAATCCAGAGGTGGATAGGAGAAGCCAGCTGCCTTCTATTAAACCAGAAATGAAGAACATTTGCAGAAATGTACAACAATGCCATGCTTCCCATTAATTATTTTGTTCTTGCTTTAGAATATGTCACTTTTCATTGAAAAATGTTACTCATGATTTTATGTAAAAGGTTTATTGTTGTTACTTTTAAATACATATTTTAAGTGTTTTTTAGTTTTGATTTCTAATATGGCAAAAATTGGTAAAATCACATACACAAGGGCTTTTGGGGATCCTCAAAACTTTTTAAGAGTGTAAAGGGATCCAGAGACCAAAAGTTTGATAACCACTAACCAAAAACTTTGACAACCATCATCTTGAAGGGTCCTTGGACTTTCTGGAATTTGGATCTCCCTTGCCTTGTTCAGTTTTCTCTCTTTTTAGCCATCTCGTACTTACTGCCATTTCAGTTCCTATGTACCTGACTTATTAATTATGCTTATTGTTTACCATGTGTGTTCCCCTCCCATATAAACTCCATGAGGACTGAGATATTTGTCCATGATGTTCATCAGTGCATCCCAGGCTGCCTAGAACTGGGCCTGGCCCTTAGCAGGCACTTGTTTTTGGATGGGAGGGAGGAGAAGGGAGGGGAGAGGGCAAGTTCTTTCAGTGTCTGTATAATGGACAGAGCAAGGTGTACCACCTCGGTGTGATAGAAGAGATGGAGACAGGAGAAAGGAAGCTCTGCACAGGATCACGTGGTAGGTGGCAAAGTCAGGGCTCCATCACAGCTTCTGTTGTCACATGACTCTGTTATCTGACCCTTTAAGGCAGCCCCTTCTGCTCCAACAGAGCTTCAGGGTAACTGAGTGCCCCGCAATTGGTGTTAGCAGAGAATCTGTGTCCAGTTGATCCCTAAAAGTTTGAGGAACACTCATTCCCCAGTGCATAAGTTCCTGATAAATGACCTCATAAATAAATGACCTCCCTTTGTAGGAGGTTGGCTGGAAGGCTCAGATGCACATGGCTGCTGGAAGTGAGGTCCTCCCACAAGAGAACCAACACGTCCTTCAAGGGTCTCGGGGTCTGTGAACAGACATGGACATCAGGATTGGTTGAGGGGCTTCCAGGTTCAATCCTGGTGGCACAGGTGAGGCCCATTCACCAGACCAGAGTGTCGCCAGCCATCCATAGCAGGTGTGCTCTTTGTGGCTGCCTATGGCTTTTAGTCCTGAAAAGCTCAGGTTTAAGTAGCCAGGAGCACAACCCAGGCCTTGCTGCTGCTTCTGGACATCTCTGGGAGTGAAAAGGGAGTTCTATGCTCAGCCACCTGAGTTTGTGGAGCTCGTTTCAATCTCAGTCTCTCCCATCAGCCTCCTGGTGACTCCTCTAAGAGGTCTCAGTGCTTCCTTCACCCTCAATACTCAAGGCCTTGGCGAAAGGGAATTCTTCTGAGACCTGAAGTGTAGAATCACGAGGGAGAAACAGTCAAGCAAAATTGACCGTTATCGCCCAGGAGATAAGACCCAGGAGTCAGTTCAGAGAACGCAGACATGACCGTAGAATTGTGTACATAGCAGGCCTTGCCCTCAGTGGATATCCAATAAATTGCAATGGACATATGTTTTCTTTTCTGCACACTCTCTTGCCTTTCCCTTGGCTGGATCTTGGGGCTTCTGGGAGAGTGATGCGGAGGGGAATATTGGAAGAAGAGGCTGAGAGCACAGATGAAAGTCATCCCATCTGTTTGGATTTCATTTTAAGAGCAGTGCAGAGGCATTGAGTGTTTTTAGGCAGAGAATAACATTAAGGAACGTACAGGTGTACTTCGGAGATATTGCAGGCTCAGTTCCACACTGCAGCAATAAAGCAATTATCGCAATAAAGTCATATAAATATTTCAGGTTTCTCGGTTCATATAAAAGTTATATTCACACTATATTGTAGTCTATCTAGTGTGCAATAGCATTATGTCTAAAAAACAATGTACATACCTTAATTTAAAAATACTTTATTGCTAGAAAGTGCTAATAATCATCTAAGTCTTTGTCAAGTCATAATCTTCTTGTTGGTGGGTGGTCTTTCTGGATGTGGATGGCTGCTGACCAATCAGGGTGGCTGTGGCAATTTCTTGAACTGAGACAACAGTGAAGTTTGCTGCATTCATTGGCTTTTCCCTTCATGAAAGATTTCTCTAGCATGCAATACTGTTTGATGGCATTTTACCTACAGAACGTCTTTCAAAATTGGAGTCAATCTTCTCAAACTCTGCCACTGCTTTATCAACTATTTATGCAATATTCTAAATCCTTTGTTGTCGTTTCAACAAAGTTCAGAGCATCTTCAGCAGGAGTAGATTCCATCTCAAGAAACCACTCTCTTTGCTTATTCATAATAAACAACTCCTTGTGTGTGAAAGTTTTATCATGAGATTGCAGCAATTCAGTCACGTCTTCCGGCTCCACTTCTAATTCTAGTTTTGTTGCTTTTTTTTTTTTACCACATCTGCAGTTATTTCCTCCACTGAAGTCTTGAGCCTCTCAAAGTCATCCCTGAGGGTTAGAATCCACTTCTTCCAAACTCCTGTTATTGTTGATATTTTCACTTCCTACCATGAATCATGAATGTTCTTAACGACATCTAGAATGAGAATCTTTTCCAGAAAGTTTTCAATTTACTTTGCCCAGTTCCATCAGAGGAACTACTCTCTATGGCAGCTATAGCCTTATAAAATGTATTTCCTAAATAAGACTTGAAAGTCAAAATTATCCCCTCTATCTGTGGACTGCAGAATGGATGTTATATTAGCATACATGAAAACAGCATTTATCTCCTTGTAAATCTCCATCAGAGCTCTTGGGTAACTAAGTGCATTGTTAATATTGAACGATAATATTTTGAAAGGAATAGTTTTTTCTAAGCAGTAGTTTTCAACAGGGGGTTTAAGATATTTAGTAAACCATACTATAAACAGATGTGCTGTCAGCGAGGCCTTGTTCCATTTCTAGAGAACAGGCAGAATGGATTTAGCATAATTCTTAAGGGCCCTTAAGATTTTCAAAATGGTCAGTGAGCATTGGCTTCAACTTAGTTACCAGCAGCACCAGCCCCACCAAGAGAGTAAGCCTGTCCTTTAAATTTTTGAAGTCAGACATTGACTTCTCCTCTCTAGCTATGAAAATCTTAGGTAGTATCTTCTAATACAAGGTTGTTTCATCTACACTGAAAATCTGTGATTTAGTGTAGTCACCTTCATCAATGATCTTAGCTAGATCTTCAGGATAACTTGCCGCAGCTTCTCCATCAGCATTTGCTGCTTCACCCTGCACTTTTACATTCTCGAGATGACTTCTTTTTTTAAATGTCATGAACCAATCTCTGCTTATGCAGCTTCCTCATACCTCTCAGGCATCACAGAATTGAAGAGAGTTAGGGCCTTGCTCTGGATTAGGCTCTGGCTTAAGGGAATGTTGTGGCTGGTTTGGTGTTCTATCCAGACCACTCAAACTCTCCGCGTCAGCATAAGGCTGTTTCACTTTCTTACCATTCATGTGTTTGCTGGAGTAGCATTTTTAATTTACTTGAAGAACTTTCTCTTTGCATCCACAACTTGGCTATTTGGCACAAGAGGCCTGGCTTTTGGCCTATCTTGGTTTTGACATGTCTTCCTCACTCAGCTTAATCATTTCTAGTTTTTTATTTAAAGTGGGATACGTGTGACCCTTTCTTTCACTTGAACACTTGGAGGCCACTGCAGGCTTATTAACTGGCCTAATTTCAATATTGTTGTGCCTCAAGGAATAAGGAGGTCCAAGGAGAGGGAGAGAGACAGGGAAATGCCCAGCCAGTGGAGCAGTCAGAATACATACACATTTATTGATTCCGTTCACTGTTTTCTGTGGGTACAGTTTGTGGTTCCCCAAAACGATTATAATAATAATATCAAGGACCACTGACCACAGACCACCACAACAGATAGAATAATAATAAATTTGTGCAAATAAATAATAAAAAAACATTGTGAAAATTACCAAAATGGGACACAGAGATAGGAAGTGAGCCCATGCCTTTGGAGACATGGCACCAGTGGACCTGCTGTATACCACAACCTTCAGTTTATAAAGAACATGGTATCTGTAAAGTACGATAAGGTAAAGCACAGTAAAACGAGGTGTGCCAGTGTTGGGGAGCACATCTGGCTGCCTGGCATAGTATTGACTGAAAGAAAGATAACAGAGGGAGGGTATCTGAAAAGTAACTGCCAGATGCTATGGTGCCTGCTCCTTTGCAGTCAGGGAGAAGAGAAAGAAGAGACTGATTATCAAAGAAATCCCAAAGCTAGAATCCGCAGACCCCCATTCCAGATTCATTAAAAGTGGACAAGAGATAGGGGAGCCTGAGGATTGTCCCTGGTTGACTGGAAGGTCACCCAGGAGGAAGGGGTGTACCTCAGAGATGGACAGGGATGGGCCTTCTGCTCGTCCTACAGGCACCCATTCTCAGCACAGGCTCATCCAGCCAAAGACTAAATTTCCCAGCCTCCTTTGCAACTAGATGATATCACGTGACAAAATCCAGACCAATGGGCCTGCCATGTGCAATTCTGATTAGTGCCCTTAGGAAGATGAGCCTCTGCTTCTCTTTCCTCCTTTCCTAGGGAGGAATGCAAATGTGGTAGGGAGACATCTTCAACCAGGAGAATGAGGACACAGCAAGGTGGGAGGATCCTAAGTCCCAAAACTACCACAACATCACCAAGCCAACAAACCAGCCTAGGGTCACCTTCCCCAAGTGTTATGGGAGTGAATAATAAACCTCTATTTCTTTTTTTTTTTTTTCCTTCGAGACAGGGTCTTGCTCTGTAACCCAGGCTGGAGTGCAGTGGCACAATCTTGGCTCACTGCAACATCCACCTCCCAGCTTCAAGTAATTCTCATGCCTCAGCCTCCCAAGTTGCTGGGATTATAGGTGCCCGCCACCACATCTTGCTAAATTTTGTAATTTTAGTAGAGCCAGGGTTTTGCCAGGTTGCCCAGGCTGGTCTCAAACTCCTGACCTCAAGTAATGCATCTGCCCTGGCTTCCCAAAGTGCTGGGATTACACAGGAGTGAGCCACTGCACCTGGCCAAACCTCTATTTCATTTAAGCCCCTGTATGTGTGGCCTCCTGTTACTGATGTTATTTTCATGTGTTATTCTACGCGAGGGGCAGAACAACTTGCTTTTGTTGTATTTCAAGTGACTGTATCGCTGAACCAACCACTCTCGGAGCCACACTTCCTCTGCCTACAGGCTCTGTGTTGACTTGTGGCATGAAGAACACCTGTGAGGTATCCACAGCATACACCAGCCCAGGGACGGAGGCCACATGGGCCTGAGCCTGCAGCTGGCAGTGGCGGACACAGATGCTCCAGCAGGAGTGAGGGGAAACACTCCACCAAATGAAGGCCTCAGGGTCATTCGGACCTCGTGGAAACAAGTTGTATCAGGTTTGCTGGCGAAGCAGCTAGGAGGCTGTGGCAGCTGTTATTTATTCTTCAGTAGGACATTTGGCGCAATGTCTTACATCTTCATGGGTAATTAGACAAAAAGAGCTCACCACCCCTAGGTGATGTCAATGCAGAGGGAGAGTCCTAGTGACATACTACGGGCTTGGCCTCAGTCACTGTTTGTTCAATGACTTGCTTATCAGGGTTATATGTGGGCCAAAGCAGTTACTAATAGAAGAGACCTTGGATAACAAACTCGAGGGTCATAAAGATCTGGAGAGGCTGGAATGATACACTGAACCTACACAGACTCATTCATTCCTCCCCCATCTGTTCATTCAGTGAAAGCATATTCATCAACACCCAGAGGACGCCAGGCACTCAGGAAGGTGCTGGGACACCACAGGTGAAAAGGGTCCGGTTCTCACTGACCCTGCGCTTTCGTATGTGGAGAAAGACAATGAAATACAACAGACCGAGGCAGGTGGATCACCTGAGGTCAGGAGTTCAAGACCAGCCTGGCCAACAACGCAAAACCCCGTCTCTACTAAAAATACAAAAATTAGCTGGGCATGGTGGCACGTGCCTGTAATCCTAGCTACTTGGGAGGCTGAGGCAGGAGAATCGCTTGAACCTGGGAGGCGGAGGTTGCAGTGAGCCGAGATTATACTACTGCCCTCCAGCCTGGGGAGGAGAGAAAGACTGTCTCAAAAAAACAAAAACAAAAACAAAAGACAAAAAAAAAACAGATAAAGCAACAAAATCATTTTTGGAGAGATAATGCTGGGAGCGCATTATTGGCAGGATGTGATAGTGACATGAAAGTAAGGCTCTTTCCGCTTGGGATCGGCAAGAACTGCCCTGAGCCAGTGACATTTGCCCATTTGCCTCAGATGATGAAAAGGAGCCAGGCTTGAGAGCCAGGTGGAAAGAACGCCAGGGAGCAGCGAGTGCAAAGTCCCCAGGGGGCAGCAACGGGAGTTTTCCAGGAACAGACCCAGGCAGGTACACTGGAGTGTGACCAGCAAAGAGGAGAATGAGGAAGGGGGTGGGGACCAGGTCACAGAGGGCATGGTGAGGAGTTTTGGATTCTCTTCTCTGCAGGGTGAGAAACCTTCTGGGAATTTTGAGGAGAGAGGTGGCGTCATAGGATTAACTTCTCCAAAGGCTACATTGGCTGCTGTGTGCAGGGTGGATTCTAGGAGGTAGAACAGAGGAGAGCTGGGAGGCTCTTGCATGGTGGTGATGACCAGGGCACTAGAGAAGAGACTGTGCTTGAGATGTGTTCTGGAAGCAGAGTCCACGGCATTTGCTGATGGTTTATGGGAGTAAAGGAAGAAGAGAAATCCAGGACAACTCCAGGTCTTTTGCTGAGCAACCGGTGGGTGGTGGTACCGGTTCCTGGGACGAGAAGCCCTTTTCTCCATCTCTGCTAATAACTCGCTGGCCTGAGCCAGCCTCGTCACTTGCCTTTAATGCTCCTGTGGTCACATGGCTGGCTGCCCTGCTGCCACCACGCCTCTTCCCCATGGTCTGGGATTGATCATGTGCAGGGCAGCACCTGAGGTCCACATTAACACTCCCACACACCAACAGATGAGCTTGGAAGGAAGCCCCTGTGTGGTTCACACACAGGAAATAGGCGGGTGGTCACTGTGTGGGACTGTCTTGGATGGCAGGTCAATGGCACATCTCTGGTCGAGGAGGGGAATAAGGACACCAGGCAGGGGAGATGCCTGAGTTGAAGGAGTGAGACCAAGGCAGAAGCCCACCCAGAGGATGAGGGCTGAGGGAAAGAGAAGGTTCTCATGCACAGTGAACAGGAAGCAGGGGGCTCTCCGGACCCGGAAGTGACCCTGGGCCGGCCAGGGGACAGACCAGTCTCTACTAGACCATGGGGCTGGCTCTGGGGGTATTTTAGGTCTCCAGGTTGATGTCTGCAAGGCCAGCTTTTTTTTTTTTTTTTTTTTTTTGGAGACAAGGTCTTGCTCTGTTGCCCAGGCTGCAGTGCAGTGGCTCAATGCAACCTCCACCTCCCAGGCTCAAGCAATTCTCCCACCTCAGCTTCCTGAGTAGCTAGGACTACAGGCACGCACCACCATGCCTGGCTAATTCTTGCATTTTTTGTAAAAATGGGGTCTCACCATGTTGTTCGGGCTAAGGCCAGCTTTTTCTTGCTGATGCAGGAAGAGGGACTGGATCAGACTCAAATCTGAGAGGCCCTGGAGGACCCAGCTATGAGAAACTAGCAATGAACTAGAGCAGGAGGGCCAAAGGCAGCCTGCTGGCTTCTTCTCATTTTTCCAGCCTCTGACACCTCACACCATTATGAACATGTAATTGACCTGAATTTGTAAATTCTTATTCTTTTTTTTAATGATTTCTTTCCTGCATGAATGGCAGAGGGTGACTCATCCCCAGGGACGGGGCTCAACCTTTCAACATGAACTCACCACCATGTAACGCGTGCGGCCCCCACTGGCTGAAGCCATTTGATAAATCCCTTTTTCTCATTTTTACAGAGAGAAGGTCTAAGATCCAAGCTACAGCCTAATTCAGCCATTTGCCCTTTACCCGAGTTTTTCAATATACTCCACACTTTCTTACTCCTGCTGAGAGCCCCACTTTCCTTGAATGCATTCCTCTCTTGGCTCCCTCCCTGCCGCCGGCCTCCTCCCTCTCTCTCCCTTCCAGGTCACTTCTCGTGATGAGATTGGACTTGTTTCCTGGGGCTCTGGTAACAAGTTAGCTTAAAACAGAGAAATGGACCCTTTCACAGTTCTGGAGGCCAGAAGTCTGAAATCAAGGTGTTGGAAGGGCCACTCTCCCTCTGAAGCCCCAGTAGAGGATCCTTCGTGGCCTCTTCCAGCTCCGGGGTCCCTGACACCCCCCGGCTTATGCCCGCTTCTCTCCCCTCACTGCCTCCGTCCTCACACGGCCATCTTCTCATCTCCTTGTATCTCTTCTCTGTGTGTCTCTTATAAGGACACTTGTCATTTGACTCAGGACCCAGCAGGATAACCCAGGATAATCTCATCTTGAGATCCATCACTTACTACAACTGCAAAGTCCTTTTTTTAGATGGAATTTCGTGCTTGTCACCCAGGCTGGAGTGCAATGGCACGATCTAGGCTCGCTGCAACCTCTGCATCTGGGTTCAAGTGATTCTCCTGCCTCAGCCTCCTGAGTAGCAGGGATTAAAGGCACCTGTCACCATACCCGTCTAATTTTTGTATGTTTAGTAGAGACGGGGTTTCACCATGTTGGCCAGTCTGGTCTCAAACTCCTGAGCTCAGATGATCTACCCACCTTTGCCTCCCAAAGTGCGTGAGCCACCGCACCCAGCCAGGGCTGCTCTTAAATGATGAAACCAATGGGCTCTACAGCCTCAAATGCTGAGGGTCAAGCTGTGTCCTCTTCTGCCAAGAACAAGGAAGTGGTATGTCTGAGTGATATGTCATTGCTCATTGTCTGCCATAAGGTTGGGACAAAGAGCAGAGGTCTGGGCCTGGCTCTCAGCTTAGCCAGCCAGGCCCCCGGGCCAGGCTGAGTCACTGTGTCCTCACTGCTTAACCCAGGGTAGCAGTGCTCACTCTGCTTATTGCAGGGCAAGGGGCAATGGAGCTGCTATCTGGGAAACAGTTTGAAAACTGTGAAGGGCTCCACAGGTAAAGTGCCATTCTGTTTGTTTTAGTGGGGAATCACTCTAGGAAAAAATTAGGAGGATTTTGGTCCTGAATCCTCTAGAAGTGTGCTCTGCGACTTTGGGCAAATTATTTAAACTGAAGATAGTAATGCTACTCAAAATCAGTAGTGTCACAGACGTGTCCACCTAGGAAAGGTATAAAGTACTATATAAATGTGAGGTTCTATCATTATTATAGTGTTTACCATTTCAGCAAAGTATTGTAAAAGACATTACATAATGCATTTGCATCTTTTTACTGATAAAACTTCTACTGTAAGCATTAGTACTTACTAACCAGCATTTTACATTTTCCTTTGAAAGGGCGAAATTCCTTCCGCAGAATTAAATCGTGTAATTTTTCCAACAGATATTTATTGAGTGCTGTGCATCAGGATTTATTCTAAGCATTGCAGGAAAGTAGTGAACAAAGCAGATATAATTCCTTCCCTAATGGGGTGGAATTTGTGCTGTGGAGACAGAGAATTATTAAGGTAAAAAAGCAAAAGATAAAGAACGTAACGATAAGGGCTTAAGAAAAAAAAACTCATTCGGTGTCAGAAAGGAGTTGTTGAAATTTTAGGTGGGGTGGCCAGGGAAGGCTTCACCAAAGGTGACTATTTAGTAAAGATCTGGCAGCGGTGACAGTAGGAGTCACACGGACTCCTGGGAAGACCCTTCTAGGGAGAGGGAACAGCTCAGGAGGGAGTTGGCCTGGTGCCCAGAGCAGGAACTGAACATGGAGGCAGAGACTCAGTCATGTAACTGCTGGAGGCTGAGTCTCAGGGCCTCCAGGGGCGTGGCGGGCTTGGGCTCAGGCCTTTCTTCTGAGTCACACAAGAGCTGTTGGAGGGTTTTACCTGAGGACGGACAGGCTGACTGCCGTTTAAACAGGATCCCTCTGGCTGCTGTGTTGAGAATGGGTATCACGTTTAGAAGCCTTTTGAAATAAGTATTTGAATGCACAAGTCATACTGAAAGTCATTTTTTAAATGTCAAATGCTTGCCTTTTCCCCTAAACTAGAGCAGGTCATTCTTGCAGTGAAATAGTCCACTCACTTTTCTATAGTAGGATGAAAAGAAAGAAACGAGAAGGCACGACTTGCTGTATCTAGTCAAACATTCTTGCTACCAAGAAACATTCACGCTCCGAGTGGAGAAGGGGCTGCCTGCATCTCGTGCCCTCTGGGTGAGCCCGGCTATGTCTTCCTTCACCACCCTCTGCTGGGAGGGTGGGAGCTGAGGGGACAAGGACACCTGAGAGAGGCCTGTGATGGGCTGCCCAGTGCCACCCAAGCCCCTACTGCACATCTTCCGCCCCAGCCCAGGTTGGTCCAGAAAAAGAACATCAAGTGTTGTTACCCAATTCTGGTGTCAAAGACACCCTAAGAGTCCTCCATTGCTACTGACCAGCAGTTTCACATGTACCTACAAACAGAAATGGGGTAATTGGGTTTAATAAAAAAAAAAAATACATTGGCCATAAAAAGGAATGAAGTTCATCCATGCAGTACATGCTACAGCACAAAAGAACCTTGAGAATATTATGTTCAGTGAAAGAAGGCAGTCACGAATGACCACATATTGTATGATTCCATTCTTATGAAGTGTCCAGAACACTTCATAAATCATAAGGCAAATCCATAGTATCGGAAGGTAGATCCATGGTTGCTTAGGGTTGGGGGTCGGAGGGATAATGGGGTGATAGCTAATCAAAACAGCTTTGTTTTTGAGGTGATGAAAATGTTCTAAAAGGGACTTCGATAATGGTTGTACTTACCTGTGAATATTCTTTTTTTTAAATATTCTTTTTTTTTTTTGAGACATAGTCTAACTCACTCTGTCACCTAGGCTGGAGGGCAGTGGCACGATCTTGGCTCACTGCAACCCCTGCCTCCCGGGCTAAAGCGATTCTCCTGCCTCAGCCTCTTGAGTTGCTGGGATTACAGGCATGCACTACCACACCCAGCTAATTTTTGTATTTTTAGTAGAGATGGGATTTCATCATGTTGGCCAGGCTGGTCTCAAACTCCTGACCTCAAGTGATCTGCCCGCCTCAGCCTCCCAAAGTGCTAGGATCAATGGTGTGAGCCCAAAGGTGTGAGCCCAAAGGTGTAAGCCACCGTGCCTGGTCCTTACCTATGAATATTCTAAAAACCGTTGGATTGTATAGTCTAAATGGGTTGCTATGGTCTGAATGCATGTGTCCCCTCAAAATTCCTATGTTGAAACCTAACCCCCGAGGTGATGGTGTTGAGGTGGGACCTTTAGGAGATAACAGATCATGATGGTGGGGTCCTCATGAATGGGATTCGTGCCCTTATGAATCAGGCCTGAGGAGCCCTTTATCCCTTCTGCCATGTGAGGACACAGCAAGAAACAGAGAGCCTCACCAGACACTGAATCTGCTGGTGCCTTGATCTTGGACCTCCCAGCCTCCCAAACTATGAGAAACAAATTTCTGTTGTTTACAAATTCCCCAGTCAAATGTATTTTGTCATAGCAGGAGAAGTGGACTAAGACATGGATCAATTTTATGGTGAGTTATACGTCAGTAAAGGTGTTTCTATAGGTGTCTGTCACACACATATGCATACATAGATGCACAAACACACAAATACAATGCTCTTTTGTGACTTCTAAAAAAGTTTAATCACAAATGGAAGTATTTACACTCAGCCAGGAGAATCTGTAAACATGCCCTTTCAATTCCATTGTCAAACAAGAAAGAATGGTTTCAAGGCACTGAGACAGAGTGAGTACGACATGGAAACCCAACCCTACCTTGGGAGCAGGGGCTGACAACCCACCACTAGGATGTACCCTGTGTATCTGTAGTGCTGGCTCCCTGCACACAGGGCAAGGTCCCGTCCAGGACCATCTGCAGAATTTGCAAGGCCCAGTGCAAAATGAAAATGGGCCTCTTATGCAAAACTTATTACAAATTTCAAGATGGTGACCACAAAGAATTAAGCCAAGTGTTTCTTTACGCTTTTAAGAGGTATTTCCTTGCTAGAACTGGGGCAACTCCCATGGCGTTCAGTGAGAATCTTCCAGAAGATGAGGGCTGGTGTCCTATGCCTTAAGAGCTAAGAGTGGAGGTGCTGGCCCTCCTCTGGTTCTTCAACCTGCACCAAAGGGGCATGTCCCAGGTGGTGACCACTGGAATTTAGAGGTAAAGGCAGCATTTGCCTGGAGCAGAGAACACGAGGTGAGGCGGGATGACTCTACACCACAGCCATAGATAAGAGGTACTAATAGCTCAGTCGGTCTGAAAGAGACACACTTAAAGTCATAAATGGGAAGACGTGGGTGGAAAGTCTTGCAGCAATTGGAAAGCCATTCCACCAAAGACGTGTTATAACTTAAAAATATTCCAACTTCTGAATGATTTCTTTATACACCTGCTTAAGTCGGTGACATTATTCAGCCTTAACACTTTAATCCAAGTTTTATTTTGTCACCAAAATGTGAGTTAAGCTAACTTAATCATTTGCTAGACTGACTGGCACAGGAATGACTAACTCTTGGTTTGTGTGAAGACTAGTGGTTCAGTTTTCTAGTTAGCAAAATACATAAGCCGATGCACTGAGGATTATTCAGTTCCATGCATACTGTTGGAATCATTTTGTGATTCAGACAAAAACACACAACTATAAAATCATATATCTGTACACGTCTGACTCAGTTCAGACACATTTATTTAGGGATTATCAGTTTTACAGAATACAACGGGTCGCTATTACTATTTTGGTTGTTCAGACTTGCCTAAAGCACGTCACTGTGCAGTTTGATATCATGGTGGATTTTCAAGCGGTTTATACCCTCCCAGAGTACTGCCTTATAAGGGAAAATGACTGTGTCAGGGTGGCAGTGTGCTGGACGAGGGGGCAGGAGGCCTGGAGTGTGGCCCCAGCTTTGCCAGGAAATAGGCATTTGACCCTGGGCAAGGAATTGATCCTCCCTGGGTCTCAGTTTCTGCATCTTACAAACCAGAGTTGGTCTGAGCCATCAGCTCTCTGAAGTTTTTTCCAGTTTTAAAATCCAATGTTTCATTTTCTCGTTTCTGACCACCAAAGGCAAGAAAAACATAGTCAAAGACACCATGGTTCCCATTGACAGCACTGGGATTGATTTTATACCTTGTTGTCAACCAAAAGTGCCAGTGCAGGGCAGCAGTGATCAGCGATGCCCGCAGGAGACCAAGACTTCCAGGGCCAGGGGACCTGCTACTTATTTATCACACACTTAATGACACGCCAGACACTGTTCTAAGTGCTTGGGAGACATTAACAGAGGGAGGCCCCGAGGGGCCCACAGGTGGCCTGCTAGGGAATGGCTGGGCGGGATTTGACCCCAGGCAGTCTGGGCCCACAGGCTGCCCTTCAGAGGTGAAGACGGTAGCCCTAGCTGGGTAACCATGTCTTCATGCCCACAGGGAGTGCAAGGGACAAAGGAGGCTGACAAGGAGCAGAAGGAATTAGAAAGGAGCATTAGCAACGTTTTTGACCACCAGCAGAATACCCTATCTGCCATTCCAAGGAATCTCACAGAAAAGACTAGACACTGGCCAACTCTTGCATAATCTGGGTCCACCCTGATGGAGCAGGAGGCAGCTCCACGGCCCCACATCTGCCTAGGATTCTTGGTAGCTGGGCCAGCCTGCAAATGGGCAAGGTTGGTTGGATTCGGAGGTGGGCGGAAGTGTGGGTTAAGCTTATCAAGTCCTTGACCCCAACATATATCAGTGAAATAGCCACCACTGCCAGACACCCCAGCAGGCCAGATGCAGGCGGCAGCTTACACATGAGGAAATGATTTCTATCTCTAGGTTCATTCTTTTCTTCCTCCACTCCTTACCAAAGTCTCACTGTGCATGTGATTTTAACTGAACTGTGCACTTCACTTTTACTTCTTGAGGGCGGGAACTAACTAAGCCTTAATCATATTTGTCTTCTCAGCATCTGACTCTGTGTTTGCTAAGTGAATGAATGATGCACTTCGGACCAAATGACGTCTGTTTAACTTGCAACTGGAAACCACCACAAACTGCCTGTTGACTACTGATTTGGATTTTAAGGTAAATACAGACATGTTTCTAAGGAGACGTTTTTGTGTGTGTTTTTTTTCAAAGGATGACTTCGTAAGCTAGCTAATCATTTCTCATAATTATGTCTGGATTCTAAAGAATTCTTTTTCTGCATTTTACTCTCTAGATATTTCATGTTCGTAACACATATATTCTACTGTAATATCCCTTTTCCTCCTCTCTTCTGTGAATGTCCCTCTTTCTTAAGGGGAAAGTGTTAACATTGCTCATAACTCAGTCTGCCATAGCGCATCTGATCACTCCACCCTGTGCACCTTCTGACTTTTAATTTCCTTCCAACACCCTCGACTTTTGATCTCCAAGCACAAGGGCTATACTTTTATTTATTAGGTTTAATTTACTGTAAAGCTCATTGTTCCCTGTGAATCGCACGATAACAGTCAATGAATAATCACTGGCTTCAGCCAGACTGCTTTTTAATTCTGCTGAGTAACTGGCAAGCCAACTAGTATTAAGGACAAAAATGTAAGGAACCCTGATATTGCCCCAGAACTAGGATAAGCCATTTTATTATGAACATGTGACTGCCCTCGTGCAGAGGTGGATCAGCTACAGGGCAGGACCCAGGGCAAGGGGGCTGCTTGGGGCAGCCTCAGACTCTTTGGAAGGGGAAATAGGGAGGACCAGGGACCTGGGTGGGAGGCAGGAGCTTAGGCTTACGATGACCCCAGCACACAGGCCCAGCTTCCTCTTCCCACAGCCTCCCTGCCGTCTTAGCTCTGCCATTTGGTCTTCCGGCCGGGATCCCTTTCCCAAGGCTTTCACACATTTAAACCCGCGAGGGGCAGGACTTTTTTTTTTTTTTTCGTGTATATGATAGTTTTTTCAAAATGTTTTCTATAAAATCCTCCCTGAGGAGAGCTTGGAAAAAGATTCTTAATAGCTAGATCATTTTGAGTCCTTCTCTACCATGTACTCAACACTCTAACATATTCTGCACATTTGGTTCTATGTCATTTGCCATAGTCTTAAGGACGTAGGTTCCATAATCATCCCTTATTCTGTAGAGGAGGCCCAAGGTTAGTGAGCAGAGGAAGGTTCCACTGTCGGGAACCGGTGGTCTTCAAACTCCTGTGCTCCTCTTTTGATATCTTTCTGCTCATATATGTTGGAAACAGCCCAGCATGAGCAAAGCACCACCTCCTAGCCCCCAGCCTGTGCCAGCCCTGCAAAGAGGAAATATGGCTCCACTCAGGGAGCCCATCAGCGACTCAGGGAGCCCTGGAGCACCTGGCACTCAGCACCCATGAACACGAGGGCAGGCATGGTGGGACAAGGCAGTCTGCTTGGGGCAAGTGAGCTTCGGGAAGTAGCTGAGCTTTGGGGAGCAGCTGTCTATACCCAGCTTCTCAGGGCTGTGCAAGTAGCCTGAGGGAGAAAGACCCTATATTAGCTGAAACTGCAGCCCAGATGAGTCAGTATTTTCTGCTACGGTTTTTTAAAAAAATAGTAACATACTCATGTCTCCATGGTAACTTACTATGGATCTGTATTCCATTTATGGAACTCTTTCTTGACCTATCTGTGTTCTCTAATCTGGGCCTGAATATACACTGAGAAGCCATCAGAATCAATTCAGTCTCCAAGAAATAATCACTTCCCCTATACGTGATTGTTTCAGCCGTATAGATTCTGACTGTGACTCATGCCACGGTGATACCCGGAGACCTTCGGGGACCCAGAAACATTAAGGTGCACCGATATCTCAATTATCCGGATAACTCTAGACCTAGAGTCACCATGGAAACCTAGAACCCTGAGTCACAGAGAAGCTGGGCCATTCCTCTCCCTTCCCGGTGGTGCCGCAGTTCTTGAGATGTGAGCAGCTTTCAGCCCCGTGGCCTCGCCTAAGCTGGGGTTTCCTATTTCATCCACAACTTCAGGAATCTAAACTTTCCTGCAAAATATTGAGCATGTGACCTGAGTCCAAACAGCCATGGACTCAAGCACCTTCTGATAAAAACGGAAACCACAGTGTAGGGGGTGGTTTTGACCAGGGTTTCGGAGTCAGATAAACTCAGGTTTCCACCTTGAATTTCTCATCAATCTGACGTGGCAGGTTATTCATCCTAAGGTTCAGTTCCCACCTGTGTAAAGTGGGAGCCGCAAGTCCTCCGAGAGTGACGATGATGTGCGTGGAGTGCCCAGCCCAGATTGAAGCGCGGCCAAGGCGGGTCGCTATCTGGGCACCGCTCAGCTCCAGAGGGCGCCACTCCCGCGGAGCCTGCGGGATCGGGGCTTCCCGGGAGCAGCGCGATCAGCACCACGACTCGGGGACACAGCCAGGGCCCGGTTTCTACAGGAAGCGCCTCATTTGGAGCCTTTTTGTGATAGAATGATCATTAGTCCTAAGCCCATTCAGAGGTTCAAGAATGGGGTCGGCTCAATTTCAGGGCCTTATTACCCAAGCCCGGCTGCCCTTCGGTGCCACCAGCACCACTGCTCCGTCGCTGCGGAATTCCAAAGGCAGGTTTGGCGTTAGGGCCTTGGCCCCAGAGAGGACGCCGAGCGCTCCACGGAAAGTCTCCGCCCGGCTCCCAGGGCGCACACTCGCGCGCACGTGGGGCCGAGGCCCTGCTCCCGGGGCCTCAGGGCCAGCCGGCGAGGGACCCAGCCGAGTGACAGCAGGAGGCGGAGGGAAGGTTGGGCCGGAAGGTGTCAGCCCCGCCCCGCGCTCCCTCGCCGCCTCCGCCCTCCTCTTCTCTCCCCTCGTGCGTTCCCTCTCCTCTCCCTCCGCTCCCCCAACCCTCCTGCTGCCCCCTTCCCTCTCCTCCCGCTTCTCCCCATCCTGCCTACCTCCCTTCCCCTCCTCTTCTCTCTCCTCCCCTTCCCTCCCCTCTCTCTTCTCTCCTCCCTCGTTTCCTCCCCTCCCCTCCACTCGGCCGTCCCTCCTTCCTCCTCCCTCCTCCCTCCTCCTCCCGCTCCTGAAGAGCGCGCCGCGTGGGGGACGGCCCGGTTACTTCCTCCAGAGACTGACGAGTGCGGTGTCGCTCCAGCTCAGAGCTCCCGGAGCCGCCCGGCCAGCGTCCGGCCTCCCTGATCGTCTCTGGCCGGCGCCCTCGCCCTCGCCCGGCGCGCACCGAGCAGCCGCGGGCGCCGAGCAGCCACCGTCCCGACCAAGCGCCGGCCCTGCCCGCAGCGGCAGGGTAAGAGCTGGGCCCGCAGAGAGCGCCCGGCGCGCGGCTCCAGTCCCATGGAGGGTCACCCGGGGCCTGGGCGGGGGTCGCGGGGGGCACTGACACGCAGATCTCGGGGCGCTGCCGGGGGTGCAGGTGGGGGTGGCGGCTGCTGCGAGGACTCTAGGGGCGCGCGTCTGAGTTCCGCGCCGGCTCGTTTTCCGGTTATGGAGTGGCCTCCGGGGCTGGCGGGGTCGGCCGGGGGGTTCCTGCGTGCTAGGGCCGCTGTCTTCGGGGTCGCCTAGCGGCGGGCGCGGCCAGGGCGCGCTGGCTTGTTTCGCTCGCTTTTGTTTTTAAAAGGAAACGCAGGCCTGGTAGGGGGTCCTGCCCAGTGGATGTCCCGGCGAACATGATTTCGCGAACGGGAGTGGGGGCACAGGAGAGCGTGTCCGAGGTGGCCTGGCGCCCCGGCTTTGAGGGTGACTTCCTGGAGCGGCGCCGGGCCCGGAGGATCTGGGGCGCCCAAGACACCTGAAGGCTGCGGCACCGCGGGAACCTGCGGGGCGCGGGGTGCCATGGTCACCTGCTCGCCGCGTCCAGGGCCCGGGCTGGGGACCCCTCGGTCGTGCGAGGAGAGCGTGGGGAACCTGTCGGAAATGAGATCTGGTTGCGCTGGGCTGCCTTTATTTTCTCGTTCCTACAGCATTTGAATGAAGAGGTAACTGAGTGTTTGCTTGTGTGTGTTTGGGTTGCGTGTGTGTTATCCTATTTTATTTTTTACGGCAGGAGACCTTTTATGTTAGCCTGTACACAATTTCAGGGTAGCCTAAAACAGTAGTTGACGCGCTAGTTATTTAGAAAGTAAAGAAATGAGCAGTCCCCTTTGGAGACAGGAGTAATTTATTTTAATTCGCCAGTAAGAGATTATATTTGTTCCATACAATGGAAGCGCCTGTGCGTTATCTGCCTGCCCACACCACCACCAATCAGAGAGATAAATCTCCACGTTAAGCTTTATTAAAATTCTGAGTAGTAGCGCAGCACAGTAAATGTTAGCACCGACCATCCGCAGGGAAATGCTCAGATACTCATTTCTGGGATTAGTCATTCATCTCTCTAAACTGATCGCTTTCAAAGCGAAAAAAGCAAACTACCTTCAAATGTGTGTTACAAGGTTGTGTTGTTTCTTTTTTTTGTTTGTTTTCAAATTTATCTAAATAATCTTACATAAGTGATTACTTGTTCCAATAAGGGTACTGTTGTCAGGCAAATTCTCCTTGTTTTTAAATGTAACCATTCTCAGCTGTTACATTTCTGCTCTTTATCCTTTTTTTTTTTTTTTTTTGGTTTAAAAGCAGCGATCCATCAGCAACACCAAACTTGAAATTGATTTATGTGGAAAAACTTGGCTTGTCTGCCATCTAACAAGCCCTGTTGAGTAAAATAAGCAAGCTTAAATTTGATTAGTTGTGTGTCTGCCTGAAACCATTTAGTAGAGCACTTTAATTCTGCATGGTTTTTACAAAACTCATTAAAAGCTGGACAACAAAAGAATTCTATTCTGTAGCTAGTAATTACAGCTCTTTATGTGGGAGTGGTAGGCTGCCTTTTCTCCTGGTATTTGTACACAAAAGCTGGGGAGAGCTTTTCCACTGCCTTCCACATTCATTCTCTGTCCATCTCAGAGAAGCTGAAAAACAGAATCAAGTCAGCAAGCAGTCTGCAAGCCTAAGGAAGAAAAAGAGCTGACCCATCCGGCTCTGGATGGATAACTGGCAACACCCAAGATGTCTATGATTTTGGCCTTCTGTTTGAGGCTTGTTTATTTCTTTAATCAGCAGCTACCAGGACTTATTTCATGCAGAGAAATGACATAAAGCTCTAGAGGAAGGAGCATTTCACATTGGAAGGAGTAGTGAGAAGGGCCTGATCTGATAATATCAGGATGGGTGGGAAGGGTCCATTCCTCATCATTCATGTTCTCCCGGCACAGAGGACTGTGTGGAGGACTCAGGATTTAGGACCATACTCAACTGGGGTTTGATCTCCACTTTGCCCTGCGGTGGCCCCTCTGGTAGCTATGTGGATCCTGGGCAGATTGTCCATGTTGCTGGGCCTCCGTTGCTTCACTGTATGACGTCTGCCTCTCAGGGATGCAGGAAGATTCAATTAGGTAGGAGTGGATGGTCCCCCAGCACGGGGCTTAGCTCTTAGTAACTAGGCATTCTGGCAATGGCAGCCATCAATAGGAGAGACTATTGATTGTTGAGTGAATATAAGTGGCATAATCCACCAAGTGGAGATTCTGAGTGAATGTGGCCACTTTGGACCCAAGACTGCTGCCCCTCTCTGTCCTCTCATAGGACTATTATTTATTGCCAGTGCTGACCAGCCTTTGTTGGCTACCATGATCATTACCTGCACTCCGAGTGTTTTAACAGAATTTTCTGATGCCTCTGGCCTCACCTGCTGCCTTTTAGCCAAGAGGGGTGTGTGTGTATGTGTGTGTGTGTGTGTGTGTGTGTGTTGGGTGTGTGTTGGGTAGCAGGGTTCTTGGAAGGTCTGGTTTAGCCATAATGTTGATCATAAAGAGAAAACAAGAAAATAAATGCAAATTAAATAGTTCGGTGAGCCTTTGTTATTTCGCCACATCCAGTAAGTTCTATCAGTTGAATGTTGTCTGAATTACTTAAAAAGTTCTCAGTTGTAAACAGGTAAGAGCACCCAGTGGAGGCCATGGAGCTAGGCTTAGAGCTTTGCCACCAGCCTTCAGTTCCATAGCCATGAACCTGGGAGGGCAAGGAATCACCCTAGAGGTGAAGGCCATTCATCGGTGCTAACCCAAGGTCTCTGAAAATGAGTTTTAGTTACTCTATTATCTAAGTATCTTTCTTACTGATATGTAACTTACCTGGCTGAACAATTACATTTTAGAGCTCCAAATAAATTTTCAGCCTATTATGTCATTGTCCAATTACAAGCCTCATTGTAATAGCCATGTTAAAAACAATAAAGCCGGTGAAATTGATTTCAGTGTATTTCAAATTAACCTAATATATTCGAAATATTATGTATGTATAAAAATTATTGAGCTTTTTTCTTTTTTCCACTAAGTCTTTGAGAGCTAGTGTGTATGTGTGGATTTGTACTAGCCACTGGTTGAGAGCTCTGTAGCCACACATGGCAAGTGGGTACCATATTGCTTAGCCCAGGCCTAGTAGAAGATTAAGACTCAGTCAGAGGAAGTAAGGCAGATCCGTGCTTGGAATCAGTTCCTCTTGAAGAAGTGCACAGCCAAGCAACACACAAAGCAGAAATATTTTGAGCTCTGTATTCAAAGCAGGAAGATCTGGGACCATGTAAGGGGGTTTGGTCTTCAGTTCTCCCTTTGATCCCTTCCCTGGGTGTGTGCTTTCTTACAGCCTGGAGAGTGGAAGGGAAGAGAGGGGGCTTCCTGGACTCCTTTCCTGTCTCTAGAAATGACCCCTGCAGCTGTCCTGAAGCTCTCAGGTTAAGCTGATTGTGTCCAGAGCAGACAGGAGGCGGCCCACTGCCCCACTGTACCCACCCAAGCACTCACCTAAGCTGGCCATGGAAATGTGAATGAAAAGCCTGACCCAGGCCCTCTTGCCCTGCTAACCCAGCAAGGAGGCTCTGACCAGCCAGCCAGCAAGTGACTTTTTCTGTGACATCTAAGTGGAATTCAGTGAGGAATCAGCATTATTATTCAATCACTGAAACAGCATATCCCATTGTGATACTGAGAAATGCTTTCCTCTTGAGACCTTTGGGAGGACAGCCATTTAAACAAGAATTCCCTGCATTCACTTTTGAATTACCTGTTAGCTGTAGAACTCAGCCAGGATCAAGTCTTGATGCCACCAATGATGAGTTTAGTGTACTTAATCTTTTGCCTCTTTGACTTTTTTTTTTTCTTTTTTAAGATGAATGATTTCGGAATCAAGAATATGGACCAGGTAGCCCCTGTGGCTAACAGTTACAGAGGGACACTCAAGGTGAGTGGGCAAGTCTTAATTTTTTTTTTTAATTGGAAAACTCGATCTCTAGGAGGAAAGAAAAAAAAGGCCTGGGTCCCAGAAAACTGGTTGTAGCCCTAGCTTCTTAATTTATTGGCCATGTGACTATAGACTATTTGCTTACTTGCTCTGGTCCTCAGTTTTCTGGTCTGCAGAATGGGTATCTTGATGTGTGTTGTTCTTCTCCTCCACGATATGAAACCAAAGGCCTTTATAGCTTGTTTTCTGAGGCTCCTTCCAGGTGAAAATCCTATAACTCCCAATAAAACAGCTGGAGAGGCTGTCTCTACTGCCTTTTCTGTCTACCCAGGAGTTTCCTTGGTTGATGGGAAGCTGTTTAAGAACTGAAATGAGAGAGAAGAGGCAGACAGACCCAACCGCTACAGCTCCTATCAGAAAGGGCAGCGCCCGTGGAATTGTAGGTAGCCTGTTACTGGCTCAGAGAACAAGCAGGCCTACTTATGTTAAACCAAAAACCAGATGAAAAATGAAAGCGCCCTCTCTGCTGCATAAACATTTTATGTAGCTTCTATCATCATTCCTTTTGGGAACATTCTTTAGTAGCACAAACTGGTAATCTCCCACTTGTCTTCTCCAAATATGACAGCAAGATTTGATTGTTTTCAGTATTATGTAGTAAACATGTTTCAGAAGCATGATTTTAAAATTGGCCTCCTCAAAGTTTAGCGTCTTGCATAATGATGATGTACGTCTCTGGCATATTACATTTTCCTTTGTATATCATTATTGAGGTTATTTGTCTGATATGACCCAAAGAGGCAAAACTCAGCACAGTCCTTTCTGCAGTATTCTAAAGGTCATCAAACTTCAGCCTAGTGAGTCTGCTTGTTTGATTTGGCCGGACATTTTAAGCATGGCAGAAGTGGTACAAGAAATCATGGTATTAAGTTGAAACCACACCCCTTAGAAAAATCCTTCTATTAATTCAAATAATTTGACGATGCTTATGCGGTTTCTGAAAAGAAGCAGTCGTTGCTGAAATTGATGTGTTGAAATAGGAAGCACAGATTTGTATTGTCTTTTGGCTTCCTGGCTTTAAAAAAAAAAAAAAAGAATTTACGGTTAGGAAAGGCATTTCTTAGTCACCTGGGCAATGCTTGTGGGAACTTTAAAAGTTTATTGGAGGTTTCACCAAAATTAGCTCTGCTCTAAAGTAGTTTGTAAATCCAGATGAGTAATTTGCACTTGCCTGATTGATCGGTTTTCCTCGTAGATCTCAGGCAGTTGGTCATCATTGACTTGGATTTTTTTGGGCTGGGCTCCAGCCTCTGCCTGCCCTCTTTTGTAATGCGTCATTCATTGTTCTGCATTTCTAAAAAGAAAGCGGGTAACCGATTTTATTTGTAAATGTGTTACACATTTTCTTATTGATGACTCAACAGATGGGTCATTGTATTACACATAACATGGGATTTCCAGCTTATGTTGGAAAAATATAGTCTTTCTTCACGTGTTCCTCAACAATTTAGGCGATGATGAATCCAGATATTATCGGTTACTTTCAAATGAGTCTTACATTAAAAGGTATTTCTTTCATAAATGTTATGTAAGATGCTCAGAAATCGAGTTAGTGTAAGGTTTTATCTTTCTGTGTGTCTCTTCTTTTCTGCAGATAGTTTAGTTTAACTTTAAACCTATTTCCTTTGGAAATCTTTCCCCTTAGTAGGTGATTTGGGTTTTTTTTGTTTTGTTTTATTTGTTTTTTCGTTTTTGGTTTTAAGCAACAGGGTCCTTCTCTGTTGCCCAGGCGGGAGTACAGTGGCTTGATCGTAGTTCACCGCAGACTTGAACTCCTGGGCTCAAGTGATCCTCTGGCCTCAACCTCATAAAGCACTGGGGTTACAGGCATAAGCCACCCCGCCTGGCCTGGGGGCGGGGAGGGGGTTCATTTTTAAGACACTTTACTTGTTATAAAATGAAACGTTAAGGAATTTTGTCATGTATTACTATTTTCCAAACCATTGGAATTGATGTGGAAAAGCATCTCTAGTTTCAGTTAAATTGTTTCATGGCAAACATTTCAAAATAAATGCTTCCAAAGATAAAGTAGTGTATTTCATTGTTTGATTTTTCAGTGTTTATCGGGTCATTTGCCTTTTAACTGCATTGTGCTCAGACGGCCTTGTCAAGGGTCATTTTTCTTACACACACAGCCTAGTTGAATTTTTCTCAATGTAACAGGAGGGTCAGGTGTTTGGTAAAGGGGTCTCTGAGGCTCCTCTCGACACCATTGTAAGATTCTGTTATTTTCAGATTTGTGTATTTAATATATTAACTTAAGTGGATTAGGCCACTAAAACAAATTCCCAGTCACTCCGACTCTGTGAGGTTACTTAAATAAATCCACAGTGGCCGGGCACCGTGGCTCACGCCTGTAATCCCAGCACTTTGGGAGGCCAAGGCGGGTGGATTACACGAGGTCAGGAGTTTGAGACCAGCCTGGCCAACATGGTGAAACCCTGTCTGTACTAAAAATGCAAAAATTATCCAGGCGTGGTGGTGGGCGCCTGTAGTCCCAGCTACTCGGGAGGCTGAGGCAGGAGAATCGCTTGAACCCAGGAGGGGGAGGTTGCAGTGAGCCAAGATTGCACCACTGCACTCTGGCCTGTGTGACAGAGTAAGACCTGTCTCAAAATAATAATAATAATAATCCACAGTAAAATACAATCATTTCAGTCACTTTGACCATTTTACGAGTCTGTTTTAAGGACTGACTGGTTGATTCCATGTTTGCTTCAAAATTGCCAGTTTAATCAGGGACTATTGGTAGGATTGCCCACAGACCACTTTTACAACAGGTAATTCAATCAGTTTAAATATTGTATTTCCATTTTTTTTCCATCTGTTTTTGCAGCGCCAGCCAGCCTTTGACACCTTTGATGGGTCCCTGTTTGCTGTTTTTCCTTCTCTAAATGAAGAGCAAACACTGCAAGAAGTGCCAACAGGCTTGGATTCCATTTCTCATGGTAATTGGTTCCTCAGACTTGACAAATTGTGCATGATTTTCCTAAGTAGTTCAGTTAATAAAGAGATGACAGTTCCTAAGTGAGAAATGTTGGTATCTGGAATCTTTGATATGAATAGCCAGAAGTTCTGGACCTGGGAGAAGGCAGTTTTTCATTTGTATCAACTTGGTGATTCTGATGTGGATTCTGATGTCTTGAGTGCCAGACGCCCCCCAGTGAGCCGCTGTTAGGAAACTGCAGGGGAACCCCTGAGCTGCCCCTCCTGGATGTTTTCAACATTGGCAAGCAGGTCCTCATCTCCCTGCTCTGCCCTGGAAAACAGACAGAAGAGTAGACATTAAAACACACCCAAACTTGTAATTTGGGTTTGCATCATTAGTTAAATCATCTCCCCTGCCCTGAGTTTTGGGGCAACAAATTGTTCTTTGTAATCCTTACCCATCGGTAGTTCTTTCTGTAGTTCTTCGTGTCATTGTTTATTCTTCTTAAAGGAATAGCACGTCAGATAATGTTCATACAATTACTGTGACAGAGCTATTAGTTGGAAACATGCCAGAGATGACTGTGTCATGTGAAGTAGGTGCTGAGAATACAGGCCAGAAAATTAATTAAAACGCATACACTGGCGTAAGCATAACCCTGCATGGCAGCCATTTATCATTCTTGAAATTGCTGAGGGTGTCTGGAGAAGATTGTTTTTCAATAAAAATGGAAGGTGTGGTTCCATTACCGTGCTAAGTGCGGCACATTCATATCACACTCACTTCTCAGCTCTACGCCTAGTTTAATGGAAGTGACTTCCAAATGATACAGTCCCTTCAGCCTTTTGACCAGAAACCATGCAACTGTTTTCATTGCCTACAATTTTAAAATAGACTTAGCAGTTTTCCCTACGCACAACTGCTTTGTGACGCTTTGCAAAATAGAATCAAATCTGAGTTTTATTTTAGATTTTTTTAATAAGTATAGTTCTGAGATATATATTTTCTCAATTATAGTCAGAAAAGTTTTTTGTTAATAGTTACACTGTTTTAAGGAATCATGCCAAGGTTTGAGATCAAAATTGTTCTTTTCCAAAAACTAAGATGTCTCTCCTAAATCTCCACCTGATATCACCAACTTGAAGTCCTAATGTCCCCATGGGGGGTTTCCTTCCAGACTCCGCCAACTGTGAATTGCCTTTGTTAACCCCGTGCAGCAAGGCTGTGATGAGTCAAGCCTTAAAAGCTACCTTCAGTGGCTTCAAAAAGGAACAGCGGCGCCTGGGCATTCCAAAGAGTAAGTACTGCTTTCCTGAGCCTGCACTGGGTGAGAAGAACCAACTTCAGTGCAGTTGTTTGATCTTGACTTGTTTATTAAGCTTTTGCTTGGGGTATTCTGCAAAGAGTAGCATGGATGTCGTTAACCTGAGCCAGTTTCTGTTTCACCCCAATCAACCCAAGACTTGATCCAGAACTCATTAAATATGTAGTAGAAGGACGCATTACTGGTGTCTTGAAATGTGCCTGGGTCGTGTCAGAATGGTGACGTGTCATCATGGTATCTTGCTCATTCGTGGGTTCTGGTGTATGTCGGTACTTGGTGCATAAATTAGGGATGACAGTGGTCTCACTACCTTTCCACTGTTTTTACCTCATGTGTTCCATTTTTTCTTCTCTCCTGGTAGACCCCTGGCTGTGGAGTGAGCAACAGGTATGCCAGTGGCTTCTCTGGGCCACCAATGAGTTCAGTCTGGTGAACGTGAATCTGCAGAGGTTCGGCATGAATGGCCAGATGCTGTGTAACCTTGGCAAGGAACGCTTTCTGGAGCTGGCACCTGACTTTGTGGGTGACATTCTCTGGGAACATCTGGAGCAAATGATCAAAGGTACCAGCTGAACGTCTTACTTCTCCTTGTCCAGGATGAGCTGTGGCCGGGAAGACTGATTGGGAAAGTCACGTGGGTGTTCTTCAACCTTAGGGTTGCCACTTGAAATGACATAGAGTACCTTGCCTCAAAATGCCACTCAAGTGAGTCAGATATATGGCAGTGATTATAGATTTTTATCCCACTTTATGTGAGTGTGTGTGTGTGTGTGTGTGTGTGTGTATAGCATCAAGTATAGCCACAAGGTAGTAGCCTTAGTCACTAAATTGTTTGCTATTGCTGGCTGTATTCATCACGGGAGTCCATGTTGACTCAGATATGTAGGACAGCAAGAATTCCCACGTCTTCTGAGCTCACCTTACAGAGCTAAGAGATATGGCAGCCTTAATGAAAGGGGGGAGCCTTTACTCACATAAACCCTGTGAATTCTACTGTAAATTTTCCTACATCCAAATGGAATGTATTTTGGATGTTGAGGATTGTTGAGGGGGCGGGGTCTGTTTTTAAACAAGTGAGAAATTGATATATATTTACACGCTATCATATTGTACAGAAACTGGCCATTGATCAGTAGAAATCTCACCAAATACAGAGAAAGTCTTGATTCAAAACTTAAAATAGCAGGGAGACCAATGTTTAAAACATGTTGAGTTAAAAAAGAAAAGAGGGCCAGGTGCGGTGGCTCACACCTGTAATCCCAGCACTTTGGGAGGCGGAGGCGGGCAGATTACTTGAGGTTAGGAGTTCAAGACCAGCCTAGCCAATATGGTGAAACCCTGTCTCTACTAAAAATACAAAAAATAAAAATATTAGCTGGGCATAGTGGCACATGCCTGTAATCCCAGATACTCGGAAGCCTGAGGCAGGAGAATCCCTTGAGCCCGGGAGGCAGAGGTTGCAGTGAGTCGAGATCACACCACTGCACTCCAGCCTGTGGGAGTGAGACTCTGTTGAAAGGAAGGAAGGAAGGAAGGAAGGAAGGAAGGAAGGAAGGAAGGAAGGAAGGAAGGAAGGAAGGAAGGAAGGAAGGAGGGAGGGAGGGAAGGAAGGAAGGAAAGAAAGAGGGAGGGAGGGAGGGGAGGGAGGGAGGGAGGGAGGGAGGGGAGGGAGGGAGGGAGGGAGGGAGGGAAAGAAATAAAATACAGTAGGGATTATTTAGGTTAAAAAAATATAAGAAAATAAGCATGTTTATAGAATTCAGGGAACTAGTCCTCACCTGACTGATTTTAAACACACTGAATTTCAGCATCAACTGTAGACTCAGAATCTCGAAAACACCTAGGATTCAACAGCTAACTTTTTTTAGTTACGGCGTCTGAGGGCCAGGGAAACTCATTTTTAAAGACCCTCATTTCTTCTGAACTTGGACAGGGCTTTTCTACCAAGTTTCTGGTGATCTGTTTATTGGCAAATTGGGCCTGTTTTACCATTCCTCGGGCCTGTGAGTTTGTGTGTATTTGGGTTTCCGGGTGGACGTGCACTTTGTAATATATTCGTAGTAAGTATGCATACACAGTGCACAAACCTTTTCCCTTTCAAAGTTCTTGGGCACATGTGTTCCCCATCCCAGACTCCCACAGCCCTGGAGACTTCCCACACCCTGGGGAAGCGTGCAGGTTTGGAAGCAGTGGAACTGTAAGCTTCACGGGGGCAGACACCATCCATTTTATTAATTTCCTGTATGCAGCCTCTGGTACAGATGGCATTTCATAAATACTTAACTGTTTCTTGAATGCATGAATGAATTCAATACACCATCTGGACCTTTTGCGATAGAAAATTTAGTGTTGCCAATGACATCATTCATTTTGGAAAATTTATTTTAGTAATTGGAAAAATGGGTTGCTTTCTCTCGTTTTTTGAAAAAGACAGGCAGGGACGTGGAGCACCATGAGATTAAATGTGAAGCACTCCGTGCATCTCATCATTCTAAAATTATCATCTCACAGGAATTCAGAAAGTCAATTTGTTCTGTGTAGTTTTCACCTACATCTGCCATCTTACGTCTCCTGTGTCTGCTTTTCAGAAAACCAAGAAAAGACAGAAGATCAATATGAAGAAAATTCACACCTCACCTCCGTTCCTCATTGGATTAACAGCAATACATTAGGTCAGTCCGATTGATTCTGCCCTTAAGAACTTTGTCTTCAGTCTTCCCAGTAGACTTGGAATCTCTCTACTGTAGGCTCCTAAGGGGCCACCTAGACCTGTGTGTCTCTTATGGTGGCCACACGTGGGTGTTGAGCTATAAGCCATTGAAATGTGACTGGTCCACATCGAGATGTGTAGGAAGAGTATAGTCATGCACACCAGATTTGGAAGTCTTAGTATGAAACAGAGAATATAAAATGTCTCCCTGATAATTTTTAATGTATTGATTACATATTGAAATGATAATTGCTATATGAGGCCAAGTAAAATAAGAAAATTAACTTCACCTGTTTCTTTTTGCTTTTTTAATATGGCCACTAGAACTTTCGCAGTTGCTTAAGTGGCTCACACGATCTTCCATAGGTCAGCACTGTTAGTGCTAGTCCAGGCAATTCTTAGAGCAAGGAGCAGAACGAAGTGAGCTGATTACCGCAGTCACCAGTAATGTTGGTTTAGTGTAGCAAACAAGAGGCGGCAGGCACAGAGTGCGTGAAAAGCAATTTGTAAACTGGCTCTGAACTTGGGAGCTTAAAGAGCTGTCATGGAATCTGGGTCCTTTCTTCTGGTTGCTGATACTGGGGAGGGCACAGGGTCTGGCCAGGCCAGCGAGGGAGGGGTCCTCGGAACAGCAGGCTTGGGTGGTGTTGGTCCGGCCCAGTGTTTTCTCTCTGGCCCCAGCTCCACCATTCAGACCCGGTGAAGCCCACCTCTCTGCCCCACTGGGGGCTTCCTGCTCAGGAGGTCTTTCTGAACATGACAGTGGGACACCCTGTGCCTGCCTGAACCTGAATCAGAGTCAGAGAGCTTCCTTCCCTCTCCAGAAAATAAATTATTCTGCAATGAACAGAGACAGGAGCGGTGTGATGAAGGAGCAGAAAGCAGAGTGGGCTGTGCCTCAGCACACAGGGTTCATGGCCTGGTTCTGCCCTTATGAATCACACAGTACATGACACGTCACTTGGTCTGTCTGAGCCTTACTCTCCTCGGAAGCTAAAAGAGCCAGTGAGCCCTGTCTTCCTGAAGGTCCCATGAAAGCACTAGGGTTGTAGAAATAGGAACATTGAGTCCTGCCTGCAGAGGCTGCAGTCATTTTGGCAGAGGGCTGCTGGTTGAGAAGCTGAATGGTTTGAGAAGAAGGCCTGGTGACAGACCCCCACCAAAGCCCGGGTCTCCACTGAGGTTCTGCAGAGGGCTGGAGTGTGCGGAGTGCTCACCTGTCATTTGCTCGTAGGGGTTAGTTACTGGGGTAACACTGACTTTAAGAGCTCTGCCGTCCGATTGTTCTGTTCCAGGTTTTGGCACAGAGCAGGCGCCCTATGGAATGCAGACACAGAATTACCCCAAAGGCGGCCTCCTGGACAGCATGTGTCCGGCCTCCACACCCAGCGTACTCAGCTCTGAGCAGGAGTTTCAGATGTTCCCCAAGTCTCGGCTCAGCTCCGTCAGCGTCACCTACTGCTCTGTCAGTCAGGACTTCCCAGGCAGCAACTTGAATTTGCTCACCAACAATTCTGGTAAGATTGGAAGCATCTTTCAACAAGGCTGTTGCTTTGATTCTGAGAACCCCAGAGCCATAATGAACCTCTTAATAAATACTTCCTGGATTCAGCCATTAGAGAAGGGGGTCAAAGCCCATGTTCTAAGTGGATTTCCAACAAGCATACCCCTAATATGTTTCAGGCACTGGCCCAGGTACTGCAGGCATTGAGTAAACAAAACAGTCCCTGCTCTTACAGCCAGATTTCTCCACACTTTGGGATATTTATGGAGGCGATGCAGGAATGTGACATTTCTTCTTATGGAGATGTAACATAAATACAGTGCACAAGTCTCAGGTCATGTGGCTGGTTGGATTTGTGTATGTATGTATACCCATGTAATAACCATCCAGATGGAGATAGAGAAGTTTCCAGTAGCCTGGAAGATTCCTTCGTACCCCTTCCCATCAATAATGTCCCCCCGACAGAAGGGAACGATTCTGACTTTTATCATTACGGATTAGGTTTTGATTTTCTTGAACTTTACATAGATGGAATCATAAGGCATGTTTTCTTTTGTGTTTGTCTTTTACTCATCATGTCTGGGATTCATGCATGTTGTTGGATGTAGCAGCCATGTGTTCTTTTTCATCGCTGTATAGTATTCCATTATAAGAATTTTATTCATTCTACTGTTGATGGAAGATAGGATTTGTGTAGTATAGTTACCCTAAGGAATAAGCACCTGAGTAGAGAGCATTTTGAGAAGTCTGAGTGGTTCTACACCAGCAGGTGCATGATTGCACTGGTAGTGGTTGGTGATGCTATGGTCGTGCCCAAGACCAACTGTGTCCTGGAGGAATCAAAGTATGTGTTTGGTTGTCTTTGCCAGGGACTCCCAAAGACCACGACTCCCCTGAGAACGGTGCGGACAGCTTCGAGAGCTCAGACTCCCTCCTCCAGTCCTGGAACAGCCAGTCGTCCTTGCTGGATGTGCAACGGGTTCCTTCCTTCGAGAGCTTCGAAGATGACTGCAGCCAGTCTCTCTGCCTCAATAAGCCAACCATGTCTTTCAAGGATTACATCCAAGAGAGGAGTGACCCAGTGGAGCAAGGCAAACCAGTTATACCTGCAGCTGTGCTGGCCGGCTTCACAGGTGTGTGTGGAACTCCGAGAGCCTGGCCGCCCAGTCTCCTGGGTCCTGTCCCTTGCTTCCTTTCGAGCCACAGTACCACATTCACCGAGGGTGTTTCTAAGCTAGGTACACCAGTGCTCTACACTCCATGTTTTATGCGTGGCTTGCTGTATCTCTGAATTCGACAAAAGCCACACTTGGAGGAATTTTCATGTACACAGAGCTCCATGGAATGAGTGAAAATTGACAGGCCACTCCCTCCACCTGGGACGTTCTGAGGAATAGTTGGAGCAGGGGACATGGCCTGTGCAGTCTTCAGCCCTGACTCACCCACTCCAAGAATCTCAAAGAATGTAAACTGGCTTAGGGAGGGGCAGCAGAGCCAGTCTCAAATAATATGGGCACTGTTTACCTTTTCTTGCTTCTAAAATCTATCTGCTCTTATTTTTGAGGTTTGGGTGAGAGCTATTCTAGGCAGTGGACAAATATAAAGCTGTTTTTAGAAACAGGTATTTCCAGTACTTTAGCGAAAATACTGGGGCTTTGTTTTCACTGCTTCGTGTATCCTTAAATGCGTTTTTGTTTTTGTTTTTTTAACCATATGGAGCCACTGTGGATTGAAATTACCTAACTTAAAAAAATCTGATAAGTTTAAAATAAGGATACTGAGGCATTCATTCTTTTTCTGTCATCTAAGAACAATCAGCCACGTAAACGTATTAAAATACACGGAAAGAGTGTGTGAAAGCCATTATCGGTTTCATTATTGGGAGTTTAGGGCCTGAGAAGAATAAACAGCCATAACGTTAGTGTGGTTCATTTTAATAGTAACATAAGTTTCTGTTTATTGACTGCCAACTCTGTAGTTAAGTAGGCATACAGTCTGTAGGACAGCCTGGCATGGGGGTGGTATGAGGCCATTTTACAGATGGGGAAATTGGCTCACAGGCAGACAGCTATCGGTGCTCACACAGCTCTGGTTCTAGAATGCCTGTCCCGTGCTTTACAGCAAAGCTTTATTGATAACGGCCATTGCGTTTCTGAGGAAGAGCTATTTGGTAGAAAGAGGTTGGGCTTAGGGTCGGAAGATCTAGGCTCTTCTCCTGTTTGCTGTGATGGGCGTGTGATCCAGGACAAGGCACCTGGCCTCTGAGCCGCATCTTATCCCTCCTCTTTAGAACAGAACCACACTGACACCTGCTTTGCAAGGTGGTAGTTCTAAATGTCAATCGAGGACAGGTGGACGAGAAGCTCTTGGCAAAGCATGCTTCACCAGACAGAGGCTGTGAGGCAACGGGTGTGACCCCGCGTGGCTATTGAGTAAACCGGGCTCACATTAAGCAATTTACACATGGTCATTTGGCAGGAAGGTGGCATGGGATCCCACGTATGACACGCCTCATTCTGTGATGAAACACCCCCTCAGCCACCCCCATCTCTGCCCCACTGGGTGTTTCTAGAAAAAAACCTTGAAGGTTTTTACATAAGGAACAATTAAACCAGATGGGGAATTTTAATGCCAAGAGTTGGTGGCCCTAAACTTTCTTCCAGAAAGAACAAACCTAGCAATCAAGGGGAAGAGTGTCTCGCCTAGTGACCTTATTTTCTAGGAGTAGGCAGTGTGGAGCAGGAACTCACATTTGGTGCCCCGCCCCATCCCGTTAAAGCACTTAGTACTGTCACCAACACCTTGAGTGCCACCCTGAGTGTAACATCGGAACCCCATTCAGAGAGTTGGGTCTGCATTCCTAAATCAGCATGTACAATTAGGATGGTTAAAGACTTGCTGTATTTTACATCTGTGAAAGGGTATGATCCGTCTCCCTCCCTCTCCCCGCAGGAAGTGGACCTATTCAGCTGTGGCAGTTTCTCCTGGAGCTGCTATCAGACAAATCCTGCCAGTCATTCATCAGCTGGACTGGAGACGGATGGGAGTTTAAGCTCGCCGACCCCGATGAGGTATGGCCAGAGCCCTGGGAAATCTCTGGGCTTGAAAACCTGATTTCCTGCTTGCATTCAAAAACTCAGTTCTTTGGGCACAAAAAAGGGTTCACCAGTACTGCTGAGAATCTTTCCACGTGAGGCATCCTTGGCTGTTGGGAAAATGGAAGTGGAGTCATTGCTTTGTTGATAAACGTGTACAGTGTTTTCTGGGTATGCTTCATACAAGGGCGTTGCACAGATTTCACTGTCTTGATCAGTTGTCTGATCAAGAGGCCCAAGCTGCAAACTGAGGTTCTCTGCTGACCATCTGAAAATGCCTTAGGAAGGCTGCCCTTGTCCATCGGGGGAACAAGCCTCATGTGGCCCCGAGCCAGCCTTCTGTCCACTCCTTAGCTGAGCCCAGCAGTGTTGACCCCAGCCCTGCAGAGTTAGAACCAGGAGCCCTGTCTAAAGGAGAAGGCCAAGGGCAGGTGGGATACCAACCCCGCCAGAAAAGCGTTAGAGAGAAGCCCTTGGTCTCTGGCACTGGGGAGCGTAATCTGTCACCATTCCCACCCCGCCTCCAGTTCCCTTGGGAGACAAGCATTGAGGAATGAGTATATCACACAGCTCAGAATCCCACTCGGCACCTGTTAACTTCAGTAGTTGGAATATCCAGCCTGGAGGGTGGGTGACACCACCTTTCCCTGGTCTCAGGACCCTCCTGGCTCTGAACCCTTGGCTCCCAGGAGGTTTCACTGAGCTGGGGCCAGGGAGCAGGGACCTCATTCCCCAGTGGTTCTGCCCCTTGGGGACACAGTGCCCCTACCATAGGTACTCAAAGGTACTCAGAGGTACTCAAAAGGTCCTCCTGCGGACCTTGTGTAGGTGTCAAGTTCTCTCTAGAGTGAACATGCCTCAGAATCATAATCAGGGAGGAATGTCATTCACTTTTTCTTCATTGACAAATTGAGTTTAACTCTTTTCCATCCATGTTCACCAAAGGTGGCCCGCCGGTGGGGAAAGAGGAAAAATAAGCCCAAGATGAACTACGAGAAGCTGAGCCGGGGCTTACGCTACTATTACGACAAGAACATCATCCACAAGACGTCGGGGAAGCGCTACGTGTACCGCTTCGTGTGCGACCTCCAGAACTTGCTGGGGTTCACGCCCGAGGAACTGCACGCCATCCTGGGCGTCCAGCCCGACACGGAGGACTGAGGTCGCCGGGACCACCCTGAGCCGGCCCCAGGCTCGTGGACTGAGTGGGAAGCCCATCCTGACCAGCTGCTCCGAGGACCCAGGAAAGGCAGGATTGAAAATGTCCAGGAAAGTGGCCAAGAAGCAGTGGCCTTATTGCATCCCAAACCACGCCTCTTGACCAGGCTGCCTCCCTTGTGGCAGCAACGGCACAGCTAATTCTACTCACAGTGCTTTTAAGTGAAAATGGTCGAGAAAGAGGCACCAGGAAGCCGTCCTGGCGCCTGGCAGTCCGTGGGACGGGATGGTTCTGGCTGTTTGAGATTCTCAAAGGAGCGAGCATGTCGTGGACACACACAGACTATTTTTAGATTTTCTTTTGCCTTTTGCAACCAGGAACAGCAAATGCAAAAACTCTTTGAGAGGGTAGGAGGGTGGGAAGGAAACAACCATGTCATTTCAGAAGTTAGTTTGTATATATTATTATAATCTTATAATTGTTCTCAGAATCCCTTAACAGTTGTATTTAACAGAAATTGTATATTGTAATTTAAAATAATTATATAACTGTATTTGAAATAAGAATTCAGACATCTGAGGTTTTATTTCATTTTTCAATAGCACATATGGAATTTTGCAAAGATTTAATCTGCCAAGGGCCGACTAAGAGAAGTTGTAAAGTATGTATTATTTACATTTAATAGACTTACAGGGATAAGGCCTGTGGGGGGTAATCCCTGCTTTTTGTGTTTTTTTGTTTGTTTGTTTGTTTGTTTTTGGGGGGTTTTCTTGCCTTGGTTGTCTGGCAAGGACTTTGTACATTTGGGAGTTTTTATGAGAAACTTAAATGTTATTATCTGGGCTTATATCTGGCCTCTGCTTTCTCCTTTAATTGTAAAGTAAAAGCTATAAAGCAGTATTTTTCTTGACAAATGGCATATGTTTTCCACTTCTTTGCATGCGTTTAAGTCAGTTTATACACAAAATGGATTTTATTTTTTAGTTTAACTGTGTTTCTCCGACAGCTCACCTCTCTCTGACCACCCAGCCATTTCCTTCCTGTGCTCCACGTTCTTCTGTGTGATTAAAATAAGAATATTATTTTTGGAAATATGCAACTCCTTTTCAGAGATCAGGAGGGATTTATGTAGCAGCTATTTTTACTGCAAAAGTAATTCACTGGAAAAAAAATGTAATTTGTAAGAAAGCTTTATTTTTATCTCAGCTCTATGTAAAGTTAAAGTTACTGTACAGAGCTGAAGGACGGGGGGCGGTAGGGGTCTTGATGAAACCTCTTGAACGAAGCACAGTTTGTCCCATCTTTGTTCACTCGTGTGTCTCAACCATCTTAATAGCATGCTGCTCCTTTTTGCTCAGTGTCCACAGCAAGATGACGTGATTCTTATTTTCTTGGACACAGACTATTCTGAGGCACAGAGCGGGGACTTAAGATGGGAAAGAGAAAGCATCGGAGCCATTCATTCGGAGAAAACGTTTTGATCAAAATGGAGACTTTTGTAGTCGTTTCAAAAGAGCACCTGAGTCATGTGTATTCCCGGCCTTTATAAATGACCCGGTCAAGTTGGTTTCAAAGTCCGACAGGCTTGTCTGTTTACTAGCTGCGTGGCCTTGGACGGGTGGCTGACATCTGTAAAGAATCCTCCTGTGATGAAACTGAGGAATCGGGTGGCCGGGCAAGCTGGGAAGAGCAAAGCCAGAGCTGCGCTGCCTCAATACCCACAAAAGACCATTCCCAGTATACATAAGCACAGGATGTTTTTCTCAAGAGGGATGTATTTATCACTTGGACATCTGTTTATAATATAAACAGACATGTGACTGGGAACATCTTGCTGCCAAAAGAATCCTAGGCAGTGGCTCATTGTATGTGAGGTTGAACCACGTGAAATTGCCAATATTAGGCTGGCTTTTATCTACAAAGAAGGAGTTTCATGGGGTTCAGCCTAACAGTTATGGAAACTACAGTCCTTATAAACCATTGGCATGGTAATAAACAGATCTTAAGTATAAAAATTTTGTAATTGGGCCTTTACTCTCTCAATAATAAAGTATTTTGTTTATATAAATTCTTTGTGATAGTCCTCGTTCTTCCTCTCCACACCCAGCATGAAGGAGTTGGAGGAAGGATGTTAACCCCAGATCCATTCTCTACTCAAAACATTCCATCATCAAGCGGCAAGTCTCTGTTTAACTGGTTTATACACAAGTCACTTAGAAACCACAACCCAAATTGGAATCAACTTTGAGCCCTTCCTAAAAGAATTCCCAAAAAGTGCTCTCTTTCAAAACAAAAAATTCTTTTAAGAAAGTGTTATAATAGAAAGATTCAAATGTCTTTCTTTGCCAGAAGCTTGGCAGAGATAACAGAGGAGAGATTCTGGAATGTTTATATTAAGTACATTAGAATTTGAGGTTTAAGTACTTTTGGAACTGAGGCCACAACACTCTGTCCCCTCAGTGGAGTCTGACATTGGTAAGGTGATGGTGGTCTTAGGACACCTGTTTTCAAATTTGTTCTCTTTACATGCTCCAAAATTAGTGAGTATGCCAAAAAGCTTATATTCATTGGTGCGCTAGAGCCAGCTCACTGTGTTCTCCCGAGAGCTACATGTCCCTTCCCATCATCGCATCAGTAATGGTAGCTTGAGATGGGGCGTGATGAGAGTATTTACACCATGGGAATCAGCAGACACTACAAATCAGGGCCTTCTCTCCCCCAGAGTGCTGATTGTTAAACATTTACCAACACTCTACTGGTTATATCTATCAATAATTTCCATATTAGAAATTAAAGTAAATTTTAAAAGAATTCATTTAAAAATAATTTTACTTATTGGCATTAACAGCATTTTTTTCTTGCAAAAAGTAATTATTTTTTAAAAAGTTAGCATGGCATTGTTTCACATTTGCAAATCTCTTTAATGTCTGGTTTAGTATTAGAGCTGGATTCTTCTGTTTCTGCATTCAATCTGTTTGCATATATTTTGATAGAGTATGTGAAGAAAATCCGGCCTAACAGATATGTAACAGAAACAAGGAGGAGCATTTAAGACTATTTCAGATAATTGTAGATATTCTTTCTTTACTATGCCAAAACTTAACAAAGTATAATTCCTTAGTTGCAATTCAGGTATGAAACCATATTAATAAACTTTCCTAAGGTTACATTAAATTCCATTGGCCTACGTTGCACTTTGAACAGATCTTTTAGCCGTGTGTGATTTTGTAACATCCTGCATTGGTCACTTGGAAAATATTGCTTCAAAATGTTAACACATTTCAAAATATAATATTCAACAATTACATTACTTAATATCACCACAAATCACATCAGAAAATTACTGGGAAACTATCAAACTCACAGTGGTGGATACACACTTTTTAAAATTCAAATTTTCACTTGAAACCTCAAATTTTATAATCAGCAACAAATACCCCTAAGTATTTGAGGAGAGATTCTCGGATGTTTATACTAACTACATTAGAATTTGAGGTTTAAGTACTTTTGGAACTGAGGCCACAACACTCTGTCCCCTCAGTGGACTCTGACGTTGTTAAGGTGATGGTGGTCTTAGGACACCTGTTTTCAAATTTGTTCTTTTTACATGCTTCAAAATTAGTGAGTACGCCAAAAAGCTTATATTCATTGGTGTGCTAGAGCCAGCTCACTGCGTTCTCCCAAGAGCTACGTGTCTCTTCCCACCATTTTGGGGGGGAAGCGACAGGCTCACTTTATTTAGTTTTTGAGGAAGGACCAGCCAAATACCCAAATCAGAATAATTTGCCAGTTATTCTCTCAGATAAAAGTGATATTCATGAATAGAGTGGACAGTTTAGCTTGCAACTCAAATACACAATTGCATCTCCTTACAACAATCACCATATTTCAGTATGTGTGCAGACCAGTTCTTTAAGTGTACTTTCCATTTTATTACACAGAAATTAAAAAGATGTGTTTTCCATTAGTAAAAAATAAGTTTTTACTGCTTCATCAAGAGCATTCTTGAGGCCAGGTGTGGTGGCTCACACCTGTAATCCCAACACCTGGGGAGGCTGGGGTGGGCGGATCACCTGAGGCCAGGAGTTCGAGACCAGCCTAGCCAACGTGACAAAACCACATCTCTACTAAAAATACAAAAATCAGCCAGATGCGGTGACACATGCCTGTAGTCCCAGCTACTTTGGAGGCTGAGGTTGGAGAATCACTTGGACCTGGGAGGTGGAGGTTGCAGCCAGCCCGGGTGACAGAGCGAGACTCTGTCTTAAAAAAAAAAAAATTCTTGAGTGAAACTCTTATTTTTTCTTTTCTTTTTTTCTGCAAGTGCATGGTGGTGGTGGAGAGTGCAGTGACACAGTGACTGCCAACTGTTCCGGTTCACGTGATTCTGGTTCAGCACCATAGTGCAAAACCACCTGTGCTTTTATACCATCATAGCAAAGGTCAAAAAGTCAAGCGTGGATTTGTATCCTTGTAAAAATAGTCTTAACCTTGAGGATCCTTCTGAAAGGGTCTCGGAGACCTCAGAGTCTGTGGGGCACATTTTGACAATCGTTCTAGAAAGAAGAGAGGCTCACTCAGAGCAAAAGTGGTGGATCTCTGGAGGACAAAGCGAAGGTAGGGAAAATTAGCCTTTGGCCTCCCAAATCCAGTGTCCGTGCTTCCAGTCTTCTGACCTTTTCATAGCCAGGTAAGGAGGAAGCATTTCTTGTTTAAATCAAGAAGAATTGTCTAGTCTGCATGATAAAGAAAAGTTCCTTCACACAGGGTGAAATGGATACTCTCAAAGCCCTTTTCCTGCCATCCTTCTATCTTTGTTCTTTTCCATGCTCCAGTCCAATTCCAAATCTGTTTCAGGAAACAAAAAATGTATATTTTGCCACTTTTTTTTGAGACAGGGTCTTGCTTTGTTGCCAAGGCTGGAGTTTAGTGGCATGATCACAGCCCACTGTAACCTCAACCTCCTGGACTCAAGTGATCCACCCATCTCAGCCTCCTGAGTAGCTGGGACTACAGGCATGCACCACCAGACCCATCTGATTTTTAAATTTCTTGTAGAGATGGGGTCTCCCTATGTTGTCTAGGCTGGTTTTAAACTCCTAAAATCAAGGGATCCTTCTGCTTTGGCCTCTTAAAGTGCTGGGATTATAGGCATGAGCCACTGCACCTGGTCTTGCCACAGTTTTTCTGAAACTTAGAAGAAAAGAGGAAAGGGAAGGGAAATAAGTATTTAGAGAAATCATTTTTCGGAACATCTTCAAAACTGGGATTGTGCAGAGATGAAGTCATGGGGCCTGCCTGCCCGCCTTTTCCATGGCGGGGAAGAAGCAGAATTACATTTCCGTCAGTTCTGCCCCACATCCTGGCTCTCCCCCATGTCCTGGCTCTCCCCAACATCACTCAACCAGCTTTATTTATTTATTTGTTTATTTATTTATTTATTTATTATACTTTAAGTTTTAGGGTACATGTGCACATTGTGCAGGTTAGTTACATACGTATACATGTGCCATGCTGGTGTGCTGCACCCACTAACTCGTCATCTAGCATTAGGTATATCTCCCAATGCTATTCCTCCCCCCTCCCCCCACCCCACAACAGTCCCCGGAGTGTGATGTTCCCCTTCCTGTGTCCATGTGTTCTCATTGGTTCAATTCCCACCTGTGAGTGAGAATATGCGGTGTTTGGTTTTTTGTTCTTGTGATAGTTTACTGAGAATGATGATTTCCAATTTCATCCATGTCCCTACAAAGGACATGAACTCATCATTTTTTATGGCTGCATAGTATTCCATGGTGTATATGTGCCACATTTTCTTAATCCAGTCTATCATTGTTGGACATTTGGGTTGGTTCCAAGTCTTTGCTATTGTGAATAATGCCGCAATAAACATACATGTGCATGTGTCTTTATAGCAGCATGATTTAGAGTCCTTTGGGTATATACCCAGTAATGGGATGGCTGGGTCAAATGGTATTTCTAGTTCTAGATCCCTGAGGAATCGCCACACTGACTTCCACAATGGTTGAACTAGTTTACAGTCCCACCAACAGTGTAAAAGTGTTCCTATTTCTCCACATCCTCTCCAGCACCTGTTGTTTCCTGACTTTTTAATGATGGCCATTCTAACTGGTGTGAGATGGTATCTCATTGTGGTTTTGATTTGCATTTCTCTGATGGCCAGTGATGGTGAGCATTTTTTCATGTGTTTTTTGGCTGCATAAATGTCTTCTTTTGAGAAGTGTCTGTTCATGTCCTTCGCCCACTTTTTGATGGGGTTGTTTGTTTTTTTCTTGTAAATTTGTTTGAGTTCATTGTAGATTCTGGATATTAGCCCTTTGTCAGATGAGTAGGTTGCGAAAATTTTCTCCCATTCTGTAGGTTGCCTGTTCACTCTGATGGTAGTTTCTTTTGCTGTGCAGAAGCTCTTTAGTTTAATTAGATCCCATTTGTCAATTTTGTCTTCTGTTGCCATTGCTTTTGGTGTTTTAGACATGAAGTCCTTGCCCATGCCTATGTCCTGAATGGTAATGCCTAGGTTTTCTTCTAGGGTTTTTATGGTTTTAGGTCTAACGTTTAAGTCTAATCCATCTTGAATTGATTTTTGTATAAGGTGTAAGGAAGGGATCCAGTTTCAGCTTTCTACATATGGCTAGCCAGTTTTCCCAGCACTATTTATTAAATAGGGAATCCTTTCCCCATTGCTTGTTTTTCTCAGGTTTGTCAAAGATCAGGTAGCCGTAAAAAAGAGAATTTTAGACCAATATCCTTGATGAACATTGATGCAAAAATCCTCAGTAAAATACTGGCAAACCAAATCCAGCAGCACATCAAAAACCTTATCCACCATGATCAAGTGGGCTTCATCCCTGGGATGCAAGGCTGGTTCAATATACGCAAATCAATAAATGTAATCCAGCATATAAACAGAGCCAAAGACAAAAACCACATGATTATCTCAATAGATGCAGAAAAGGCCTTTGACAAAATTCAACAACCCTTCATGCTAAAAACTCTCAATAAATTAGGTATCGATGGAACATATTTCAAAATAATAAGAGCTATCTATGACAAACCCACAGCTAATATCATACTGAATGGGCAAAAACTGGAAGCATTCCCTTTGAAAACTGGCACAAGACAGGGATGCCCTCTCTCACCACTCCTATTCAACATAGTGTTGGAAGTTCTGGCCAGGGCAATTAGGCAGGAGAAGGAAATAAAGGGTATTCAATTAGGAAAAGAGGAAGTCAAATTGTCCCTGTTTGCAGATGACATGACTGTATATCCAGAAAACCCCATTGTCTCAGCCCAAAATCTCCTTAAGCTGAGAAGCAACTTCAGCAAAGTCTCAGGATACAAAATCAATGTGCAAAAATCACAAGCATTCCTATACACCAACAACAGACAAACAGAGAGCCAAATCATGAGTGAACTCCCATTCACAATTGCTTCAAAGAGAATAAAATACCTAGGAATCCAACTTATAAGGGATGTGAAGGACCTCTTCAAGGAGAACTACAAACCGCTGCTCAAGGAAATAAAAGAGGATACAAACAAATGGAAGAACATTCCATGCTCATGGGTAGGAAGAATCAATATCGTGAAAATGGCCATACTGCCCAAGGTAATTTACAGATTCAATGCCATCCCCATCAAGCTACCAATGCCTTTCTTCACAGAATTGGAAAAAACTACTTTAAAGTTCATATGGAACCAAAAAAGAGCCCGCATCACCAAGTCAATCCTAAGCCAAAAGAACAAAGCTGGAGGCATCACACTACCTGACTTCAAACTACACTACAAGGCTACAGTAACCAAAACAGCATGATACTGGTACCAAAACAGAGATATAGATCAATGGAACAGAACAGAGCCCTCAGAAATAACACCCTACCAGCTTTCTTTCCTGATAGGGCTCCAGAACTCCACATGGTGGACACTTGTCACTGGGAATGATTCAGGCTTTAATGGGGCTGCTGGGCGGGAGCACAGGGCTTGAGGGCCAGAGGAAGTGGAGCAGGAACTGTGGCAAGAGGTAGAGGGAGCAAGCTGCCCCATCACCTCTCCTGAAATATCAAGCAAGTTAACAGGAGGATTTGTTGTGATTTGGAGATGGACCTTGGATTATCACTGTCACTGGGTCTGTCAGGCACTATTTGTGACCTTGGGTATGCAATTTAATCACTCTCTGCCTCAGTTTCCCCTCCATAAAGCCAGGTCATTTGTGGCTGTTGGGGGGATTGATCTATTGGGGGTATAAGATTGTGTAAAGTCAGTAACCTGGGATGGGGGTGCTATTTGAACAGAGCACGCCAAGGAAGGTGTGTTTGAGCCAGGGGATCTGCAAAGAAAATATGGATCCCAGACAATCATGTCTCCATTTTCATCAGAAGAAATCCAGGGGCAGAGTTCAGTGATGAAACAAGTACTTAACTGAACCAAGACTCAAACCCTGGTCTTCTGTTTTCTGGTGTTGTCCTCTGGCCAAAATAACCCTGTCATGTTTGGTTGAAGTCATTATAAATGCTGCCCCAGATGCTACCTAGGGCTCCTTCAAGTTTCTAGTTCCTCCTTCCACAAACCAGAGGCCACAGCCCTTGATTTGAATTTTAAATTATCAGGAACCTCCTACCCAAAGAACACACAGCCCTCATTTACAGCAGCTGCTGGCAGCTAGCTGAGTTCGAACAGATGCAAGAATCTCATAATCTGGGCCAGATATTAATCTGTCTTTTCTGTAACAGCAAAACAGAAGGGTGAGTCTTGAAGCAGTGCAGGGGGAAACCCCTTATTGTGCAACTCTTTTGTAACTCCTGGGCGGAGTCTGGACATGTGACTTCTGCTTGAAATTTAACATTAGGGGAAAGACCATTTTTGGTCATAGCTGAGGTGATGACATCTTGGCAACTGGAATGGACATGACCTCTGTTCCATGTACTATGAGTAACTGCCCCCTCCCCATTTCTCAAAGTCATGTTCAGATGGCAAAACTGCCTGGGATTACCACATCTGACTCTTGCTAGCTGTTTCTGTGTCTATGGCTTCATACTGTCCAGACATAGACCTGGGGCTCAGCACACATGTATGTTTGAGTGGCATAAGGTCAGAAGCACAGATCCAGCAAAGACTGTGGCCCGGAGGAAGGTGGGTTGGTTGGAGGAAAGAAAGTGGAGGTGGGAGCAAACGAAGATAAGTAAACAAAAAAATGAGCTCTTAAGCAAAAAAGATTGCCTGTCTGCTGTAGCCTGTAAAGCTCTGATGAGAAACACTTTTATGATTTGCTGGTAAACTCCACCCAATTTGGTTCTGGAAGAGGTTATTTTTCATTGCAGTGTAAGCATGTAATTAGTTAATTGGGAAATATGGCGCCATTTTCAAAGCTCACTTTCATCTGTCATCTCACTTACACCTCCCTGTGACCCTGGGAGATTGGTTTTATTATGCCCATTTTACAGATGTGGAAACTGAAGCTCGGAGAGGTGAACCCCCTAAAAAGAAATTGGAGAGGCTTATCCTGACTCATCCGTGGTCCCTGATTCCTTGTGCCTGAGATGCAGACTGTGGCTTGGGAATAGGGGAGGGCTCAGAGGGCTGGAGCTCAGCTGAGTGGCCGGATGTTCCCTCACAGGGTACCCTCCTTTGGCTTCCTGTTGACCCTAGTAGTTGTCAATAGTGCTGCAGGTGCTCCACGCCTTCCCACCCTCTGGATGAAGCTCATCCTAAGGAATTAGCATCTCATTTCTAATTCTCAGGTCCTCAGGAATCAGACTTGTATTTTGGGTCAAATTTGCATACCTTGGGGCTTCTGTTTTCTCAAGCTATGTATGGACCCCAGAGCAAATCCCAACCATGGTTCAATATCAGCCTCTGGGAATCTGCAGATCACTGGAAGCCAGGCTGCCCACGCTTTCTGGAAGCCACTTCCTAGTGAAGGAGCCCTGGAGGAAAGAGGCAATGGTATAGGAGTCTCCCTAAAGTGAGAAGTGTGGAGCCCAGCACTTCAACTATGTCTGTGGGTGGAGCCAAAATAACCAGTTGCTCCTGATCGCTGCATGTCAGCAATTGTATCACAACAAGAGGCCACAGGGCATCACCCTACCCAACACTGTGATGGGGGCCGGGGTCACATGTGCTTAAGTGTCTCTGTAAATCAGCCCTTCAGTTGGGATTAAGACAGTTCAGGATCCCAAGAACACACATGCACACACACAACCCACTTGCACATACATGTGTGCAGTCACACTTCCAGAGACACACATAGACATACATATGTATACACACATGTGCGTGTGTGCACACAGGTATTCACATGCACACACACACGCACACTTATACACTAACACACATGTGCATATGTGCACGCATGCACACACACACACACACCCCACTCCTTTTGCTTGCTTCACCTTTTCTGTCTCTGCTCCTCCTGGTGGTCATCACCTCCCATGCCCTGTCTCCTGTATCAATGCCCCAGGACTACCTACTATAACAAAGTGTCACAAAGTGGGTGGTTTAAAGCAACAGAAATGTATCCTTTCACAGTTCTGGAGGCTAGAAATCCAAGATCATGGTGTCTATAAGGTTGGTTCCTTTTAAGTGCAGTGAGGAAAGAGCTGGCTCCAGCCCTCTCTCCCATTGGCTGGTAGATGATCATCTTCTCCCTGTGTCTCTTCATGTCACTTTCCCTCCTTGCCCCTCTCTGTGTCCAAATTCCCCCTTTTTATAAGGATACCAGTCATATTGTATTAGGGCCAGATCTAATTATTTCATTTTAACTCAATTACCTCTGTAAGTAACCTACCTCCAAAGACAGTGTCATTTTGAGGTTCTGGGGGTTAGGACTTCAACATATCAATTTGAGGGCACACAATACAGCCCATATACACCTCAACACTAAATAAGTTACATGGTAGTTCTATTTTTACTTCTTTGAGAAATCTTCATCCTGTTTTTCGTAGTGGCTGCACTGATTTTTACTTCCATCAACCGTGTGTCCCCGTCTTTTGATATGTGTGTATGTCATATGTCTTCTTTTGATAAGTGTGTATTCATGTTTTGACCACTTTTTAATGGGATTATTATTATTTGTTGTTGTTTTGACTGTTGACTTTGTTGAGGTTTTTGTATATTCTGGATATTAGTTCCTTGTCCAAATGAATAGTTTGCAGATATTTTCTCCCATCCAAAAGGGCATCTCTTCCCTTTGTAGATTGTTTCCTTTGCTGTGCAGAAGCATTTTAGTTTAATATAGTCTCATTTCTCTATTTCTGTTTTTGTTGCCTGTGTTTTTGAGGTCTTAGCCATAAATTGTTCGCCTAGCGCAATGTCCTGAAGTGTTTTTGCTATGTTTTCTTCTACCAGTTTATGTTTTCAGGTCTTATGCTCAAGTTTTTAATTCACCTTGGGTTGATTTGTGTACATGGTAAGAGATAAAGGTTCAGTTTCATGCATCTATGTGTGAGTATCTAATTTTCCCAGCATCATTTATTGAAGAGGGTGTCTTTTTCCCATTGCATGCTCTTCATTCTTTTATGGAAAATCAATTGACTGCAAGTATGTGGATTTATTTTTGGTTTGTCTATTCCATTGGACTATGTGTCTATTTTTATGCCAATACCATGCTATTTGGGTTACCAATAGCCTTGTAGTATATTTTAAAGTCAGATAGTGTAATGCCTTTTTCTTTTTTCTCAGAATTGCTTTGGCCTTTCAGACTCTTTTATACTGTTTTTTCTATTTCTGTGGGAAAAAATGATGTTGGTATTTTGATAGGGATTTCATTGAATCTGTAGATTGCTTTGGGCAGTATGGTCATTTTGATTATATTAATTCTTTCAATCCATGAGCATGGGATGTCTTTCCATTTGTTTGTGTTCTCTTTCATTTTTTTTTTTCATTAGTATATTATTATTTGTGCAGTGAGCAGAGCAAAGTCAGGGACACTGTTTGTAGAACCTGGCTGCCTCCCCTCCCGCAGCCCAGCTGATTGTCCTGGTTGCCAGGCGCTTGTTTGCATTAGAGACAGAACACTCTGCAGGGTTCTGAATGGTTCATTGTGGCCCTTAGGCCACTGGCAAGCAGTGGCAGAGCCACGGAGGGGCTGCTGGTCCCCAAATGTCTCTCCAGCCACTCTGGGGCTGGTGGGGGCTGCCCTGCTGGTGATGGCTTGAGAGAAGACCTGGGGGTCCCTGGGCATCCTGGGGAGGTCCTGGTTTGTGCTGCTGTGGTGATCTTAATCATCAAGAGATGACACACTTTATGACACACGAAAAGAACTGAGCCAAACACTGTTTCCATCAAGAGGTCCATGTAGAAGGCAGCCAGAACGTGTAGAAGGATGGAAGTCAAGGCACAGGCCCAGGAAGCCTTCAAGTCACCCCTGATGGAGGCCAGACCTTGAACATTATAATCCCTCTGCTTGTCAACCATTAATACAGGTCTTCCCTGCAGGACATAGGAGGCTTTCTGGGAAAAGCATGGAAAAAACAAGCCTACTAAATGTTCTCAAGTGACTGATGTAGGACACATCTTAAAAGGATCAAAGGAGGATGAAGAAAAACTTCAGAAGAAAATAACAGGTGGTTTGAATGAAAACACTCATTTTGCAGAAAGTCCAGAAGTGCTCAACCAAGAAATTACAAGATGGAAGCAAAGAGTACAGAAAAAGGAGGCGAAAGAAAAGCTGGAACTTTTGAATGCACAAATAAAAAAGGTCATGAAAGATACCATGAGCCAATTAAAATCTATGGCTGAAAACCTGCTGGACACCATGTAGTTGCGAGATTTCCCTAGAGACCACGGTGACGAGACCTAGAAAACAGAGCTAAAGAGAAAAGCAGAAAATGAAGACCGCCTCCCCCAGCCCCAGCCCTCCCAACTGTAAGTCAGAAGAGTTTTGCTGGGTGATGGTGACTTAAATATGTCCTGTGAAAGTCAAGAAAAATCAAGAAATAGCCAGGCAATTGTGGGAAGAAAATGCAATGAATGAGAGCTCACAGGAAAAATCAAATGCCTCCAAACTGAGAAAGCATCTTTGCAATTTGAAAATTCCTAGCTGGGCCAGGTGTGGTGGCTCACACCTGTAATCCCAGCACTTTGGGAGGCGGAGGCAGGCTGATTACTTAAGGTCGGGAGTTCGAGACCAGCCTGGGCAACATGGTGAAACCCTGTCTCTACTAAAAATACAAAAAATTAGCTGGGTATGGTGGTGTGCACCTGTAATCCCAGCTACTTAGGAGGCTGAGGCAGGAGAACTGCTTGAACCTGGGAAGTCGAAGCTGCAGTGAGCCGAGATTGTGCCTGGCAACAGAGCAAGACTCCATCTAAAAAAAAAAAAAATCCTGGCTCACAGGTGGGATCCAGAACCTGCAGCTGAAGCTTCAAATCCTGCCTGAATCACATCAAGAACATATAGTGCAACTTCAGAGAAGATCACCTGAGGTGGAAACACACAGCTTAGAGATGAAGAAACTTCCCAGCATGTGTAGAAACGTGAACACACACAGCGGATTTGAAGCCTCTACAAGGAGATGGCCAAAGACATCAGCAAAGAATTGGAGAGGACCACTTCCTTCTGTCAGAAGAAGATTATCGGCCGGGCGCGGTGGCTCATGTCTGTAATCCCAGCACGCTGGGAGGCCGAGGTGGGCGGACCACGAGGTCAGGAGATGGAGACCATCCTGGCTAACACAGTGAAACCCCATCTCTACTGAAAAATACAAAAACTGAGCCGGGCGCGGTGGCGGGCGCCTGTAGTCCCAGATACTCGGGAGGCTGAGGCAGGAGAATGGCGTGAACCTGGGAGGCGGAGCTTGCAGTGAGCCGAGATCGCGCCACTGCACTCACTCCAGCCTGGGCGACAGCGAGACTCTGTCTAAAAAAAAAAAAAAAAAAAAAAAAGAAGAAGAAGATTATCATCTGTGAGGAAAGAGCTCAGGAAAGCTGGAGGGCAGTTCTGTCCACTGAGAGAAAGCTCCAGGAGCTAAGAAAAGAAGATGATTGTAGTAGGCCAATCCTGGCTGACGTGGACTTCAAGTTCCAGGCTTTCCCTGGGGGATCCTTTGCTCCTGCTTCTCCAGGCACAGCCCACAGAGGCCCAGAAGTAGCAGGGGTCCCCTGGGTCATCAGGTCCCCAGCAAGGAGGAGGGAGGTGCTGTGAGGCTCAGGGACCCAGGCCACCAGGTTTCACTCAACTCTCCCAGAAGTAGGGCCCTGAATGCGCGGGACCACAGAGGGACACAGCAGCCTGGGCTGTCTCTTTAAAGTGATCTGGATTTATCTCTTTTTAGTTTAGCTATTGTTACTTGGGATGCCACGATTTTGATTTCTTGAAGTTTGGTATAGCATTATAATTTTACGTTAGTATTTTAAAATATAGACATCAATGTAATTCTCATAAATATAATTCCTCATCACTGGACCCTTTAAATTACATGGTATGAGTATTGCATTTTTATTTAAGTTCACCTTTTATGTTTGAGATGGGTGGAGATGTTTAAAACGATAAAGTTCATTTCTGAATGCCACAAGCTGTTACTGTACATCTATACAAGTAACAGTATTTACCTGAATAAATTTTAATTGTTTTTAAAAACAATGCAAAAAAACTTAAGAACAATATAACATTCAAACTATCTAATATTTGTATTAGTTTAGTCCTAAATTTATTGACTAACCTGGGAGAGTTGATATTTTATAACTATTTGTTTCTTGTTTTATATTTTTCTTAACCATTGATGTTTTAAGACAATGTTGTCTAAACATTTCTAAACTATATAATCAACAAAAAGATTTCCATTGATGGCAAACCCATTCTCTGTTACACACATACACACACACACACACACACACACACACACACACACACAAAACACCCGAATGTTGAGAGAAGGGACTTTCAGTTGTTATGTCAGTACCTGAAGAAAATGTAGAATTAAGAGAGATACAAAGTGTTTTTTTAATATTTACATAAATAAAGGAAAAACTTTGTATGTACACAATTTGTACACACAGAAAAGACAACTAAATTATCTATACACTAAAGGAGAGTTGCCTGATGAATCAGACAAGATTTCAACAAGAAACAGTTCATTCCAAATGGTGCAGATGAAGAGACTTTGATAAAGGAAAGTTTCCTGGGCTGTCACAGTTTCGTATGACAGTTTCCTGGGCGGAGATAAAGGCTTGGACAAGAGATGGTGAGACTCCCAGGGGCTAGCACTAGAGAAAAGGTAGTCTTACCTCTGGACCTAAAAGGAGGAGGATGTGGTGTCATCTGAGCCCAGTGAAGAACTGTCTTGGGACCTGAAGAAACTAGAGCTAGAGGTGCCTACTAAGGTGGCCACGGCGCATTGCTGGAGCTGTGCCCCATGCTCCAACTGTCTCTGCAGCCGGCTGGGGAGGGTGGGAACATCAAGGAAGGCTCTCTGGAGGAGGTGGTCCCTGAGCTTAACACTGATGAATGAGTAGGAGCTACCTCCAATGCTTTTCACACATGAAGGGGTAGATGAATCACTTGGAGATCTTTCACTAAGCAGGTTCAGATTATCAGGTCTTGCAGCAGGAGCTGAGACCCCGGGTTGCTCCCAGGTGATGCCTACAGCAGGATGAGATGTGGAACAGCAAGAATCCTTCGATAAATACAGGGCAGGATCCGGGGAAGTTGAAGGGACAGGAGCATTTCCTGCAGACAGTACAGCCCAGGCAAAGACACAAGGGCACAGACAGCCTGGTCTGCGTGAGCTGCACCATGTGACTGGGGTTCTGCAGCCCAACATCAGGCAGGAAGGACAGGACCATGAGAAACAGCGTGCAACATATGCAGGGTGTCTTCCCAATTATCCTCAGAAACACTCATCTGCGTGGGTGAGTCTTGTCCTGAGGATACCACCTGTCCCAGAAAAGTGTGAGGAACCGTAGGCTGAAGCTCCCCCTTGGAGAAGCCACCATGGAGGGTATGCTTGGCCTCCAGAATCCCCTGTGTGGGTCAGCAGCTCCCTGCTCTCCCGGTTGCTCAGCCCAGACATCTGGAAATCCCTCCTGACTCCTCTGTATCCATCCATCAGGTACTCCCATAAATTCCGCCCTGCAAAGCCCCTCTACTCTTTTCTGTCCATCTCGACTACCACCATCCTGTAAGCCACCATTACCTCTTCCCAAGTGCTCTGTTCCTTGGGTAACCACCTCCCTTACTAGGCCCCCACTTCACTATTACTTCCTCCAATTCATGTCTGCACACAGCCAGAGTGGACCTTTTACCAAAGACCTGAGCATGCTTCATATGAAGCCAGACCTCGGCCTGCATGCGGTGAGTGTGCAGCAGCCCTTGACCTTGGTCCTTGTCTCCTACCTCGGGTCATGAACAGCAAAGGTGAGCACACATCCCTGAGTGCCCTGGACGGGCCTGGCTGGGGCCAGCGTATCATGCTGTGCCCAGTATATTATTCATAGCTCCCTTTCACTCTTAAAATTGCTTCAGTTACGACAATAAATTATATGATCACAGAATGAATGGGTCACTTGCATTCAAACTTTTCAAAGAGAACTGCAACATTCCTAAAATATAGAAGCTCATGAGAAAATAGACAACATGAGTCAAATCAAACTCTAAATACAGCCGTGGACAGTCAAAGAAACGCCACTGCTTTGCCAAGTTAGCCCATGTGGGAACATCACGTTTTTGGTTAAGACAATTCTATATTCTTAAAGGCCAAATGTAAGCCACCTCAGTTTTGGGAAGGTCCCAATAAAAGCTGAATAATGTGTAAGCATAGTTTAAAGTTAAGGCCCCTCTAATTTATTGTGGACCTGAAGATATTATGCTTGAAAATCATTTCACAGGAGTCCATTCTAAAGTTTGTATGATGCAACGTTCTTGTGAATTATAGACAAATGATTCATCTGTTTGACTCAGATTCAAGGACATTTTTTGTGGTGAAGTAAGGCACTGAGTCTCAAGATATAATGTAAAGATATGGAGTTGCTATGCCAGGAAAAGAACTATAGAAAGGGCAGCTAGGAAGTCAATGCAATAGTCAGCACACCTCTGGGGCCCTCCCTGGGAGCCTCTGATTCCATTACTCTTGGGTGGGCCCTGGACATCTATATTTTCTCCAAGTTCCATTCATGATTCTAATGCTCAGCAAAGCTGGGGAACCACTGCAATAAGGCATGATCTTGAGAGTTATGGCGCAGAGACATGCATCTGCCTCTGACTCAGCACAAGGGGCACCCCGCTTCTCACGTCTCATGACTGCATGGTGTACAGTGTGGTCAGTTCAGCCTTTATGTCTAACCTCTGTCCTTCTCCACCCTGTGGGGTGCCGCTGACCTGTGGGGTGTTGACCACAAACAGATTCCTACCCCATGTTTCTTGGGGGTTCATCCCATGGGGATTTCCAGAAGGAGACTGGAGTTTCACTCTCCTGCCTCCCCTGATCCCTGCTTTTTTTTTTTTTTTTTGAGACAGGGTCTCACTCTAACACTCAGGCTGGAGTGCCGTGGTATGATCTCGGCTGACTAGCAACCTCCACCTCCTGGGTTCAAGCGATTCTTCTGCTTCAGCTTCCCGAGCTGCTGAACTAAAGGCACGTGCCACCACGCCTGGCTAATTTTTTTATTTTTAGTATATTTTAGTAGAGACGGAATTTCACCGTGTTGGCCAGCCTGGTCTTGAACTCCTGACCTCAAGTGATCTGCCCGCCTTGGCCTCCTAAAGTGCTAAGATTCCAGACGTGAGCCACCGGGCTCTCCTGCCTCCCTTTTGACCAGCTGGCCTTGAGCTGGCTGTGTCCGTGGGCCTGAGGCTATGCTCCTCTCAAAGGCTGACTCTCCATGGCTCTCCTTGTGGTTCCACTAACTAGTGCCTACCCTTGTCCCTCGAGGCTTAGAAGGTGCTGAAGCTGAACTGCAGGGAGCCCCAGGTTACTGCCTGTATTCATTACCTGTGTCTGCTGTAAGAAATTTCCACACACTCATTCACTTAAAACAACATATATTTATTATCTTACATTTCTAGAGGACAAGAGTCCAGAAATAGTCCCACTGGGCTAACGTCAAGGGCTAGTGCCCTCTGGAGCTCCTAGAGTCAGCCTGCATTCCCAGGCTTATGGCCCCTTCCACCATCCTGAGAGCCAGCAGTGTGGCACCTTCAACTCTCTCTCTGCCCACCCTCCGCTTTCATCATCACTCATCTCTGACTGTGAGGATCCTGCTTCCCTCTTTCGAGGAACCCTGTGACTACATGGGTGATCCATGACAGTCTGCCCATCTCCAGATCCTCAGTCACCCTGCAAAGTCTCTTTTGCCGAGTAAGGCAGCATGTTCACAGGTTCTGGGGAGCAGGAGGTGGACCTCTTGGGGGTCATTATTGCGTGTACCGCACCTTGCTTTCTACTTTGCAGTTTCCTACGCCCACACCTTTGTGAACAGCCCCGTGGTGTATGAACCCTCCTCAAAGTCACCTGTTTCCAGCATCATTTTTTCCCTAACTCTGTGCACCATCTCTAGCACTTATTTTTTAAATGTATTGAAAAGATAGACTCAATTAGCACTTATGGAACAGCTTTCCGAGGAAATGAATAGATTTGAGCAGTTTGCTGATAGAGGTGCCCAGTGGAAATATCAAAGTACAAATGAGAATGTTGGTGGTTTCCATGAAGTGAAGCTGTCTGACCAGACAATAACATGAGAATCATGTCTCCACAGAGATTACCCACTTTTGAATCACTCTGTCAAGGTGTTGGCACAATGCTGCCCTCATTATCGAAAGGCGATGACTACAACAGTCTTGTTCATTCAAGAGCTGTACTCCAGTCAAGGAACTGAGAACCTCCCAGGGGGCACAGCCTTGTGCTTGGTTGTGCAACCAACATGCCTTATTTCTAATTTCACACACAATGTGTGTGATCAGCAAAACAAGGGCCCCCCAAATATGTCTATGCCCTAATCTCTGAGGCCTGTGAATATGCTGTGTTACATGGTCAGAGAGACTTTGCAGATGTAATTAAATTTAGGGACTTTATAATAGTGAGATTGTCCTGGATTCTCTGGGTGGGCCAAATTAATTTCATGAGGCCTTCACAGTAGGGCACTCTCAGGCTGGGAGCAGAAGAGGGGTGCAGCAGGAAGAGAAGTCAGTGGAGTCTGATCCTGAGATGGATGGCATGCACGCTCACTGGCCCTGAGATGCAGGGGCCACATGTGAGGACCAGAGGGAGATCTCTAGGGGCTCTGACGGCTCCTCCCAGCTGACAGCCAGCAAGGAAACAGGGACCTCAGCCCCACAACCATGGAAACTACTAGCAGTATAGATGAACCTGGCTGCTGATTTTTCCCAGGCCTCTTAGTAAGAACCCAGCTGGTTGACATCTTGGTTTCAGGCTTACAGAACCCAAAGCAGAGAAAGCAGTTGAGCTGTCCCAGACTTCCGACCTACAGAACTGTCAGGCAATAAACCGTTATTGGTTTCAGCCCCTAGCTTTGTGACTGTTTGTCATGGCAGCAACAGAAAACTAAACGAAGCCATTTCAGTGAGAGCAGGAAAAGTGCTGTAAAATAGTATTCTCTAAAAGAGAAAATTTTCATTGTTTATTTCTGATGATAAAAATAATACACTCTCATTCTTGGAAAATAGAACAACATGAAAAAAAAAGAAGAAAATTAAAATTACTTATAATCTCGCCAACCAGAGATCATTATCATTATTGCAATGGACTATATCATGTTCCCTCAAAATTCATATGTTGAAATTCCCAACCACCAATGGGACTGTATTAGGAGGTGGGGTCTTTATGGAGGTAATTAAGGTAACTGAGGCCATGAAAGTAGGGCTCTGATCGAATAGGATTGGTGTCCTCATAAAAAGATAATTTAATAATTATATATATTGTATATACACAATCTCTCCCTCTCTCTCTCTTTCTCTGCTACGTGAGGACACAGCAAGGGGAGAGAGCAGCTATCTGCAAGCCGGGAAGAAAGCCCGCATCAGAAACCCAATAGGCTGGCACCTTGATCTTGGACTTCCAGCCTCCAGAACTGAGAGAAATAAATGTCCGTTGTTTAGGCCACTCAGTCTATAGTATTTACTTATGGCAGCCCAAGCATACTAATACAATTACTGATCGCATTTTCCTGTATTTCTTACCAATATTTTAAAGCCCACATTTTTCTTAGAAGTAAGAACATGTCATATATAATCATATAGCTTCTTAATAAGTAACATTGTTGCCATTAATATGTTACTAGAAAAATTTAAAAATCTGTTTTTCAATGACTACATAATAGTTTTTCAAGCTCCATAATGGCAAGGTCTTTCCTTTTTTAAAAAAGTGAGGTTTAATTTACATGCAGTAAAATGAACAGATTGTAAGGGTTCAGTTTGATCAGTGTATTAGTTCATTGCTGCACTGCTGTAAAGAAATACCTGAGACTGGGTAATTTGTAAAGAAAAGAGGTTTAATTGGCTCATGGTTCTGCAGGCTGTATAGAAAGCACGACAGTCTCTGGGGAGGCCTCAGGAAACTTACAATCATGTCGGAAGGCAAAGAGGCAGCAGATGCATCTTATGTGGCTGGAGCACAAGGAATAGAGAGAGAGGAGAGAGGTGTTGAACACTTTTAAACAACCAGATCTTGTGAGAACTCCATCACAAGAAGAGCATCAAAGGAAGAAACTGCTCCCATGATCCAATCACCTCCCACCAGGCCCCCGCTCCAACATTGGGGATTACAATTCGACATGAGACTTGGGCAGGGGCACAGATCCAAACCATATCAATCAGTTCTGACAAATGCATTCAGCTATGTAACTCACATCACTATCAATATATTAGATGTTTTCGATCACTCTAGAAAATTCCTTCTGTGCCACTTCCTGATCAATTCCCACCATTCCAGAAACAACTTCTATTCTCATTTCTATCCCCATGAATTAGTTTTCCTTGAGAAGGTCATAAATGTTATCATACACTATGTACTTTTGTGTCTGCTTCTCTCACTCGGAATAATGCTTTTGAGATTCATGCATGTTGCTGTGTATTGGTGCTTTGGTCCTGTCTGTTGCTGAGTCATGTATGGGTACACTGCAATTTTGTTATTGGTTCACCAGTTCATGAACGCTTGGCATATTTCTGTTTTGGAGCTAGTATGAATAAAGCTGCTATGAACATTTTTGTGCAAGGATTTTTGTGGGCATATGTTTTCATATCTCTAGGAACTGAATTGTGAGTCATAGGATAGATATATATTTAAAATTATAAGAAACTTCCAAACCATTTTTCAAAATGGTTATATCATTTTATGTGCTCACCAGCTACATGTAAGAGTTCCAGTAGTTCGGCTTCCTCTGCTATACTTGGAATGGTCAATCTTTTTCATTTTAGCCATGCTAGAGGGCTGAAGTCCTATCTCACTTTTAATATGCATTTCCCTGATGACTAACGGTGTTCATGTGCTTATTGGTCACATATCCTATTTGGTAAAGTCTCTTTTTAGTCTTTTACCTAATTTTAACTAGGGTTGTTTTTTTTATTATTAAATTCTAGCAGTTTTTAAAAATATATGCAGATGCTCCCTGATTTGCAATGGAGATACATCCTGATAAACCTGTTGTAAGTCAAAACTATCATGAGTTTGCATTTAACACTCCAATAAAGCCATCATAAAGTCAAAAAATCATAAGAATGGACGTTTTCTCCCAGCCTGCGGCTTGCCTATTTCATATCTTAATAATGTCTTTTGATGGGCAGAAGTTTTTAATTTTGGTGAATTCTCATAATGCTTGGCTGTGGGTTCTCATCCAAATCTCATCTTGAATTATAATTTGAATTGTAATCCCCACATGTTGAGGGAAGGACCTAGTGGGACACGATTGGATCATGGGGGCAGTTTCCCCCATGCTGTTCCCGTGATAGTGAGTTCTCACAAGATCTGGTTGTTTAATAAGGGTCTGGTGCTACCCCCTTCTTTCTCTTTCTCTCCTGCCACCATGTAAGATGTGCCTTGCTTCCCCTTCGCCTTTGTGAGGCCTCTACAGCCATGCAGAACTGTGAGTCAGTTAAACCCCTTTTCTTTACCCAGTCCCAGGTAGTATCTTTATAGCAGTGTGAAAATGGACTAATACAAATTCCAATTCCAATTTTAGTGAATTCCAATTCCAAATTTTGGTGAATTCCAAAAATTTTTTTCTATGACTCTGCTAACAAATGTGTCCATCCCCAAATTCATAAAGATATTTTTAAAGTTTTCTTCTAGAGGTTTTACAGGTTTAGTGTTATGATAAGGCCTATGGTCCACCTTGGAATAAATTTTTTGTATGGTATGAGGTAGGGATTGAGGTTCTTCCCTCTCCTCATATGGATTTCACTTATTTCTGCATCTGTTTTTGGAAATTTCCTTTTTTTCTCGTTGAATTGCTTTGGCATCTTTGTTGAAAATACCATTTGACCATATAGTTGGGAACTTATTTCTAGAATTTCTATTTTGCTTGATCTTTTTTTGTCTGTTCTTTCAGCAGTACAGTCCTGTATTAGTCTGTTCTCATTCTGCTAATAAAGACATATGCAAGACTGGGTAATTTATAAAGGAAAGAAGTTTAATTGACTCACAGTTCCACATGGCTGGGGAGGCCTCACAATCATTGTGGAAGGCAAGAGAGCGTATGTAGGAGAACTCAAAACCATCAGATCTCATGAGACTTATTCACTACCATGAGAACAGTATGGGGAAACCACCCCCATGGTTCAATTATTTCCACCTAGCTCTGCCTTTGACACACGCAGATTATTACAATTCAAGGTGCAATTTGGGTGGGGACACAGCCAAACTATATCAAGTACTGTTTTGATTACTACAGCTTTAGGTTAAAATTTGAAGTCAGGTAGTATAAGTCCTCCAAATTTGTTCTTTTTCAAAATTATTTTTGCCATTCTATGTGCTTTGAATTTTCATATAAATTTTAGAATCTGCTCATTGATTTCTATTTTTAAAAACCATCTGGGATTTGGATTGGGATTGCCTTGCATCTATACATAAATTTGGAGATAAATGACATAATAAGAAAATTGTCTCCCAATCCATAAACATTGTATATATTTCCATTTATTTAGGTCTTATTTTATTTCTCCACAACATCTTATAGTTTTTATTACAGAGGTATTACATACCTTTTGTTAAATTTATCTCTAAGTATTTCATATTTTGGGGTGCTATTGTAAAGAGTATTTTAAAACTTTTATTTTTAAATGCTATATAAAAATATATGTGTATATAAAAACACATACATGTGGGTGTATTTGTATATCTATCACTACAGCTATATGTTTATATTAATGTCTATATCTATGTCTATCTTTGAGTCTCTATTTTCAGACTTGGGCAAACTCTACTCCTCAATTTGTGGAAAAATCTCAGTATTGATCTATGCATGGTAGGTGCATTTCATACATATGTATGTATTTTTAACAATGTAAGAAGCACCCTCTATTTCACCTTCCAAACAAAAACTTAACTGACAGTAATCTATATCTAATCACATGGTTTCCGCCACTTAAGGCCTATCCCCTGGTCTCCATAGTCAAGTATTATCATCCCAAATAAATCTCTGAATTTATTGAACCTTTTCCCTGTTCACGGATTTTGTGGTGATGTTTCCAGGTTTTTGCTGTCACAACTAATTCTGTAATAAGTATTTTTGTGTGGTATATTTGGTCCAAACACTGATTATATTCTTGGGAGGTGTTTTTATAATTGGAATTCCCATGCTAAAGTACATCAAAGGGCATGAACATTTTAAGATTCTTGATATAGTTTAGCAAAAGATTTCCAGAGTGCTTGTATCAACTAACTCTTTCACCAGCAAGACAAGAATGGCCACTTCAGAGTACCTTTGCCAAAATTTATTAAATTTTTTTAACTTCGTTAAATATAATGAGTGACACTTTTAACTTTTGCATTATTCACATTTTATTAGACAGTGGTTTTTCCTACTCTGCAAATTTTCTATTTTGATTTTGAAATATTTGTATTTAATGATATTTAATGTATTGTGGAGAGTAACTAGCTGCACATCACATTTATAGAAAGTATTTTTCCCTTTTAATTTTGTACATGATTATACCAAGTTTTATACATGCTCCATCCTCATGACCTAAACACCTCCCAAAAGGCCCAACACCCCAACAAACAGTGTTACAGTGGGGATTAAGCTTCCAATACATGAATTCTGGGGGACACATTCAGACAAGAGCAAATATTAAAACTATAAATTGTATAAAATTGTATAAACACAATTTACCTATTATCTGTTAGGAAGTGTCATTGTTCTAAGGTCATCCTAGTCCTGGTCAGCCAGTCTCACATGAAATAAAATCCACCTGGCTGTGAAGCCACCTCCTTCAGCACAGTGCCATCATCCCTGCCCTCTACTTAGTGAAAAACAATGGGACTGTTAAAGCGTTGCATTGGAAAGCATTACCTACTCTTCCAGCCTGATCTGGAATAGCCTCAGACGCCCCCAGCCCCTCTCAGAATGAGGGGACTTTTTCCAGCTCCGCAGGACTGTGCAGGGCCCCTTCCCAGTGCAGCCTTGACTGTGGGGTGCGGTCCCTCTGCATGCCACTCACAGGACAAGTTTAATCAAGCCCAGTTTAAGGATCACAACCATAATGTCTACAAAACCATGATGAACTACAACCATTTGTAGTTCATTAGTTCAGAAAATCATTACTGAACTTCTGTGAACCTCCACAGTGCAAGAGCCCTTTTTGAAATGCAAATTTGGATAGATTCCCAGTTCAGGCTTACTTATATGCCAAGATAAATGAAAAGGGGATTCTTACATGTCAGTCAAAGATGATTTCTCATCTAGCACACACCCTGAGCTTCTGGAAGTCGCCCAGTCACTCACTACGTTATTTGCCACACAGGTATTACACAAAGACCACGAGAAAAAGTCATCGTCCAAACCAGAGAAAGGAAATTGACCGGTGACCTGTCCTGGGCGCATAGCCGCATGTGATGACAGGCAGGACCCTGGCAGGGCAGAGAAACCAGCTCTGTTCAGAGGTTTCCAGACTGTAAATTTAAAGCCCTGTACAATTTCAACAACAATGAAAATTTAAGGATCAAGTGTACTGGCCTTTCAACCTTCCACTTTGCCAAATAAGCAAATTGAAAAAATAGTTACACTCATTTTTGCTATCATTTTATAAAAGGATATTTTTAACAGAAAAAAAGGGTAAAGAAAGTTATCTTAGAATAAAAGACAGTTTCTCAATTAAGTTCATTTGAAGTATGACAACTTGCTATACATTCCTTATTTTTCTACTTTCGTTTGCAGACCAGTGCAAAGGCTTTTATATGGACCAACCCCAGTCAGAAAGCAGGCACTTGGAAACCTCGTGTCTGTGAAGAACAAGGGGTGGAACCTCTGAAATCCTCCCCTTTGAGATTTCCCATGCATTCACACATCCTTCTGTGTGCCTTGAAAATGTAAGAAACAGATGTGGGCAAGAGGCAGCCAGAAGACTCCGGCACAGGCCCTGCAACCTATCTGCTCACATCCTGCTTGGGAGACATGTCAGCGATAAACTCCAGGAGTAGTCACGAGGGCTGACAGGGGTTCCTGCCCGGCTCTGCATCCAACAGCCTGGTGGAGCCTAGGCTAAGTCTACAAAAATACGGAGCTCAGAGCTCCTACCTAGATTTCTTTGCTTTATTCAGGCAGAATTGACAAATTAAAAGGTATGTATTTAAGGTGTACTACTTGATTATTTGAAATACATGTACACAATTATGCTAATTAACATATCCATCGCCTCACAGTTACCTTTTTGGTATGTGATGAGAACACTCAAGATCTGACCTCTTGGCAAATTTCGTGTACAACACAGTATTGTTCATTGCAGTCACCACGCAGGACACTAGATCTCCAGAATTTAAGTTACGTTTTGATTGATTAGGTATGAGTTGGGCCTAACGATAGCATTTTACTCTTTTTATTCTTTTTTCTTTTTTTTTTTGAGACAGGGTCTTAACTGTCACCCAGGCTGAGTGCAGTGGCACAATCATGGTTCACTGCAGTCTCAACTACCTGGGCTCAAGCAATCTCCTACCTCAGCCCCACAAGTCGGTGGGACTATAGGCACACCATCACGCTTGGCTCATCTTCTATTTCTCATAGAGACAGGGTCTAACTATGTTGCCGAGGCTGGCCAGGAACTCCTGTACACAAGTGGTTCTCCCGCCTTGGGCTCCCAAAGTGGTGGGATTACAGGCTTGAGCCACTGCACCTGACTGGACATTTTACTCTTTATCACAGCATTAGATACACATGGTCTAAAATATCACAAGGCTTATAATGGAAACAACTAGCCCCTGGCTCTGCCTACCCCACGCTGCTCATAGCCATGAGATTACGACCACCAGTGCACTTAGTGATGCTTTTGGGAATTCACTTCTATGCTCGTTAATAACATGCTCATAGGGCTAGATCCTGATCCTCCATTGAGCACATTAACCTTGGGGATCTGCAAAACCATGGCTTCTCCCCACTAAAGATGTCCATGTCCTAATCCTGGGAACATGGGATCCTGTGAACATGTCACTTTCCATGCCAGAAGGGACTTTGCAGGTGTGATTCAAGTAAGCATCTTGAGATGGGGAGATTTTCCTGGATTATCCAGCCTGGTCCAATATCATCATAAGGGTCCACATGAAAGGGAGGGATTATCCAGCCTGGTCCAATATAATCATAAGGATCCATATGAAAGGGAGGGATTATTCAGCCTGGTCCAATATCATCATAAGCGTCCATATGAAAGGGAGGGATGAGAGTGGAGTCAGAAAAAAGAGAGGTCGCCGTGGAAGCAGAGGTTGGAACAATTCACTGTGAAGACAGAGGAAGGGGCCAAAGCCGAGGAATGTGGCGGCCTCTGGAAGCTGGAAAGGGCAAGGAAGATTCTCCTCAGAGCTTCCAGAAAGACAACAGCCCTGCCGACGCCTTTGATTATAGCACAGTGAAGACTCATTTCAGACTTCTGAACTCCAGAACTGCAAGGTCACAGTTGTGTTGTCTTAAGCCACTGAATGTCCGGTAATGAGTTACAGAAGCAACAGGAAGCCAATACAGCTCTTTAATACTCCCCCAAATTACCACCCTGTTGCCCCAACAAACATTCGCTTCTCTTTCTTCATCTTCCCAATGTTGTTTATCTGGGTCTTCAGGAAGTCAATACTATGATTATGTAAATATTTTCCACTGAGCCACATCAAGAAATAAGATTGCATTTCTGTCTCGTACATGTGTATGTTTTCAAGCTTATAATTACTTTGGATTTTCCCCGATGCACCTCTGGCTAATTTTCAACAGCCACAATTTACTTGTAAAACGCTTTCTCAATTCTATTTTCCGCACAGCTTATATATCAAAAAAAAAATTCAGTTCATGTTTTTCCTGGAGGAATGCCTCCGGGAAACCCTGGTCTCCCAGCTTCCACCTGGACTGATGGCTCCCTGGGTCCCCTGCATGGCTGCCAGCCTGACAATCCCTTCTGTCCTGCTCTGCTTCACTGGTTTCGCTGCTGAGACTCCTCTTTCTTGGTTTTCTCTTATCTTGGACGAGCATGTGCCCAGTAACTGCCTGAGAAAGGGTGCAGACAAGAAACGTTTCTTGAGATCTTGAGTGCTTGAAAATGCCTGTATTTCATTTTCAAAATTGATCAGTAGTTTCATAAGCCAAGAATTCCACATTAGAAATTTGTTGCCCTTCCAGAATTTTGAAGGCCCTTGTCTTCTAGCTCCCTGTGTTGCTGTTGAGAATTCTAAGGGCCTCCTGATTGCTGATATTTGCTAAGTGGCCTCTGTGTTCCTCTAGAAGCTTCTAAGGCCTTCTCTTTATCTCTGCTGCAGTGATATTCCATGATGATTTGCCTTGGCCTGAGCATCTATCAGGAGATTTATGCCACTTAGCTCTAGGGAATTTTCTTGCATTTTAAAAAATAACTTATTCTCTATATATTTTTTTCCTTTTCTCTCTTTTGGAATTCCTGTTTGTCAGGAGTTCAACTTTCTTCTCTTGTCTTTTCATCTCTCCTCTCCTATTGTTGGTTCTTCGGCCTTTTGCGGTATTTTTTTTTTGGCAAAAATTCTCATTGTTATCTTCTAATCCTCCTGTAGAATTTTGTTTCAGCTCTGTCCTCTTTCCTGCCCCTAATCCTGGAGCTATGAATGTTCCTGCTAGGAGCCTGATCTTGAATCACAAGTATACAGCTCCTCTTAAGTCCTAGAAGGTTTTAATTGTGGGTTTGTCCAGAAAGTTTCCCTCTGCTCCCTGAATTGCCTGTTTTCTCTGAGATCCTTTCTGTCTTGTCTTTAGTTTCTGTTTGTCTGTGTTAGAGGGCTTCCTGTCTGGTGATCCTTGGCTATCTATTCATAGTTAAGAGTGAGACACTAAAATATTTATCAGAAACTGGTGTGCTGGGGCAGGATTTGCCTGTGCAGTGAGAGGCGAAGTACATGTTCAGAGGAGCCCACATTGTTAGCATCTGGAGCCTGTCCTCTGGGTGATGTTGTCCTCAGAGGTCATCTGTTTTCCTGCTTGCTGGTTATAGGTTTGGCTATGGCTGCCCTGGAGCAGGGATGGGGAAGGGGCCAGAAGTCCACCATTCAGTGTGCACAATTCATATCCCCACCTCACCCTGCACTGGAGTGCCAGCTGCCTCGATTTCCCAGAGGATCACCCTCGAGTCTCTCGTGGGATCAAGGAGCTAGTGTCTGCCTGAGCAGCAGATCTAACAACCCTTGGACAGCATTCAATAACCCACCTCTTGCCAACCCCATCTCATCCCAACCTTTCAGAGGGCCTGGAGTCTGATTCCGGAGCCTCTCGGGTGGATCCTCAAGGTCTTCTGCCTGCACCTCTGACTGCAGACACTCGGTAGCCAGCTTCCTTCCCTCTGCTAAGTCACCTCCCACCCATGGCTGTGTCTGCTTTCCTCTTCAGACATAACTCACATTGTCATTCATCTTATTTAATCCCCAGTCCTGGGCTCCTCATCCTGTAAGGTTCCCTGTTTTCATGCTTTTACTGACATTTTAGGGGGGGTGGGCAGAAAAGTAATGAAAGTACATGTACCACCGGCCATGTTTAAGCCTCTTCTGCCTGGGCTGGGCATGGTTGTTCACGCCTGTAATCCCAGCACTTTGGGAGTCCGAGGTGAGTGGACCACCTGAGGTCAGGAGTTCAAGACCAGCCTGGCCAACATGGTGAAACCCCGTCTCTACTAAAAAATACAAAAATTAGCTGGGAGTGGTGTTGGGCGCCTTTAATCCCAGCTACTTGGGAGCCTGAGGCATGAAAATCACTTGAACCCGGGAGGCAGAGGTTGCAGTGAGCCGAGATCAGGCCACTGTGCTCCAGCCTGGGTGACAAGAGTGAAATTCCATCACCAAACAAACAAACAAACAAACAAACAAAAAAGCCCCCCAAAAAACAAAGACTCTTCTGCCCATGCCTGTCAGATACTGAAGGAAAAACGCAAAGCACCTTCCAGGAAAGCTGAGTCACAGAGGTGCACAGAGCCAACCCAGGAGCTTCTCTTTCTCCCACAGCATGCACCCATCCCTAGCAAGTCCTGCCAGCTCTGCTCTAAACAGGACCAGGCTCAAAGCTCATCTCTTCACCTCCTTCACTACCTTCCCTACCATTCGTCTGGGATTCCTGCAGGCACCTCTGACTAGACTGCCCTGCTGTGTCCTCTTCAGTCTACTCTCAGAAATTAGACTCAGCTGGAGAGATTCCTGTTAAAACAAAAGTCAGATAATATGACCCCTTCATTCTAAACCTTCCGACAGCTTCCCATTTCACTCATGACAATATCCTAAGGCCTTACCATGAACTGCAGAGTCAACACAATCTTTCCATATCACCTCCTACTCCTGGCCTCTTTGCTTAATCTGCATCAGGCACACTGAACCCCTTGCCATTTCTCACACACACTGAGTGTGTTCCAGCCCCAGGGCCTTTGCACTTGCTGCTCGATCCCCAGATACTCCTATGATCATGTCTTCACTTACTTCCATGCTCAGCTGAAATGTTACCTTATCAGAGAGACCTCCATTGTTTTATCAATCCATTTGCGGCCTGAAAAAGTCTGATTGTGATTCCTGGGTTCCAAACACCTTGATCCTTCAGCTGCTGATATTACAATCAGAAATTAATACTGGTTATTGGTATTCTGACTTCTATTTGGAATCCACGAAGATCCCTAGGCCAACACTTCTCAAGCTTTAACGTGCATGTGAACCAGAAAGATGCTAGCCAGTGCTTCTTAGACTTTTACATACAAAGGAATCACTTTGAGAGCTTGCCAAATGCAGATTAAGACTCAGCAAGTTTGGGACTAGACCAGAGGTTTGCATCTGTAACACGCGCCCAGGTGATGTTGAGCCTGCTGCTCCCCAGCTTACCTTTTGAACGACAAAGTCTAGACCAAGGTGAGGATACTGTCCCTCTCATCCCAGACACACAAGAGAGGCTGGGCCTTCATCCCTCCCATCCCCACCTGTGGGCAAGTTACTCCATCAGCCAGAAGATGGTCAGCTCTTACAGCCTCAGAGGTCTAATGACGCAACAGCTGCAGCACCTGCTCCCTGGGTGCCCGCCTGTGGGGTGAGTCAGCGGCTGGACTGAGATGACAGCTCATGAGCATGTCTCCTGGGACTGTGCCTGTGGCCTGGGCTTGGGCCAGACTCCGTCAGCAACTAAATGCACCTGGAAGGCTCTCCTCAGCTCTGCAAATCCCACCAGCTGCCTGACCTGCTTTCCCCAAGCCCTACCACTCCTCTCGCCTACTCTTAACTGCCTTCGTCACCCCAGTTAGGTCAAATGGCATTCTCTTCAGAATGACCTCTACCATCTGTTGAGACTCTGTTATCTGCCAGGCAGTGTTGCAGGCATTTCCCTTGCATCATTTGATTTAACTCTCATAAGTGTGCTATGGGATGACTGTTATTACCTTCTTTTAAGATGAGGAAATGACACTGCAGTGACAATAACTAATTTGCTCAGGATCACAAAGCTGGGAAGTGATGGAGGTGGGATCCCAGGCTGGCTCTCTGATTCCATCTTGGGCAGGGGACATCACATCTGTGCCACCACCCTACTTGTGGTCTACCAGGCTCCACCACCTCCATTATCTTAGTGGACAGGTGGAGAAGCACCACCTCATCTTTGTGGAGGGAAATGCTGTACTTCAGCTTCCTTCATCCTAACACCCAGGGAAAAGGAAACATCCCAGTCCCATCTCAGCTAGCTTTCCTGTATTACCTAATATAAGATGGGATAATAACTGAGACTCCCAGGTGAAGGTCACAGCCCAGGGACACAGGCTCACTAAAAACCTGAAACCTAATCATTGGACTCTATATAGAATGATTCGCCTCCCCCATTTCTGCCCAGCACATCCGCAGTGCTCTTTTGTAGTAACTGGAACACAATATAAGCTATATGTCAGTGAGCTTGAAGATATATGAATAGAAACTTCTCAAACTGAAAGACAAAGGGAAGAAAGACTGAAAAAAAAATGGAGCACCATGTTTAAAAATGGCAGGACAATTACAAAAGGTGTAACATATATGTAATGGGAATACCAAAAAAGAAGAAAGGGAGAAAAGAACAGAAAAAATATTTGAAGTAATAATGACTGAGAATTTTCCAAAATTAATGAGACACCAAACCACAGATTCAGGAAACTAAAGAGAACACCAAGCAGGATGGATATTTTAAAACGTATACCTAGGTATATAGTATATATTCAAATTGCAGAAAATCAAAGATGCAGAGAAAATAATGAAAGAATTCAGAGGTGGAAAAAAAACCTACCTTACGTATGGAGGATCAAGCATAAGACTACATCAGACTTCTCCTCGAAAACCATGCAAGTAAAAAGAGAGTGTGGAGTGAAATATTTAAAGGGCTGAAAGAAAGAAAACACCACTAGCTATAGATAGAATTCTGTATCCAGTGAAATTATCCTTCAAAAGTGAATGGCAAATACTTTTGCAGAGAAAGAAAAACGGAAGGGGTTTGCTGCCAGTAGGACTTCCTTGAAAAAGAAGGGAAAATGACATAGGTGAAAAACTCAGGTCTACTAAAAGGAATGAAGAGCATTCAAGAAGAAAGAAACGAAGGCTAAAATGAATAATTTCTTTTTCATATTTTATGCTAATCTAACAGTTTATCATTTTCTTCAAGATAATAATAGTAAACATGTATTGGGTGATTATAGTTTATAAATTAGTGAAATGAATGACAAAAATGTTATAAGAGATGAGGAAAAGAATTGTGAATACTCTGTGATAACATATTCTCACTACACATGAAGTGGTATTGTGTTATTTGAAAATGGACTTGGATCAGTTTTAAGTGTATATTGCAAAATCACAGGCAACTACTAAAAAAATTGTAAAGAAGTATAACTGATATATAATGAAAGAGGAAATAAAATGGAATCATATAAAATTCTCAAGGAAAATCAGAAAAGGAGAAAAAAGTGTAAGAGGAAAAAGAAACAGAACAAGGGAAACACATAGAAACAGTAATAAATATGGTTGATATTATATCAAATATATTAATAATTAGTTTATATGTCAATGTTCTAAATATGTGAATTACAAGACAGACGCTAGCTGGGTGGATTAAAAAAACCAGACCTAACTGTATGTTGTCTACAAGAAACTCACTTTAACTATAAAGACACAATTAGAATACAAGTAAAGAGATAGAGATAGATATACCATGTTAATGCTGGAATATCTGTATTTATATCAGACAATGTGGACTACAGAAAAAGTATCAGGGCAAAGGGGCAAGAAGGGCGGCGTGAGCAAGTGGAGCCAGGAGGAATTTTAGGGCAGTGGAACTCTTCTATGCTTTACTGTAATCGTGCGTGCCTGACATTATGCATTTGTCAAAACTGCTAGAACTGAACAACACATGGAGTGAACCCTCACGTAAACTATGGACTTTCATGGATAATAATGTACCAGTACTTTCATCCATTTTAGCAAACGTACTGCAACAATGCAAAATGCTGATAATAATAGGGGACACTGTGGGAGGAGTCAAGGGTCTATGTAATATCTCTGCACAATTTTTCTTTAAACCTATCACTGCTCTAAAAAATAAAGCCCAGTTTTGTTTTGTTTTTAAAAAAAGAGGCCACGTGCAGTGCCTCATGCCTGTAATCCCAACGCTTTGGGAGGCCAAGGCAGGAGGATTGCTTGAGGCCAGGAGTTTCAGACTAGCCTTGGCAACATGGCGAGATCCTATCTCTAGGAAAAAAAAAAAATAGCTTGGCATGGTGGTGCATGCCTGTGGTCCCAGCTATTGGGGAGGCTGAAGTAGGGGGATTGCTTGAGCCCAGGCATTTGAGGCTCCAATGAGATATGATAATGCCACTCCACTCCAGCCTGGGCAACAGAACAAGACTCTGTCTCAAAAAAAAGAGAGAAAGAAAGAAAGAGAGAGAGAAGGAAGGAAGGAAAGAAGGAAATTATCACAACTATCGCTTCAGGCGTTGGCTGACCTAGACCTCCACCCCGGCCCTCACCACCTGGCCAGTCGGAGCCTTGGTCCTCTACATCCATGGGGCCCCTACTGCCTGAGCTAGGCAATCTCTCAAGACCCCAGGGCTGGCCTTGGCGGACAGTTCTCTAATTTCATTCTGGGTAAAGGGACCATGAGCGAGTTGCTCATGGCAAAGTCCCAGAGGATGAACAAGAGGCTGTGAGTCTCGGTCTGCCAGAGGGATTCTAGGAGAGAGAAGTAGCTTAATAAGCAAAAGGTGGCAAATATGAGCCGAAAGAAGGCCCCATCCCCTTGTAGTAGACATGCACTTCTGAAGACGGCTCAGTGGATTGGAGACTGTTCCCAGGGCCACCTTGGGAGGCATGAGGGAAGGAGCTTGGGTCAACCTGTCATACCCAAAGCAGAGTCACCCTCACTCAGGACACTTGCTGAACAGGGACAAACCAGCTTCATAGAAAATCCATGAAATTGTAGACTCCACCAGAAATTTTAGACTCCATCTACTTATTTCTCCTGGATTGTTACATTGAAAATCCAGGTCTCTCAGTTTAGACCTTTGGGGAGACTCTTCAGTCCTCTCCCCATCTGCTAACCTTGACCAAACACAAAGGAGAGAGGGGCTTCAGAGGAGGGTCCCTCGGACCTTGGTGGGCAGGACCCACTTTCCCTGTGCAGAAGGAAACTTGAAATCAGGAGACTGAGCCTCACCCAGGGACAGGCCCCACCACTGTGCCCTGACAGGCCCTTGTGGACAGAAAGGGACAGGGCGTAGCCTCACTTCGACCCTCTGGGTTTGCTGTGGGGCCAGCTGGGCCTGGTGTGGCTGAGCTCCAGAGTGCTGTCAGCCACTCCCAGTTCCCTCATGACCTGGGCAGGGAATATAATATCACCTCTATCTGTGCAGTAAGCACAGCAATGTCAGGGACACTGTTTTTAGAATCTGGCTTGCTCCCCTCCCCCAGCCCAACTGATTATCTGTCCTGGTTGCCAGGCACCTGTTTGCATTAGATACAGAACACTCCGCAGGGTCCCGAGTAGGCAGTTGTGGTCCACAGGCCACTGGCAAACAGAGGCAGAGCCACAGAGGGGCTGCTCGTCCCCAAATGTCTCTCCAGCCGCTCTGAAGCTGCTGCGGGCTGCTGTGCTGGTGATGGCTGAGATCATGAGATGAGCCCCGGGGGTCCCTGGGCATCCCTGGGAGGTCCTGGTTTGTGTTGCTGTGGTGGTCTTAGTCATTAAGAGATGACACTTTATAAAGAGGAAAAGAGCTTAGTAAAAGTGTTGTTCTCACCAGCAGGTCCATGGAGAAGGTGGAACACTGGACTAAAGAGACAGGCTGAGGAAGCCCTCAAGTCACCCCTGATGGAGGCCAGACCTTGAATGTTACAATCCCTCTGCTTATCGACCCTTAATAAAAATCTGAGCAGGTCTTCTCTGCAGGACACAGGAGGCTTTCTGGAAAAAAAAACATGGAAAAGTGAGTCTCCTAAGCGTTCCCAAGTGATTGATGCAGGACACATCTTAAAAGGATGAAAGGAGGATGGAGGAAAACTTCAGAAGGAAATAACACAGTTTGAATGAAAACACCTATTTTGCAGAAAGTCCGGAAGTGCTCGACCAAGAGATCGCGAGATGGGAGCAGAGAGTACAGGAAAGGAAGGAGGAGAAAGAAAGGCTGGAAACCTTTGAATGCACAAAAAAAACAGGTCATGAAAGATACCACGAGCCAACTAAAATCTCTGGCTGAAAATGTGCTGGACACCATGCAGTTGGAAGATTTCACTAGGGACCGCAGTGATGAGGGGAACTTGGAAGCAGAGCTAAAGAGGAAAGCAGAAAATGAAGAAACCACCCCCTTAAAAATTAAGTAAATTTTTTTAAAGTTATGTGCATACATTCTGTATATACAGAAAAGATATCTAAATTGTATGCACGCAGAAGGAGCATTGCCCCCACAAGGAACAGTTCATGCTAAATGGTGCAGATGAAGAGACTTTGACAAAGGAAGTTTCCTGAGCTGTGGGCAGGGATGAGAGCTCAGACAAATGATGGGAAGCCTCCCAGATGCCAAGGTTTCCCACCCCCAGGTTTCAAGGGAGGAGAGAGGAAGTGATGTCATCTGAGCCCAGTGAGGCCCTGTCAAGGGACCAGGGAAAACTGCCCCCACTTTTTGCTCCCATCCTCTCATTGACTGCAGGTGCACAGGCAGCTGCCTGAAAGAGGGCCTGCGAAGTGCAAGCCAGAGGAGTTGGCCTCCATGGCACAGAGCAGGCAGAAAACAAATTTGGAGAATGACCAGCACTCTTGGGTTTATTTGACTGAAAGTGCTTGTTTTATTGCATTCACTCACATCCATTTATTTAATAAATATCCATGGAGTGTCTATCATGTCTTCTGCACTGTTCTAGGGGCTTGGGATACAGAGATGAAAAATGCCAACCCGATGAGGCCTGCAGACCACTAGAACTTACATTTTAGTGATGGGCAAGGTCAGGTAATAAAAGACAAGCAAGTGATGGGAATATGTGCTCTGCAGACATTTCCAATCCAGTGATGGGAGAACAGGGGCTATGGGAGAGCACCCAGGAGGCAACATTTAACCTGAGATCTAAAAGTAAGAAGGAGGACCCTAGGAGGGTCAGGGGCAGAATATTGCAGGTAGAAGGTACAGGTAGGATAAGACCAGGAGAACTCTGCCTCTGGGTCCAGGGGAAGCAAAGTAAAGTGGGGTTGTGGGGAGTGTGCAGAGCCCTGTGCACAGATGTGACATCCAGTGCAGTGTGATCACCCAGGGAAGGGTCTTACCCCTCGAGAGGTGGGGTTGCAGGGAAGGGGGCATGGAGGAATGTGTATGCCACCTTGACCTTTTTGGTTGTGGAGAGAACGGAATAAGAATTGGGGGAGAGGCAGGATTTCAGCGAGGGGTGTCACAGGGGTCTGCTGTTGGGGTGGTCATCACAAGATGAATCAAGGACAGATCGGGCTGTGTTTGGATGGTTGTGAGGATCAGAGAGGAGGAATGAAAGACACCCTTGGGTGCTTTCTTATAACCCTGTGATGTTTGTCACTACTTTAAGAAAGCCTTAGTAAAATCTCTGCAGGAGAGCCCCTGACAAAAAGTCAGAAAGGCTGTAGTGTATTAATTACCCCAGGGAAAGCCTGCTTTTCCCTAGCATAGAGTGTGGTGTGCCGCATGTCTCTCTTGAACTTGCATTTGGTTCCTGCACTACTCCCACAACAAGGACGGTAGGGGCGGGTACAGGTGGGGCTCCAGTGAAGGGTGGGGGTTCTCAGGTATGATGCGTTTACAGCCTGCATTGAGGCTATATGATGCCCCTCGTTTGGAGATTCCAAGAGGAATTTTAAGTTTATTCCACCAGAGTGCACCACCATTAAATAAGAAAGACTCATGAGCTATAAGTGCTCATGAATGTGGTGGGTGTACATGCTGGGGCTGTGCCTCGCTCTTTAATTGTCCCAGCAGCCGGCTGTGGTGGGTAGGAAGATCAGGGCGGGCTCTCTGGAGGAGGCGGCTCCTGAGCTGAACACTGAAGGATGAGTAGGAGCTATCTCCAGTGCTTTTCAAAATTGAAGGGGCAGATGAATCACTTGGAGAGCTTGTTAGTAAGCAGATTCTGATTCATCAGGCAGGGGCCTGAGCCTTGCTTTGCTCCCAGGTGATGCCTATGCTGATGAGATACGAAAGAGGGAGGCTCTTTAGATCATTATAGGGCAGGAGTCAAGGAAAGATGAAGGGACAGGGAAGGAAAGATGAAGGGACAGGGAAGGAAAGATTTCTGGCCAGGACAAGGCACAGGCAAAGACACGAGGGTGCACACAGCTTGGTCTAGGGGAACAGGAGAGTTTGTGTTCTGGATCCAGGGACTCAGGAGGGAGGGCAGGACCTGGCAGCAGAACAGATCCCCAACCCACACAGATGGGCTCTTCCTGCTCATCCTCTCCAACGCCCCTATCTACCATGGGTGATCTTTAGCCTCAGAACACTTTATTTTTCTGAGGAGTACAAAGGACCACAGACTGGAAGTCACACTGGGGAAGCAGCCATGGAGAACGCACTCTGCCTAAACACAGCTTGTACAAGGAATAGCCTGAAGACAAGGTCAAAGGCTTCAAATCATGAACCAACTCACGAGCTCCGGACAAGCTCATTTGTCCCATGAGCAGGATGTCTGAGGGCTCAGTGAATCTTAGTGAACACATCAAATACAAATACACCTTATGTCTAAGAATCTGATGACAAATGAGTATTTTTATCCTCTTTGGGGTAAAATAATGTGTATTCTGCTGTGTTCTTGACTGAAGAGGTATATATATACATATAATTATATATACATATGTATACATACACACATATATATAATTGTGTGTGTGTATAGGCACATTATACAATGCAACACAACACCTATATGCTTTTTTATTTCATTCTACAAATATCCTCAGTGAACTCCAACCACCACACGAGGTACAAGGTTCAAGAAAAGATGCTACATAGGTTGCATGTACTTTTTCAAGGGTTCGAACACGCTACTTAGACTTCTATTTTTTCATTTATTCATTCAACAGAGATTTATTAAGCCCCTTCTATGTGCCAGGCACCAGGCAGATTTGGGAGATACTACTGTGAACAAGACAGACAAGGTCCTGGCTTCAAAGAGCTGAACTTGACTGAGAGGCGGGTGGTGACTGAGGCCTGGCGGATGCAGCGGCTCCCTGCCAAGATCCCTCTCCAGTTCAGTTTCCCAGGAGCCAGGGAGGGAGCTCGCCTGCTGCACAGCATCGTCAGGGAAACTTGTAATTACAGCATTTATTAGGACAGATTAGAGAGCCAAAAGAATCACATTGTTAAAGGAACAATGAAATTAAAAAAGAGGTTAAGCAAAAACCACAGGAGAAAAACCCATGCATTCGCCAGCTATTACAGGCTCACAAGATAGCAGTTACATGATTGAAATCTCCTCCTTAGCCTCTGATCTGCTTAGGCATTTTTAGCTGGAAGAGACCAATCATATCTCTAGTCTTGAGCCTGGGGCCGTCTTCTCCGGCTGTGGGTACAGTTGGGAGGCAGCTTTGCAGAGGCCAAGGGCCGTGGTTTGACCTTGGGCAAATGACTTAATCTCCAGGAGCCTCAGTTTACTTATCTGTAATAATTCCTGCCTTGCAGGCTGGCCATACGGCCATACGACTGAGAAATCATAAGTGTGTTGCGACCAGCACATACATTCTCAAAGAGAGGTAACTGCCAGTCAGTGGTAGACCAAGCCATGTTAGAGCCTGCAGCAAAAGGCAAGTTCAGAAATACAGATCCTCTTTATTTAAAATGTTGTTATTTTGTCATCAAGGAATTTATTGCATTAATTTTGATTATATATATAGCATTAAAACAGTATCTATCTTGGCTGGGCGAGGTGGCTCAGGCCTTTAATCCCAACACTTTGGGAAGCCAACGCAGGAGGATTGCTTGCAGCCGGGAATTCAAGACCAACATAGGGGCTCTCATAGTCCCCTCCTCCCCCATGAGATAGTCATCATCATCCTCATTTTACAGGTGAGGACATGGAGGCACCGAGACATTAAGTAACTTGAAGACCACACAGCTAAGCAGCCAGAGTTCCAATCCAGGCTACAGAAGGTCAGAGCCTGTGTTCTTAACCACCAGGAAACACATGGCTTTAGACTTTTACCACAGACACGTGCGCCCAATATGCAAACCAGCCAACCCACAAAAACTGCTTTGCATTTTTAAGCAGTTGCATTGAAGCTTACAGAGTGTTCCAGTGCACTAGGAGCCCCACTGACCCATCCCGGGCTGGCCAGGTGGGCTCTTCTCATAACTGTGTGTCTGCGGCATCTGACCCTGCTTGTATCTTCTCCTGGAGGACTTTGAGATAAGACTTCATCTGGGGACACTGAGAGTCCAATGAATGGAGACACTAGGACACCCCCGACTGGAAAAGACAGACGGATGTGCACACTGTCACCCTCTACCTCCTTCCACCACAGACCCAAGGTGGCACACAGGAAGGTGCACACTGCACCAAAAAACAGAAAACTGGAAATGTGAATGCACAAGGGGTCGGGGACAAGAGGACCCAGGAGGAGGCTGGGCCAAGAGGGGGTTAGAAAGTACCCTGTGGGCCATAGGACTTCAACAGTTCACACAGTTGAGTCCCTAACTGAGGCCAAGCTGTATGGGCCAAGAACAAGGGAAACAAGATCAGGGCTGAAGCATGCCCCTTCCTTGGGAGAAACACATGTGCTTAGGGCTTGGCTTTAAAAGAGATTTTCCTTGTGAAATCCACTCAGGGGCCCCTGAGGAATGTCATGGACTGGGTCTTGATGTGACTCTTTCTTATGCCACTGCATATGACAAGCACTGCAGCTTCCGAGGCCCCCATGGGGAAAGCCCTGAGAGAGGGATGGAGGCTCCCCCATGGCTCCCAGCACATGGACCCTACCTCCTGGGACACATTTCTGGTCTGTCTAATGTGATGGTGTCGCCTCTCTGTGCTGTTCACCTGCTCCACCCCAAGGGTAGGCCCTGGTTCCTGTGCATTTTGCACTCCTCCCAGCAACGCAAACCAGTGCCACAAAGGCCCTCTGTTGAACTTGCAGGGTGCAACCGGGCTCCTCAGTGGTTGGGAAGACCCTGCACTGCTGCTCTGACCCCCCTCTGTCTACATGGAGGGACATGTTGGGGTCCATGGAGAAGTCACCAGGTGATCAAGATCTGACCTCCCCCATCCCATGTTCTTCCGTGGGAGGATTAATCACTGCCTCTCTCTAGCTCCCCTTTCTTAGCTAATCTGGAGTCATAAAACATCTTAGTATTAGGCCACATCCACACAAGCAGCAGGTAAGTTCCCTTTTACATATAGCCTCTCCCAGGTATTCTGACGTGGGCGTCTCCCCCACCCCAGCCTACTCACAGATTTCAGCATCCACCCTGAGGGTGTCTGTGTGAAGAGCCTGTCTCCTCCTTGGCCATCCAGGGCCTAGCTGCTGTCCAGTTATTGCTGGAACCCTCATCAGTCTGGTTGAGTCACAAGGAAAAGATGTTCTGCCCCAGGCACTGGTCTGGGGACCACACATTCTCCTTCTAAGGTTGTAACATGGCAGACTCTTCACCTTCCACCCCAACCAGTGTGTCAATCAAAGGACAGGGCCACACAGGCAAGGTAGATCACAGCAGCCAGTTATTAGGAAAGAGGACTGAGGTTATAATCTCACAGGCCACTCCCACCTGGAAGATGGTGGCCTTGTTTTCAGGGTCAGGCATAGTTTACCAAAAGACATTTGGAAAAGGGCCTTGTTATTTATAGTTTTTAAGCTGTGCAAGTGAAGACACCAGGAAGAGAGCGCTAGGGTCAGAGTGGGTTGAGCTGGGGTTTTCGCTGTTGTTGTTGTTGCTGCCATTACTAGAAAAGAGACAATGCAAAAACCCAAGGCATTGCCTCAGAGCCCAGGGGTAGGGATTCTGGACTCCCTCCACAATGTTCAGGTCATTCTAAAGATGCTGAGAGTCCACGAGGAATGAGATGAAATGACAGGGCCATGAATCAATTCCCGTGGTGTTGAAAGCTTCAGGGAGGAAAGCTCCTGGCTCACAGCTGGGTTTTCTTGGGTCCTCACAGTACCGTTGCGCTGGTCTCTGTTGCTACAGCTTCTTGGTGGTGGTGATTGCAGCTCCTTGGTGGTGGCAGCTGTGCTCTCTGATCCCAAAGGACCACTATGGTTCCAGAGGAAAGAGTGGTTGGAGAACAAGAGCAGTTTTCAGCAGAAGCACTTGTGACTGAGATAAGACACGGAGGAGAGCTCCATCCTCTAAGCCCAAGTGAGTAGCGGCTCTTGGTGACAGCAATGCCAGGCCCTACACCACTTGCATTTCTATTCACTGAGTGTCTATGGAGGGCCAGGCCTGGCTCTGTGCTCTACAAGCCCCTCTTGGCATTCCTTAATTCTCTGGGGTTTGTGTGTGATCCCTAGTCTATGGTTGAGAAGTAAATCAGATTCAGAAAGCTGGTGAGGCTAGAACAGGGCTTGAACTCATGTTTACAGAGAAGCGAACCCCAGACCCCTTTCCCTCTTCTCTAATTTGTTCAATCTTTGTCTCTGTTTGCCTCCCCTCTATCATTCTTTATCTTTCCTATTTCTCTCTCCCTTTTCTTTCCCTCCTCTGTCCCTCTTTTCTCTTTTTTCTCCTTTTTTTCTCATTTTTCTCCTTGCTGTTGTTTGAATGTGTCCTCCAAAGTTCAAGTTTTGGAAACTGAATCCCCAGGGTGCAAGCGTTAAGAGGTGGGGCCTTAATAAGTGGTGATCAGGTCATGAAACCCTGCCCTCATGAATGGATTAATGTCATTATTGAGGGAGCAGGTTAGTTATTGTGAGCGTGGAATTGTTATAAAAGCAAGTTCAGCCCTCACGCTCTGGCTCTCCCAAGCTCTCTTCTGCCTTCTGCCATGGGATGAGTAGCAAGAAGCCCTCACCAGATGCAGCCCCTTGACCTTGGACTTCCAAGCCTCCAGAACCATAAGAAATAAAATTTTTTTCTTTATAAATGACCCAGTCTGTGATATTCTATTATAACACAAGATGCTCTTCCCACCTCAATCAACTTTCACTGCCCAACCCAGTTGCACATAGACTGAGTATCAGTTGCGCATAGACTGAGTACGTTGCTGGGTCCTGGTCACATGGTGATGCCTGAATATTCTCCCTGACCTGAAGCCTTTGCAAATCTGCTTACTAAACTCCATGAAAACTGTGCTCAGGGTTTTTCATTGAAAAATTCAGGTGAGGTGAATATTTTACTCATCTCTTTTCGGTTGGTTTTAACTTTTATGTAACATTTAATTAATTCTTTCAAATGAACTCTGTGAATACCTAATTCAGGGAGAGAAGCTTCAAAGGAGATAGGAACATGCTGGGAGACAGAGGATGTACTGGGGGTAGGGAGGAAAGGGAAAGGAAACGGAAACAAAGGAAAAGGGAAGGGAAGAAAATTTAGCATTCCCCAGCATGACTCAAGGTTTTCCTGGTAGTTCCTATAATCTTTCAGGAAAGTAGAGCCTTCTTCAGTGAGAAATCTTTCCCTAATATTGAAGTCAACTTTGAATTTAAATCCTTTCTGAGCCACTGACTATTTACTGACAGTCCTTCTGACCTTTAACTGTGAGCTAAGATTTTCCATTTGAAAGACTAATGAGGGATTTATTCCTAGGATACAAAGATGGTTTCACATAATTAAATCAATAAATGTGATACACCACATTAAAAGAAAGACAGACAAAAACCATGTGATCATCTCAAGAGATAAAGAAAAGTCACCGGACAAATTTCCACATTTTTCATGGTAAAAAGTCCCAATAGGTGAGAGATAGAAGGAGTGTACCTCAATACAATAAAGGCTACATATAAAAAGCTCATAACTAACGTCACACTCTACAGTGAAAAGTTGGGATCTTTTCCTCTAAGATCAGAAAAAGACAAGGATGCCTACTCTTACCACTTCTATTAAACATAGTTCTGGATGTTCTAGCCAGAGCAACTAGAAGAGAAATAAATAAAAGTCATTTGAATTGGAAAGGAAAAAGTTACATTGTCTCTATTTGCAGACAACATGATCTCATATATAAAATATCCTAAAGACTCTACCAAAGAACTGTTAGAACTAATACATTTAATAATGTTACAGGATACAAAATCAATATGCAAAAATCAGTAGCATTTCTATATAAGAACAATTAACTATCTGAAAAAGAAATCAAGAAAACAATCCCATTTACAGTGGCGCCTCCCCCCAAAATTACTTAGATGTAAATTTAACCAAGTTAATGAAAGATCTGTAGACTGAAAACTATAAAACATGAATGAAAGAAGTTAAAAAAAGACACAAATAAATAGAAAGATATTCTGTGTTTAAGAATTGGAAGATTTAAGGCCAGGCATGACGGCTCAGGCCTATAATCCCAGCACTTTGGGAAGCCAAGGCAGGTGTTACACGAGGTCAGGAGTTCAAGACCAGCCTGGCCAACGTGGTGAAACCCAGTCTTTACTAAAAATACAAAAAATTAGCCTGCTGTGGTGGCAGGCGCCTGTAATCCCAGGTACTCAGGAGGCTGAGGCAGAGAATTTGCTTGAACCCAGGAGGAGGAGGTTGCAGTGAGCCAAGATCATGCCACTACACTCCAACCTTGGCGACAGAGTGAGACTCCGACTCAAAAAAAAAAAAAAAGAATTGGAAGATTTAATATTGTTAAAATGTCCATACTGTCCAAAGTGATCCAAGAGTCAAATACAATCCTATCAAAATTCCAATGACTTTTTTTAGCAGAAATGGAAAAAACAATCCATAAATTTGGATGGAACCACAAAAGACCCATGAATGGCCAAATAAATCTTGAGCAAAAAGAACAAAGCTAGAGGCATCACACTACCTGATTTTAAAATCTATTACAAAGCTATAGTAATCTAAACAGCATAAAACTGCCACAAAACAGACACAGACAAGTGGAGCTGAATAAACAGCCCAGAAATTAATTCATGAATTTATGGTCAATTGAGCTTTGACAAAGATTCCAAGAACATACAATAGGGAAAGGACAGTTCTTCAGTAAATGGTGCTGAGAACATTGGATATCCAGATGCAAATAAATAAAATTAGACCCTCGTCTCACACCACACACAAAAATCCACTCAAAGTAGATAAGCGACTTAAATATAAGACCTAGAACCTTATAAATACTGGAAGAAAACATGGAGAAAAAGCTCTAGGACATTGGTCTTGGCAATGAATTTGTGGATATGACCCTAAAAGCACAAGCAACAAAAGTAAAAATGCAGCCGGGCACGGTGGCTCACGCCTGTAATCCCAGCACTTTGGGAGGCCGAGGCGGGAGGATCACGAGGTCAGGAGCTCAAGACCAGCCTGACCTACATGGTGAAACTCCATCTCTACTAAAAATACAAAAATTAGCTGGGCATGCTGGTGGGCACCTGTAATCCCAGCTACTCAGGAGGCTGAAGCAGGAGAATCCTTGAACCCGGAAGTGGGAGTTTGCAGTGAGCCAAGATCGCGCCACTGCACTCCAGCCTGGGTGACAGAGCAAGACACCATCTCAAAATAAATAAATAAATAAATAAATAAATAAATAAATAAATAAATAAATAAATAAATTCGCACAAATAGAATTCAATCAAACCAAAAAAGCTCCCACGCGGCAAAGGAAATGACCATAGAGTGAAGAAACAACATATAGTATGGGAGAATATATTTACAAATCACACATCTGATAAGAAGTTAATATCAAAAATATGCAGGAAACTCAAACAACTCAATAGCAAAAACAAAAACAAGCAAAAACAAATATAAATCAGTTAAAATGGGCAAAGAATCTGAATAAATATTTCTCAAAAAAGACATATGAGTGGCCAATGGGTATATGAAAAGATATTCAACATCACTAATCAGAGAAATGCAATTAATATCACAATAAGATATTAATATCACTTCACATCTGTTAAAATGACTAGTATCAAAAAGATGAAAGATAACAGATGTTGGCAAGGCTGTGTAGAAAATGGAACCCTTGTACACTGTTGGTGGGGATGTAGATTAATACAGCCATTATGGAAAACAGTATGGAGATTTCTTAAGGAATTAAAAATAGAACTACCATATGATCCAGCAATTTAATTTCTGGGCATATATTTAAAGGAAATAAAACCGGTAGCTTGAAGAGATATCTATACTTTCATGTTCATTGCAGCATTATTCACAACAGCCAAGATATGGAATCAACTTAAGTATCCATTAATGCATGAATGGATAAAGAAAATACTATTCAACCTTTAAATTAGCCCTCATGCTAATTTATTTAGAAAAATTTATTTCGTATGGTTCTGGAGGCTGGGAAGTCCAAGGTGACGGGGCTGCATCTGGTGAGGGCCTTTTTGCTACGCATCCCATGGCAGAAGGCAGAAGGACAAGGTAGCTTGAGAGAGCAAGAGTGTGAGGGCTCTTTAAAAGAAGTAAATTCTGTCATTTGTGACAACATGGCTGAAGCTGGAGGGCATTAGGCTAAGTGAAATAAGCCAGACACAGAAGGATAAATACTGCATAATCTCACTTATATGTGGAATCTAAAAAAGTAGGGCTCAGAGAAACAAGTCATAGAATGGTGGCTACCAGAGGGTAGAGGTTGGAGGATTGAGGAGATGGTGGTCAATGGACACAAAATTCCAGTTAAACAGGAGGAATAAGTTCAAGAGATCTATTATACATAATGAGACCACAGTTAATAATAATATACTATACATTGGAAAATTTCTAGAAAGGCAGTTTTAAGTGTTCTCACTCCAAAAATAAGTATATGAGGTAATGCATATGTTAAAAAGCTTGATTTAGCCATTCCAAAATGTACACAAATATCAAAACATCATGTTGTACACCATAAATATTTACAATTTTTACTTTTCAATTTGAAAAAAAAAGAAAAATGAAGAAAGAAAACTTCTTGTTGGATTGAGTTCTCTATCATCAACAGGGATGGAGAGGTTTTAGGGAAAGAGAAAATATCACCTCTCTCACTGTAAGAAACAGATTTTATTATTACTAACCTAGAACACTGCATTTTCTCTTTGTTGTTGGGAAATTTCTGATGACACCTTTAAAAAAACCTGAGATTTGTCTCTGGGTAAGTTAAATGTTCATTAAGTGATCACAGAAAGTAAAAGTTTGGGAAACTTTACCAGGAGCGTTTGGGGGAAGCAAACCCTGCGCAGATTTCCTTTGTTCTTGCAATAGCAGTTCCCTCTTGAGTGTGACTTGGGGCCCCTCAGTTGGCCCTGGGACATCTGCTCACTTTGGGACTCTTTGTGAACATTACTTGGGGAAGGAAGCACTGGGGGGAAGGAAGCACTGGGCTTGGGACAGGGCTGGGCGCTGCCTCTTCACTGGACCATGACAAGGTTGTTACCTCACCAAGGAGAGGTGCAAAAAGCTTAGGGGCTTGGATTTCTAGATTTCAGTGCCAACTATGCCACTTACTGGCTTTATCCTTGGGGAATTTATCTACTCTGTGACCCTCAGTTTTTTTATCTTAATTATTAATACATACCTCATAATGTGACTGTGAGGATTCACTTAATAATATATGGAAAACCATAGAATAGTGCCCAGCATCTAGGAAGTGCCACAGCCCCCTTCAGAAGCTAGTGAAACCTGCAGACCACTTTTCAGAGTGATATTATTATTTTTTTCTAGGTTTACTGAGTTATAATTGAAAAAATAAAAATGGAATATAGATGTACAACATGAAGCTCTGATGCATATATCCATTGTGAAATGATGACCACAATCAAGCTAATTAATGTTATCTATCACTTCACATAGTTCAACCTTTTTTTGTGGTGAGAGTACTGAAGATCTACTCTCTTAGCAATTTTCAAATCTAAAATACATTATTATTAACACAGTCACTGTGCCGTACGTTAGCTCTGAGGACCTTATTCATTTTATACCTAAAAGTCTGTATCCTTTAACCAACCTCTCCTAATTTCCCACTGTCATCCCTACTGCCACCTCTGGTAACCAGCCTTCTGCTCTGTTTCTGAGTCCAACCTTCTTAGATTCCACATATGAGTGAGATCATGCTGTGCAGTGTTTGTTTTTCTGTGTCTGGCTTGCTTTCACTTAGCATAATGTCCTCCAGGTCCACCCATGTTGTTGCAAATGGCAGAATCTTCTTCTTGTTAAAGACTGAATAATATCCCTGTGTGTGCGTGCATGTGTGTGTGTGTTTGTGTGTGTGTGTGTATCACATTTTCTTCATCCATTCATCCATCAATGGACACTAAGCACTAAGGTTGATTCCGTATCTTGGCTATTGTGAATAATGCTGCAATAAACATATGAGTCCAGATACCTCTTCAAGATACTGATTTCATTTCCTTTAAATATATGCCCAGAAGTGGGATTGCTGGATCATATGGTAGTTCTATATTTAGTATCTTGAGGAATTTCCATACTGTTTTTCATAATGATTGTAGCAATCTATATTCCCATCAACAGTGTACAAGGGTTCCATTTTCTACATGGCCTTACCAACGTTTGTTATCACTTATCTTTTTGATAATAGATATTCTAGCAGGTGTGAGGTGGTATCTCATTGTGGTTTTAATTTGCATTTTCCTGATGATTAGTGGTGTAGAGCATCTTTTCATATTCCCATTGGTAATTCGTATATCTTCCTTTGAGAAATATTTATTCAGATCTTTTGCCCATTGTTAGCTGAGTTATATGTGAGTTGGTTTTGGTTTGTTGTTGTTTTTTGTTTTTGCTATTGAGCTGAGTTCCTTGTATATTTTGGATATTAAATCCTTCTCAGCTGTATGGTTGACAGATACATTCTTGCATTCTGTAAGTTGCATCTGTAGGTTGCAACAGAGTCTCTTTACTCTGTTGATTGCTTGCTTTACTGTGTGAAAGCTTTTTTAGCTTGATGTAATTGTGTTTGTCTATTTTTGCTTTTGTTGCTTGTACTTTTAGTGTCATATCCAAAAAGTTATTGCCCAGACCAGTGTCATCCCCTATGTTTTCTTCTAGTAATTTTAAAGTTTCAGGTCTTATGTCTATGTCTTTAATCCATTTTGAGTTAATTTTTGTGTAGGGTTTAAGATAAGAATCCAATTTTATTTTTATTTTTTGTATATGGATATCCAATTTCCCCAACACCATTTATTGAAAATTCTATCCTTTCTTTGTTGTGTATTAACATCAGAATAATATTTTTAAATACATAAAATTCAGAAGATGACAAAGGAAACCAATTACATTGAAATGCATACAGAGTTATAATTCTGAAAGAGCAATATATGTGCCTCTTTGTAAACACATCATATATCAAACTGCAGTGACCGTTCTAACAACTATTGCAATTTCAAAGTCATGTTGAGTAGGAGGAGTACTTTGAGATTCTGAAACAACGTTCTTGTGCTATGAAATATCCATGATTTTGATTGGTGATGGTATCCCAGGTCTTGTTAATGCTGCTGTAATCTGTTGCTTCCATTCCATAGTTGAATAAAATGCTTGATATCTGTTGGAAATTAGTAAAAATAAAAACGTATTTTTTTCCATCCAAGTTCATTCTCAGACCCTGAAGAGTCACTTCTCTGGATTCTGCAGCAAAGTTCCCAGCTGGGGCAGCAAGATTTAGGCAATTGAAAAGAACATACACCTTGTTCTCAGTGGCAAACCACATGGAAAGCTTTAAATGTCAGAGAAGAATTCTGCCATTTTGCTGACTTTTTTGTAGTTCTCCTAATAAACAAGTGTTAAGTGACAAGCTTTTCAGAGGAGATAATTTTCTTCCAAGTGGTCTTTTTATTTACCTGAATATTAAGTTCAAAGACACTCTAGTCTCTCAAAGGAAACCTGTGGGTGGAGTGTTTTTTAAAATGTCAAATTCCAAACGAAGCTGAAGGGCACAGCCTCAAGAAGGTTCTGTGTTCACCAGTGCACAGGGACGTGTCAGCCCTTTATTGCCATTGTCTACATAACATTTTTCAAGTTCTCTGAGTTGTGAGGCTGTCAGTATGAAGACTCCTATTTTTTCTGCTATTAAATTTTTTTTTCCTCCAACTTTTTCTTTTTCTTTTTCTTTTCTTTTGAGATACAATCTCGCTCTGTCACCCAGGATACTGGAATGCAATGCAGCCTTGAACTCCCAGGCTCAAACAATCCTCCTGCCTCAGCCTCCAAAGTAGCTGGGACTACAGGCATGCACTGTGGTGTGGTTTGTCTCTGTGTCCCCACCCAAATCTCATGTTGCATTGTAATTCCCAGTGTTAGGGGAAGGGCCTGGTGGGAGGTGATTGGATCATGGGGGCAGATTTCTCCGTTGCTATTTTCGAGATAGTGAGTGAGTTCTCATGAGATCTGATGGCTTAAAAGTGTGTGGCACTTCCCCCCACCCCCTCTCTCCTGCCACCTTGTGAGGAATGTCCTTGCTTCTCCTTCACCTTCTGTCATGATTGTAAGTTTCCTGAAGCCTCTCAGTCATCTTTCCTGTACAGCCTATGGAACTTTGAGTTAATTAAACCTCTTTTCTTCATAAATTACCCAGTCTCAGGAGTTCTTCATAGCAGTGATGATGAATACACACCATCACACCCAGCTAATTTTTCTTTATTTTTTTAGTAGAGATGTGGTCTCACTATGTTGCCCAGGCTGTTCTCAAACTCCCGGGCTCAAGTGACCCGCCTACCTCGGCCTCCCAAAGTGCTGGTATTACAGGCGTGAGCTGCCGCACCCAGCCCTCCTCCAACTGCTGCTGGTTGCTATCATAGGTTCTCACTGGGTGTCCACCTAACATGTCCCTTCAGGAAGGCTGGTGTCCTGACATTCGGTAGCGGAGGCCTGGTGTTGAGCTCACCTGCATTTCTGCCCCCTTCTCTGGCTTTCTGGGGATGCCCTCCTCAACCTGAAAATGACTTCCAACTCCTCAGCACAGAAGTGGGCACGTGACCCAAGCAGGTCCAGGATTCCATAAGATCCCAAACACAAAGGATCCTGTAATCCTGGGGCTCCAGTGGCCGTCTTGTTCCTTTTGGAGAACTAACCTATTGCAGAGAAAGTAGTAGAGCTAAAAGAAAGAGAAAGAATCCTGATAGCATCTGTGACTCTGGATCCAGCTATCCATAAAGCGCCATACGCTAATGCGCTCAATTACCCAAGTCAATGAGTCCCCTTAGAAGCTTAAGGCAGTTTGATCTGAGTTTCTGCCACTTTCAGGAGGAAGAATCTTATTGGTATATTTTATAATAATCCGGCTGATATGCAAACTGTCTTCAATAGAATGCTCTGTCCAGAGTCACAGTGGAGTCCATCGCAACAAATAAGGTCAGACAGCTCACAGCTACAACTGGGCTCATGCCTTCCAAGTATCAAAGTCATAACAAACTTCCTCTGTGTGAGTCCACAAGGCATTCTTCCTCTGGGGGAATCACTCCCTTTCCATTGTCCTGATACTCCCTCTGTGGGGCTGTAGAGGAGTGCATGGCTTTTGCCCTACTTCCAAGCCTTCTCAGGGAACACAGCAGGGACAAAGAGCTGAAGGCTCAGCCTTGGCCATGGCCCATCAGGCCCACTGCAGGCTTCTCCTGGGAGAAGATCCAGAGCCTCGGGCTCTGGGCTCCCATATGCAGGGAGAACCTCCGACCACAGAAATTGGAAGGAGCTACCACTGCCTAGGAGACATCTTCCCTTGAGCTTTTTCAAGGGCTGAACAAACAGAGCCCACACTTGTTCACGGAATCCATGGGCCTCAGCACATCAGAGAGAGGAGAAGAAATTGACCCAGAGTGTAACCCACCCCCATCTTCGGGCCCCACCAAGAATTGTCAGTGATGCCAGAGGAAGAGGCACCTAATTCAACAGATCAATGGAGACTCACATCACCCACAAGCACCACTTATCTGCTATTTCATCCCACACCAGTACCTGATCATCAACCGTTGCAAACACTCATTGCTGTAATTGTATCATTAGTTTCAATCACAGCCAATTTGGGGCTGGCATGTGAATATCCTTTTCTGTTCCCACTGCTGATGAAATTTCAGAATTATAAGGTGAATGAAACCTAGTAGATTAAAGTAATTGTGAAACTGATGCTAAAGAACAGTCCTGTTCCCCATGCCGCCTAAACATGTAATTTCAGACATCAAACAGAATCTTTAAGCTGAAATAAAATCTCTACTTAGTCTAGCACCATTGTATTCTCTGTATGGGATGAAGGCAGCTCTTACCCCATCTATTAAGATTTATTATTAAAATTGCCTGGGGGCCGGGCGCGGTGGCTCACGCCTGTAATCCCAGCACTTTGGGAGGCCGAGGCGGGCGGATCACGAGGTCAGGAGATCGAGACCATCCTGGCTAACACGGTGAAACCCCGTCTCTACTAAAAATACAAAAAATTAGCCGGGCGAGGTGGCGGGCGCCTGTAGTCCCAGCTACTCGGGAGGCTGAGGCAGGAGAATGGCGTGAACCCCAGGGGGCGGAGCCTGCAGTGAGCCGAGATTGCGCCACTGCACTCCAGCCTGGGCGACAGCGAGACTCCGTCTCAAAAAAAAAATAAAAAATAAAAAATAAAATAAAATAAAATTGCCTGCGAATTAAAAAAATACATTTTTTCCCTTGGCAAAGTCAGCACCTAGCTATCTCAGTTAACTCTCTGGAGGAGAAAAAGGGGAACAGTGGTTGTGAAATTTGAGACTTGCAAGAGTGCCCAGGACTGCCTAGGCATAGACTAGACTGTTCCACCTAAATACTCCCATAGAAAATGCCCTAGGTGAAGTCTCCAGGTGCAGTTTTCAGAGCAAGGCCCTCACCCAGTTCTTCAGGTTCCATAATACATTAGTGACCACACTAAATCTTAAAGTCCTTGCCATCAGTTGACATAAAAGTCCAGTGAGAACTCTGGCCTTACCAGTGAAGACTAAGCCCCAAGAAAGCTGTGTGAGCTGTTGTATGTTGAGTCAGCCTCCAGCCAGTCTTCTACCCATTGCTAGAATAACAAATCAAGTCTCCTCCTTCAACTGGGACTCATGTGATCGTCACCCTCCTTGAAAGACAGCCCTGTCCTAACCCCCTCCAGAGCTGCCACATCCCTGGTCCCCAAACAATCAAGTGAGGAGGGAAGGCTACTGGCCACCCACAAGGCCCTGAAAGTACAGCGTGTTGACTCAGGAATAATCCAAGCCTATGGCAGGAGGAACAGGACTTTATGGAAGCTGGGAGACTGAAGAAGGAGTCACCATGGCAACCAGCTCTCCAGCTTTCATTCTCCTCCCCATCACTTGATCCAGACATTCTCCTTCCAGATCATAAGGCCTGACATCCATCCACTTCCTATCATGTGGTCACAGGCAGATCTCTCTACCCACTGGCAAAAAGTGGGCTGATGGAAATGAGCATTGGGTGCATGGTGCTTGGACTGGGTTTCATAGTTATCGCTCCAAAATCCATGGCCTCTTCGGAACCTCAGAATGGGACCTTATTTGGAAAAAGGGTCTTTACAGATGTAATGAGTTAGTATAACATCATTCTGAATCAAAGTGGGCCCTAAATCCAATGACTGGTGTCCTCTATAAGGAAAGAAAACAGAGACACAGAGACACACAGGGAAGAAGCCAAGTGAAGGCCAACGCAGAGGTTGGAGGGATGGAGCAACAAGCCGAGGAATGCCAAGGACTGCAGCAACCACCAGGAGCTTGGAAGAGGCATAGAAGCTACTAGAAGGAGCCAATCCTGCCAACTCCTGGATTTCACATTTCTGATCTCCAGAACCGTGAGAGAATACATTTCTGGTGTTTTAAGCCAAGCTGTTTGTGGTGCTTACTAAGCCAGCCACAGGAAACACACACAGGGCCACATGAACACTTCAAAATACAGCCATTGCGAAACCTGAAACCTGGAATCTAATTAGCCTGAACCAGCCATTAAAAGAAAAAGTGATGTATGCCTGATAACCATTCTCCATATTTTTATAAGGAGACAGAACCAGTAAGAAAAAGAACATAGATAAATTAATTCCCCCGTTTTACAAGATATTTATTTTACAAGTAACCTTCCAGGGAATTCCCTGGTATGAACAAATGCATGCATTATGAACCCATCCAATGATATTGAGTTCACTGCTGGAATCTGGGCAAAACACTGCAAGTTGCTCGGTGAAAACAGGTCCAATTGTGTTTGGTTTGCTCTAAGTCAGCTGCAGGGAGGCACTGCTCTGCCACAAGACAGGAGGGAGGAAAGCTGGGGAAATCAGATAGGTTTCCTTGTTGCAGGTGTGTTCAAAGGAGGGTTGGAGCATCTTCCACTGACTTCACCTCTATGAAGCTCCTCTCCTGTCTTCGTAGTGAGAACAGAGATGGCTGTAAGTCAAACACGCCCGGAAAAGGCATTCGTGGACCAGACCATCCATGCACTGTGTTAACTGACCACTTAGGGCGAGCAGCGTTACAGGCCTGTAGTTGTGGAGGCAGGAGCTACAGGGACATTTCTGATGTGGCTCCAGCCCTCCACGATGGTATGATCCAGTTGAACCCAGAATCCCAGCACATGTGGACCAGTCAGGAAGCAACTGACTGAGAGCGGTAGAGGACCCAAATTTCTTCGGAGGTATTTACTTCGTTGAGAAAACCCACAGGGCAGCTCCAATCCCACATCCCTGGCATCCTGTGGCTTATGGGCGTGGGGCCACTTGCCTGTTGGAGGCGTGATGCATGATCCCCAGTATTTGCTCTGCAAGGCCAGGCATGGGCTCACCGAGAAACAACCTCGCCTTTGTGTTGTCCTCCTCCTGGACAATCCATGGGACAGGCCGGCCCTTTGGAGGGCACTTCCTGGGCTGTCCATCCCTCACTGGGGAAGCAAGAAGGCTCTGGATTGCCTGCCCCCCAGCCACCTGATATGAGTTGGGCACAGGGAGTGGCATTAGCCTGGGGCATTAATCCCCTCTGGTAGATGTCCCAACAAACATGCACCAATCAGAGACAGGGGCAGGGCACCAGGGGAAACTGTAGTCTCCTTTGCTTTGAATCAGTTATTATGGAGGACTTTATCACAAACACAGAATTACATTCCCAAATATTCATTCTTTTCAACACAAAGCTTAAAAGGTATTGCAGTTTGAATTGTAGTTGAGACATGACTCTGTAGTACCCACTACTGCATAAGGTTCAAGTCCAAAATGATCCACAGTCTTTTTCTTCTTTAATATTTTCTCTTTTTCACTGAGATGTAACACTGTACCTTCTATTGTAGGTGCTCCAATCTCAGGTATACCATCCAATAATGTCTTACATATGTCTACAGCCATGCAACTGCCTCCCAGAGCAACATCTCAGACATTTCCAGGCTCCAGCAGACTTCCTGATGTTCCTTCTCTTTCAATACAAACCTCCAGTCCTACAGGTAACTGCTATTACAACTTCTAGTACCATGTGTTATTGAGCTTCATATAGATCGGAATTGTACAATGTGGGCTCCTTGAGATCTGCTTTCTTCTGCTTAACGTTATGTCTGTAAAACATCTTTGCATGGGGCAACAGTTTATTTTTTCATTGCTATGTACTATTCCATTGAATGCATATGCCCCAATTTATTTAGTTCATCCTAACGTGGATGGGTATGTGTTGTTTTCTGTTTGGGACTATGATATATAAAGGTGCTAGGACCTTTCTCACACATGTCTCTTGGTGGCCACAGCCCTCGTTTCTTTTGAGAATATGCCCAGGAGTTTCTGGGGCATGGAAATATGTATGTTTAACTGTAGTAGACACCTCCAAACTCTTTTCCAAAACTGAACCAATTTACACTTCAACCATCAGTGTATGAGAGCTCTTGCTGTTACCCACCATTGTCAACACTTGTTGTTGTCAGTCCTTTTAATTTTAGCCTTTCTAATGGATGCATAATGGTATCTTACTGTGGGTGTAATTTGCATTTTCCTCTTGGCTGTAATACTGGGCATCTTCTTATGTGCTATTGGCCACTTGTATTTTCCTCTATTATGGGGGTCTCCGTGAATCACTCTATAAAGGGCCTGACAGTTAATATCTCTGGCTTTGGAGGTCATATGGTCTTGTCCCTACTACTCAACTATGCTGTTGTCAAGCAAAAGCAGCCATGGGCAATGTGTGAATGAATGGGATTGGCTGTGTTCCAACACAGCTTATTTATAAAAACAGGCTGGGATGGGAGGTGGATTTTGCTGGTGAGGCTTTAATTTGGTGACCCCTGCTATATTGTAATGTGCCTGCCCAAGACTTCTGCCCATTTTAAAATTAGGTTGTCTTTTTAATTTATTCATACAAGTTCTCTGTAAGTTCTAAATTCCAGTTTTATATTCTTAATCATTTATCATGTTTTGAAAATTAAAAAAAAAAACAGTTATTATGTTGGACCATTCCTATAGCTTTTGCCCTGTGTTTCTACCATAGTCCCCTAAGAGATGAGATCACTCTTGTGAAAAGAGCTTCCTGCTGTTACCCAAGAGAGCTGTCTGCTGCCATCTTTGCCCCAGCATGACAGTGTGGCAGCCCAGCCCAGAGCACTGTGGCTCTGCTTGTAGCCTTGGGGAGTCCCACTGCCTAGACCAGGCTGGGTGAAAATAGCCTGACTTCTTGGAATGGACACAGTTTTCAAAAGGAGCATAAATTTAGTCTGCCAATTCATGTATATGCCATGATGGTCAAAATTGAGGGATCTGGGCAAAGATTCCTTTTCCATTCTTAGCCAAATGCTTTCTAGGTTGGGCATCAGTTGATGGTGCAATTGAGAGGAAATTGCCCAATTATTTTGTTGCTTCACTAACAAAATGCTTACTGTCTTTGCATTGTAAAATCTTTTTTTCATTTATAAGCTCCCCAAGGGAGCAAAAGCCATGCACAGTGGTGTGCCAGGAGCCCTCATGATTGTTTTGCCTGTTATCTTATTTGAGCAAATATTAGTATCTCATTTTGCAGCAAGGAAACTGAGGGTCAGAGTAGTTACATGAATTGATCGGGATCAAGAGATTAAATAATTGACCAAGCCAGAAATGTTTTACTCCAAAGTCCATGATCTTCCCCATGGGCCCATACTGTGGTTTCCCTTTCATATAGAGATGGGGCTGGAAGGGCCATTATTGAATATCTGGTCAAGTTCCCTCACTTGATGGATGAACGCTGAGATCTGGAAGGAGTCAACCAACTCATCACCCAAGGTTCCCCCAACAAGCTAGCAGCAAAGCTTGGATGAGAACCCAGATTTCTAAGTTCAAAGTCTTCCTCACATCTTCCTTTATTTAAATAATTTTGACTGTACTACATCAACCCATAACACAAGCTATATAAAAACAGCAATTTGTTTTTCTAAGACTATACCTAGTGTCTGTAATAGCATCAAGCAATTGAGATGTTCCATTTGTTGAATAAATGGATCGTAAGACAATAAGTAGTAGGTGGTTTGATTACATCCTGCAAAGAAGTTTTGATGCTCTTCCTACTTTTCACTCCCTCTTAAGTCTTCATTCAAGACAAAGAAGCTCATTGGATGCCCAATATCAGCCAAGACCAAAGGCCAAAAGGAAATGCACAACATCAAGCCTTTTTTTCTTGTTCAGTAATAAAATCTATAGCAATACTATAATTTGTTTCCTTTACAGATACTTTAATCAAAAAGAAACATATCAAAATATGGTAAATTCTGCTTGTTCATTCAAGTTATCCAATTGGCTTTAGAATGCCACTTATCCTTACTTTCAATTGTATTCATTTCCAAATATACAGCTTCTTAGAAATGTAGGGACACTATCCTCAGCCCTTAAATGTGGAATTTATCAACCCCTGTATTGTTTATTTTTGTGCAATTAGCAACATCACTTCTGGGGAAAAAAAAGGACTTTTGGGACTGATAAATGTATTTGTGACATTTTCCTCTAAATATCTTGCTTCTTTATGCATCCTCTCATTTTATACTGAGCTTGGTCTAGGGGAAGTTCGGGTAAACAGATCTCTTATGAGTAATTAGTGTCCAATTAAGCCAAGGTTTCATGTCTGTGTGAGTCCAGCCTCTTTTTCCAACCTCTGGGAAGAATTAAGTAGGTCAGGTCTCTGTTTACAAAGCAAGCCCCAATGCTGTTGACTATCCAGGGGATTTTACAAGTTATTCCCAGTAGCTGAACCACTAGATAAAGCTACTCAAAAAATTTGTATAGGCCTTTGCTGCTGTGCAAGGGGCAACGTTGACCATCCAGTGATCTAGGTCCTTCCTTTCTGCATTTGTCCTGTGGGAGTTTCCACAGACTGTTACATCACCAAGAAGCTTCATCCTGAAACAAAAGGAAGGTCACAACCCTGATCTCATGGTCAAAAGATCATGACACTATCCTTCCCATCATAAGCCCTGTTTCAAATGACTCAACTTGAACGGCAGCTGCTCTACTGGCAATCTTTTGTGCATGATTTATTTTTTCCAACTTTGTATTCCAAAAATTTTCAAATATACAAAAAAGATAAAAGATGAATACGAGGAACATTTGTATACTCACCACTTAGATTCAAAAATCATCGACATTTGGCTGAACCGTTTGAAAGTGAGCTGCACTTTAAATATTTTTGCATCTATCGCCTGAGAATAAAAACATTCTCTCTAATACGAAGTAACACTGTAACAAAGAATTATTTAAGTTATCAAAGTAGTCAAAATAAAGTTGTTCATAATATTTTCTTATTATCCTCTTAAAGTCTGTAGGATCTGTAGTGATGTGTCACTTTCATTCCTGATGCGGGAATTTGTGTCTTCGCTCTTTTTTTCTGCATAAATCTAATTAGAGGTTTATTAATTTTATTAATTTTTCCCCAAAGAACCTGCTGTGGGTTTCATTTATTTTTTTAGTTTTGGTAAATTTAATTCATGTCTGCTTTTATGTTTATTATTTCCCTTTTCCTATTTTTGGATTTAATTTGCTTCTTTCTAGCATCTTGAAGTGGAAGTTTTGATCTGTTTGTAGCCATATCTTACCTATTTTAATATGCTGCGTTTTTGTTCTTAGTTAGTTCAAAATATTTTTGATCCTCCTTGTTATTTCTGCTTTGACCCATGGGTTATTTAGAAATATGTTGTTTAATTTCCACATATTTGGGGGCTTTCCAGATTCTTCTGTTGTTGACTTCTTATTAAATTCTATTATAGGCAGAACATAAACTTTTTATGATTTCAATCCTTTTAAATTTGTTGAGGCTTGGTCTTTGGCTCAGCACATGGCCTATCTTGGCAAATGTTCCATGTGCACTGGAAAAGAGTGAACATTCTGTTGCTATTACATGGACATATTTACATCAATTAGTCAAGTTGGTAAATAGTGTTATTCACTATTCAGTAAATAGTGTTGCTGAGTTTCTGTTTACTTCTTCTGTAAGTTATTAGGAAAAGAATGCAGAAATTTCCAACTATGATTGTTGATTTACCCATTCTTCCCAGTTTATCAGTTTTTGCTTCATTTATTGTGTGCATACACATTTAAGATTGTTATATCTTTGTGATGCATTGACCCTTTGTCAGTATAAAACGTCCTTCTTCATCCCTGCTAATAATCATTTTTCTGATTTCTGTTTTCTCTGATGTTAATACAGCCAGTCTTACTTTATTTTTATTATTTGCATGAAATATCTATTTCTATCTTTTACCTATTTTTGTTATCACATGTGAAGTGAATTTCTTGGATAAAGAAAATGTGGTACATATACATCATGGAATACCATGCAGCCATAAAAAAAGAATGAAATAATGATCTTTGCAGCAACATGGATGCAGCTGGAAGCCATTATTATAAGCAAATTAATTCAGAAACAGAAAATAAATATTGCATATTCTCACTTATAAGTGGGAGCTAAACCTCAGATACATGTGAACATAAAGATGGGAACAAGAGATACTGGGAACTCCAAAAGGAGGGAAGACAGGAAGGTGGCAAGGGCTGAAAAACTTTTTATTGATACTATGTTCACTATCTGGATGATGGGATCAATAGAAGCCTAAGCCTCAGCATCACACGATATAACTAATCTTGCAATAAACCTGCGACAAACCTTGTAACAAACACATACCACTCGAATCTAAAATTTAAATTTAAAAATTTAAATAATAACAATAATTAAGTTTCTTGCAGCTCGCACACAGTTTTGTCTTTCATTTTTAACAAGCTCTGTCTTTTGATTGGGGTGACATGTTATGTAATTATCAACATGGTTGAATTTAAATCTACCATCTCCCTTTTTTTTCTATTCGTCTCATCCCTTTTTTATTTCTTTTCCCCTAAATTTCCACTTTCTTTTGGAATATATTTTTTCTACTCTATTTATAGACACTATTGGCTGATAAGCTATAGTCTTTTATTATTTTAAGTAGTTCTTCTAAGATTTACAATATTCAAATTTAACTTTTCACAGTCCATATAGATATAATATTATGCTACTTCATGTATAATCCTTAGGACATCATATTTCTATTTTTGCCTGCTATCTTTGTGCTATTATTGTCGTACACTTTATTTCTCACCTTATTTTAACTGCAAAATACATTTCTACTCTTTTTGCCTTAAATATTACATTATTTAAGGCAAATAATGGGCCAGGCATGGTGGCTCATGCCTGTAACCCCAGCACTTTGGGAGGCTATGTGGGCAGATCTCTTGAGATCAGGAGTTTGAGACCAGCCTGGCCAACATAGTGAAACCCCAACTCTACTAAAAATACAAAACTTAGCCTGGCATGGTGGCACATGCCTGTGGTCCCAGATCTCCAGAGGCTGAGGCAGGAGAACCACTTGAACTCAGGAGGCAGAGGCTGCAGTGAGCTGAGATCACATCACTGCACTCCAGCCTGGGTGACAGAGCAAGACTCTGTCTCAAAAAAAAAAAAAAAGAAAAAAGAAAAAAAATTAAATTATCTTTTAACAAAATGTTTAAATGAGGCAAAAAACCCTTTATATTTACTCAAATATTTATCAATATCAGCCCTTTCCATTCTTGTGTATACATCCAAGTTTCTATGTGATCGTAGGTTTTATATTCCCATGATTTAAAGGACTTGATTTAAATTTATTGTAGTGTAGGTCTGCTGGAAGTGAATTCTTGTAGCTTGTATTTGTCTGAAAAATATTTTATGTGACTTCCATTTTCAAAGAATTATTTTTCATGAATATATAATTATAGGTTAACAGGATTTATTGTCTATCTATCTATTGCTCTTTAAAGTTTTCTGGTCTGCATAGCTTCTGACAAGAAGTCTGCAGTCATTCTTACTGTTCCTCTGTACATATATCTATTTTCCCTCTCTGCTTTTAAGAATATTTCTACCACTTGTTTTTAGCTATTTATTATAATGCTTTATTATGGGGTGTGTGGTTGGGGGGTGTATGTGTGTATTTATTCTATTTTGGGTTTGTTGTGCTTCTTGGATCTCTAGCTCTGTAATTTTCATCCAATTTGGAGACATTTCAGACATTATTTCTTCAAATGTTTTGTCTTTTCTCTTTGAGGAATTTCAGTTACCATTACATTAGATGACTTTATATTTTTCCACAGATCTCTGTAGCTCCATACAATTTTTCTTAGTCATTTTTCTCTCTAGGCTTCATTTTGGATAAATCCCATTGCTATATCTACAAGTTCATTGATCTTAAAGGAAACCAGAATATTTCACCCCAAAATGTGGCTGAGCTAAAGAAGCAGTCTCAAGGTCTCTTTGATCCCTTCTCCTATCTCTCAATCCTCTGTCTCTCCCAAAGCACAGGATGAAGCTGCTCTCCAAAGTTCCCTTATCTACCTAGAAACTGGACCTACCAAAGAGGAACACACTTTTCTTCCCTAAAATTTCATTAACCAGAGAAGATTAAAACTCATATCAAAAGGAAGAGACTGAAAATTAAACACCAGATGAACTCATCCCAAACCGTTGTCTGCTGTCTGTCCTCTCCAATTTCCAAAGACTATTATTTACTAGCCATTGTCTGAGTATGAGGCCCATTCATTTTGCCCCTGAAAATCACTTACTATCCCTCAAACCATCCACATTTCCCCCATCTTCCCTTCTGCTATGAAGAAGAGTATATACGCATCCATACCCCATTGGGTAGTCATTTTCCTGCAATTCCCCTGTGCTATGCACATTAAAATAAAGTTTGTATGCCTTTTTTCTCTTATGAGTCTGCTTTTCTCTGTTGATTTTCAGCAAACAGTCAGAGGATGAAGAGGGAAATGTTCCCCCTTTACTCTTATATATTTGGTGCTGTGAGCAGCATATCCAAAACTGCTCTGCTTTTCTGGAAGCCACAACCAAAGGAACTCAGGACCTGAGAGGCCAATATAAGAGTAAGAAACTGTTACCAGACTCCTAGTCTCTCTCTGTGGAATCTGGTACCAGACTCCCAGTCTCTCTCTGTGGAATCTGGTTGAGCAGATGGTAAAAATTACTTTTTGTCTATTTTTCCTTTTTACATTTAAGATTAATGGGAGAAAAGCATTTGTATGACTATTGTTAGGTGCGGTGACTCTGGTGTATTTTTGGTATGAATATTCATATTGTCTGATCCATTTATGCCCAGAAATAGTCTTTGCTTTTTGTTTATCTTTGTCTCCCTGTGTCATTTTGTCATAAACAGGGGTACCATAGGGTAGAACATAGGCCTAAAACATAAGCCTGTTGTTCAAGCCAGCTTCCACAGACCGGTGAGTTTTATAGTTCTCAGCAGACCTCCAGCACCTATTTAGAAAAATTGTGCTGCGGGTCTCCAAAATGAAAACAGAATGAGGTTGCCCTCTCCTTTTGTTTTATGTCCTTGAAAGCTTTCTTTGTGACCAAGTGGGAGCATTTCTCTTTTTGGTCTCTGCTATCCAGGGTGTGTGATTTTCAGATCATGTGTGGTGGCCAGTCTGAAAGGACTGGGACACCCAAGATGCATAAAATTTTAAGCAGCGTGCTCTGTTGCTAACATGCTAGGCTCTCAGGATGGTTTGTCTTAATAAGGAGCCTCATCCACAAGGGGCTTTGTTGTCTCAATCTTTGTTGCCTGGTTAGTGCTGGGCAAATCCAATCCCAGAAGTTGGTGGATCTATAACTGATGGTACAGCCGAGTGTCCATGTGTCCATGTACTTGTGTGGAGAACAGAGACATCATTCACACAAATACCATCCTTAATCACCTGTGGCAACAAAGATCTTTTGCTATCTTAGCCTATTTCTGGGAGTGAATTTTTGGGGATCATGGAGGCTGCATCTTCTATGCCTCCTGATCTTCCCATAAAGAGGCTTATTAGATTGAGTTGCTATTAAAATAAGTACACCATTGGAAAGTCTAATCATCAATGGCCAGATAATAGTTTTTTGAATTAGAAAGACTTATATATTTGAAAACAAAATTTGAAGATCTCTTGCCCTAAGCAGTTGCCTTATTTGTATTGATGAGAGAACCAAATTAAAAGAAAGACATGTAATATTGGGATGGCTAGTCTTAAAAATTATTCTGACAAAATTAAAAAGCAAAAATTTGACCTAAAACAAAAGTTAAAATTCTTTGAACACTCAAACTGCCAACTTTGAATTTCCAGGGGAATTTGTAAAAAAGTCACTCCAGCCTATGGTCTGGTATTTAAGATTCTGTGCATTTACCACTGTGGTCTGGGTTTGATTTAGTTCTCTGGTCAGGGAATCGGCCCCTTGAAAATGTAAATCCTTTAATTCAGAAGGAAACATTTATAAAAACTAGTTTGAATTATTCGTTTTGAATTTATATTTGTATGACTCAACATTTGAGGTACCCATTTGTTTGTATTCTTTCTTCTCATATAGACAACTTTTCATTTTCTGTTGTCTAACTAACTGTCGCTTTTAATTTTCCATCTATGGGGCACACAGATTGCTGGGCCATTGTGTGTAGATGGACAGCTGAGAAGTTTGGTCTCTAGAAAATATGACCAGACAGAGATGTGGGCTGTACTTCATTTGTGACTGGTGACACTTTCCTTGCTTTAAGCTGTCACTGGGAGGGGTCTAGATCTTGGAAGGGTTGCAACTTTTGCTTCTCTTTTGGAGACTTGGGTTAAACCCATAAAGGGCTTCTTGGTTTTATTCTCATGTATGCTTATTTGTTTTGGTTTTGAGTAATTCACTTAGGAATACTTCTGGTTTAAAACTCTATTTTTAGAATGTGATAGCAAGTTTTTTTTCTGTTTATCTTGCATCCTCTACTGGATCAGAGAGATGTATCTCCCACCACCACTGGGAACCAAAGACCTTCTTAGGTGGCAAAAGAGAGGTGCTGCTCCCACCACCACTGCCAATGCTCCCCTCCTCAGTCTCTCAGCTCTCACAAAAGGCTGGCTGCTCACATAACAGAAAATTTGCTGCTTGTATTTTTTTTTTTTTAATTTTACAGAGCTCTATGGTCGAAAGTCAGTTTAATTAAAAGCTAATCTTCTCTCTTCTCTTTTAAATTCTATCTCTCCTATGGAAACTTCTTAGTCAACAAGACCCCTCTTTTTTGAACCCCTGCTAACTAAAACTTCATTGACCTTTTGGGAAACTTAAGATTCTCCCAAACTGACTCCCCTAAGACTTGGTCCATTTACTTTTTCTCCTCTTTCCTTTTGGCACCTTCAATCTTTCATCCAGTTAATCCCCTCCCTCCTTCATTTGGTAATCAGTTGATAAAAATTACTAAAAGGAAGCAACAGCACTCTGGCCACCACAAAGATCTAAAGGAAACTTTCAGCAATGCTGAGAACCCGAGCAGAACACAGAAAAGGCACTATTGACCCTCTCTTTTGGGGTCCTCTGTCTTCCTCATGAGCCTCAAAAGTCATAATCAGCTTCTTCTCAGATCTAAAGGTCTGCTCTCTTTTGCACTGAATTCCTGGATCTCTTTGGTTTTTAGATACATATCATGTATGCATGTGGTGGTGTATGTTGTGTCGACATGTATGTAGATTATTATACCTGTGTTTCTATATTGTCTACATAATACCAAATTGATCTTAAAATAAACACTCTTGAATTAAGTAGATAAGCTTAAATGCTATTCAAGTTTACATGACTGTAATAAATCTTTGGTAAATAAAGCTAATTTTTAAATTGTTGGTAAAATAAAATGAAAATGCCTTCAGAATTGTCATTATTAATGCGACGTTTTTGCCTGGGTCTACTGGTCAGACAGATTTATGCTGTCTCTTATAGACATTTTAAGGTTACAAAATTGTTGCTTCTGTGATATTTTTAATACTTGCTTGATTTGTCTGTGAGCTAAAACTGTGCTGTGGGCTGGCTGCTGGGTTTCCCCCAACCTTACATACATCTTACTGTGAGCTTATATCTTTGGTTTTGAGCTTCTGGATTCTGGGCTCTGGACAGGTGGCTATGGTGAGGCCTGGGGACACGTGGGTCTACAGTGCCTAAGCCACCAGCTGCAGGGCAGAGCCAAGCCCAATACGGCCCCGTCTTCCCTGGCCCAGCTATACCTCCTGGCCATGCTCAGTGGGGTTGGATCCTCTAGACATTTTCTTCAAAAGTCTATCCTCTGTCCTGGGCTCTACATCTGATATGTAACTCTAGGACCCAGATGGGCCCTGCCCTTCAGAGCTTTCCTGGATACCCAGGATGGCTGTGGGAGGGACATTGCGGGGGGTGTCTGTGCCCAGTATCTCAAAGGCCTTGGTAGGATAAACTGCTTGCTGACACAGGATTAGCCTCGTGTTGCCTTTTAAAAAATAGACCAGACATAGTGACTCACACCTGTAATCCCAAGACTTTGAGAGGCCAAGGCAGGAGGATCCTTTGAGCCCAGGAGTTCAAGATCATTCCTGGACAACATGGTGAGACACCATCTCTACAGAAAATTTAAAAATTAGCTGAGTAAGGAAAAAGAAAAATATTAGCTGAATGTGATGGTGTGTACCTGTAGTCCCAGCTACTTGGGATGCTGAGGTGGAAAGATCACTTCACCCTTGGAATCAAGGCTGCAGTGAGCCATGATCATGCCACTGCACACCCGTCTGGGTGACAGAGTGAGACCCTGTCTGAAAAAAATGAAATAAAATAAATAATAAATTAAAATTAAAAATCACTTAAATGGCTAGCTTTATTTTCTATGAGCAATTCAAATATAATTGTTAAGAATGAGTAAATCAGGTAAATGTAAATGCAATAAACAAGAATAAAAGTTGTCATCATTTCAAAAACCTTTTTAGTAAGTTAAAAGGTTTTTAGAAAACTTTGAGAACATACCATTCATTGGACTGGTTAAAATTCCAGAACTCTAATGAAAAAAAAATTGACTCATAAAATTGCTAACCTAATGTCAAGCAGAACAAGAATTAATTACATAGAGCTGAAATGGTGAAGGACTGAAATAATTTTTTATGATTCTTTTGTTTGAAACATTGCTTATCCTTTTCAAGTTTTATTTTTGAGAGTTAAGAAAACTGTTTTCTCTTAAGCTATCTATAGCTTTACAGTAAAAGCTATAGACAAAGTATATTTCTGTGAAAAAAGTTGAAACATTTACCTTTCTCTCTACCTGATCCCTTCAGAATTCAGAAATTCTTCATGAGTATTCTTACTTTATGGCTTTACAATTATTTCATAAGTTCAGTAAGAACTCATTCTCTTTTATAACAAGACACAACTGGAAACACTGGTTATTTTACCAAGGCTCTGACTGAAATACAATATTTTTAGATATGATCAGATTGCTTTGAGGACTGAAGTTGACTTTTGTGGAGCTGATAAAATGTCCCTTGGAGAGACTGGCCTTGTACCTTGTCTACATGATTCCCTTACAAGCTTCCTGATTTTGTGGTGAGTAATGAATGTCACCTTATGACAGGCCCATGAACCTCAAGTTATTTGAGGGACCTTGAGAAAAGAGGTATTCATCCATTTATACAGGTATTACAGACACAGTCTGAGACTGAGTCAGATTTTTGGCTTGACTTCTTAACATAGCTAGGAAGCCAAGGGGCTTTTTAAAAAGTCTAATCTGAGATTCTTTATGAAAATATTCCAGCAAAGCCAACTTAGAACAAGCCTATAGGTCATTCATCATTCTTACTAAACTTTTGTAAATAATCAGGTCAAAGACTAAACTTAAACAAAACAGTCTGTCTATGATTATCTTTGGTTGAAATGGGAGGATTCGAGAGAAAAAATTATGTCATAGAAAAAAACTTCACATATGCCTGTTATTACATTCTAGCCTTGTCCATTTGTTTCTGAGCTTTGTATCTGGACTGAATCACACATTTTTATTTTCCTCCAATATATGGCTGAGACACTCAGACTAATGTTTCCAATTTTTCTTCCACCCTTCTGACTTAGAATTATTAGAAACTAAAACTGCCTTTTTCCTGAGGCTGAAGCTAGTCAACTTGGCTTTGAAGGAATATTATTGCAACAGCTTATATTTGGACAAAACTTTCTACACGCAAAATGCAGGCTACAAAAATCTGTCAGATTGCCACTAATCTTCTCAACTGACTGTCCTCCAGACTCTAAAGAAACTAGTTTATAAATTATTTCACCCATTAACATTTGTTTTTTGTTTCTGTTTCCATAAAAGCCCTCTTATTAAAGCTCTATTTGCCTACATCATATATAGAGGCCTAGCTTTGAGAATCTATCTACAATGCCATCTTTTAAAATGAAACACACTTGTTTAATTGGACTGGCCAATTTCCAGAAATAAGAGACTAGTTTAATTGGATTTTTGAAAGTGCTTAGATTTGTTCTTTCTTTATGTATTCATTCTCATCATAATCTATGTTCTTTTCTCCCTTTACAGATCGCTTGCCACTGGATTACTAATCTGATTTCTCTCTCCATAGCTACCAATCCTACTTTAATATGTGAAACCTTTTGAAAATAAAGCTTCAAACAGGAGACTAAAAAATCAATATTTCACCCCAAAATATTGCTGATCTAAAGAAGCAGCTCAAGTTCTAACTCCTTCCCCCATCTCCCAGTCCTCTGTCCTCCCCAAAGCATAGGATAAAGCTGTTCTCTAAAATTCCCTCATCTATCTAGAAACTGGACCTACCAAAGAGGAACACAATTGCCTGCCTCGAAATTTTATTAACCAGAGAAGACTAAAATTCATATCACAGAGGAAGAATCCCAAACCATTTCTTCTTTCTGCCCCATTCCAATTTCCAAATGGTTAGTAAATTTCCAATTTACTAACCATTGTCGGACCATTAGGCCCATTTATTTCCACCTAAAAATCATTTATTATCCCTCAGATTGCCACACTTCCCCCATTTTCCCTTCCCCTGTGAAGAAGGGGCTATAAGTATCTGTACCCCATTGGGTTATTGGGCAATCATTCTCCTGCAACTCCCCTGTGCTATGCACATTAAAATAAAGTTTGTATGCCTTTTTCTCCTACTAATCTGCCTTTTGTCAGTTGATTTTCAGTGACCTTTCAGTGAACCTGTAATTTTTTCTTCTGTATTATTCAATTTACTCATATTACTTCCACTAATTTTTTAATTTCATTTATTGTATTTTTCATCACTTGAAATTGCATTTGGTTCTTTTAAATTTATTCAATTCTGTCCTCACTATGTTTTTATTTTCTTTTAAGTACCTAAATGTATTTATAATACCTGTTGTAGGGTCCTTGTCTGCTAATTCCATAATCTCTGTGTATTAGTCCATTCTCACACTGCTATAAGGACATACCCAAGACTGGGTAATTTATAAAGGAAAGAGGTTTAATTGACTCACAGTTCAGCATAGCTGGGGAAGCCTCAGGAAACTTACAATCATAGCAGAAGGGGAAGCAAACACATCCTTCTTCACATGATGGCAGGGAGAAGAAGAATGAGAGCCAAGTAAAGGGGGTAGCCCCTTATAAAACCATCAGATCTCGTGAGAATTTACTCACTATCATGAAAACAGGATGGGGGAAACCACCCCCATGATTCAATTATCTCCACCTGGTCCCTCCCACAACACATGGGGATTATGTGAACTACAATTCAAGATGAGATTTGGGTGGGAACACAGCCAAACCATATCACTCTGTCCTTTCTGATTTGCTTCTAATGGTTAATATTTCTCCTAGTTATTATTCACGTTTTCTTTTTGCTTCTTGTAGTTTTTAGCAGGATACTATAAATGGTATGTTTTGGGGCTTGCATTTTGCCATTTCCCTTTATAGAGTGGTGGGCTTTGTTTTGAAAAACATCTAAGTCATTTGAAGATTAGACTGATCCCTTGGAGACCTGTTTTTGTTTAAAGCTTTTCTAGGGTAGATGTAGAATAATGTTGCTCCACCAATAATTTGGTCCTATCAGTACTGCGTGACTGCCCTGGGGTACTCAGTGACCACTCCAGGGTGTTGCTGAGGACTCTCCACTCTGACAAGCCAGACCATAAACATCTGCCTTCCTTGTGTGATGGGCATTCAGTCAGCTCACAGCTCACTGGTCATGCTTTGCCCATCTTTGTTGACATTCACTCTGCACAGGAACAGCCTAAAACTCAGCAAACACTCATGAAGACCCTCTGCAAATTTCTGCAGTGGTTTCTCTGGGTAGTTCCCTCCACTTTGGAAATCATCTTTACAATGTCTTATAGGTTCAGCCTCCTTGAACTCTGATCTCTATCCTTTCAACTCTGAGGCCACTGGGCCCCGTTCGGGTTGCTGCTTCTGCGACCATGGTCTGAAAAACGCCTCCAGGTAGAAAGGTGTTTATCTGTTGTTAGGGATCACAGTACTGTGCTATCTATTGTCCAATGTCTGAATACAGTTGTCTAATCTATTTTGTCCTGTTTCGAAGCTTTTTATAGGAAAAGAAGTTCATGTCTTGCTATTTCCTCATGGCCTGAGGTGAAGTCCTCCTTATTTTGTTCACTTCCCTTTGTTTCCATAATTATTTCTCCCTTATCATTTCTTTATATTTGTGTTTTCTCCCTTATTTTCTTAAATAGGTTTGTCTGCTTTGTTGTTTTTTTAATGAACTAAATTTGAATGTATTATACCTACTGTTTTTTAAGTTTCTAACTCATTAATTGTTGCTTTTATCTATTATCTCCTTTCTTCTGATTTTTTTTTGAGTTTGCTTCCTAAAATCTGTTGAGTTTGAAACACTTATATATTCTGTTTTTAAATTTTTTTAAATTTTTACTGAGGCTAGGACTATACTTCATATAATGAGTGTACCATGAATAAATCTGTGTCAAGTGAACAATCTTCTTGGTGACATTCAAATAGGAATCTCATGCATTACTTTTTTAAATAACAGCTTTATTGAGGTTTAACTCACCTATCACAAAATTCACCTTTTTAAGGTTTACAATTCAGTGGTTTTTAATGTACTCACAGAGTTATACAACCTCACCACTCTCTCATTTTAGAACATTTTTGTCACCCTAAAAAGAAAAACTGCACCCATCGGCAGTCTTTCCCCATCTTACCCTCAGTTCCTGGCAACTACTAATCTGTTTTATGTCCCAATGGACTTGCCTTTTATGGACATGCAATAGGAATGGGATTATACAATTTGTGACATTTTGTGACTGGTTCCTTTCATGTACTGTTTTCAAGAGTCATCCATGTTTAGTATGTATCAGTACTGCCTTCCTTTTTATGGTGAATGATGTACCATATTTGTTTATCTTTTATCAGTTGATGCATATTTGGGCTTTTTGACTCTTTGGCTATTATGAATAATGCTGCTTTGAACATTTGCATAGATGTTTTTGCATCAACATATGTTTTCAGTACTCATGGGGCCGAATTGCTGGGTCATATGGTAACTTTAACTTTTTGAGGAATTGCCAAACTTGTTTCCAAAACAACTGCATAATTTAAATTCCCACCAACAATGAATGAGGGGTCCAGTTTCTCCACATCTTTGTCAACACTTGTTATTGTCTTTTTTTTTTTTAGTTTAACCATCCTAGTGGTGTGACGTGTATCACATTGAGGTTTTGATTTGCATTTCTCAAAAGACTAATGGTGGGCATCTTTCCAACGTGCTATTGACTATTTGTATATCTTACATTTTATCTTACATTTTCAATTCTTACATCTAGACTTCTGTAAGAGGCCTATGATCCATTTTTTTTATGATCCATTTTGAGTTAAGTTTTGTGTATGCTATGAGGTAAGGTCCCAACTTCATTCTTTTGTATGTAGATATCTAATTGTTCCAGCACCATTTGTTGAAAAGCCATGCAGCATTTTTGTCAAAGAAAAAAGTCTCTAATATATAAATGGCTATAATTTTATGAAATCATAGCACATTGCCTCTAGAATTCTGCTTAGAAGTAATTTATTTCAAATGTCCTCAAACGGGTCAGCTAATTTACCGAGAGCATCGATTCTGCCCCCAGCTCATGCCCCCAGGATCTATACCAACCTAGAAACTGTGCAGCTGGTCCTCTACTGTGTTGATGATCAGAATTCCCTTCTCCTTTTTCTCCCCACATATTTTTATTTCCACCTTGATACTAAAACTCTCAGAAAACTAGTAGATGTGCAGGGATCAGGGGAGTGATGTGGTGTGAAGGGTTTAGGGAGAAATTGTTAGTAACACATTTCATTTGAGAAAATAAATTTCTTTTAGGGAAGATGAAGGCAAGAGGAGCTCTAGAGTGAGCAAGAAGGGATTGGTGATTTTTTTTTTATATCATTCTTTGGCACAGAGTTCTAGGAAATCAGTTGTGTGATAGGAGACCCACTCCTGTATAGCAAAGCTACCATGGATGAAGGCCTTCTAGACCTGGGATTGTAGGAGTTCTAACCATCACTAAACTTCTTTAGTGCGGCAGATTTTTCGCTGACTCCACTGCCATTCCTGCTTGATTCTAGTGAGGCTTCTGATATAACAATGCTAGAAAACTAAAAACCCCACTTACCAGAGCCAGGATTTTGTACGTGGATGAGATTCTTCCAAGCAGATGTCCACATACGAGACTAGGAGGGTTTGAGCAATGGGAGGCAGTGGCCAGGCTCAGGGACACTGGAGGTCTTTGCAAGCAACAGACACGTTGGTTCTCCTGGGGCAGTTCTAGAAGAGTTTCCAGAGTCTGGTTCCTAGAAACTTAGGTACGGAGCAGTACGTGGTGGCAACCATGGTGTTTCCACTAGAAGAGCTCCATGTAAGATGGGGCATTTCCCTTGATTGCCATTGTTTCTAAGTGTGCAGCAATCAAATCTTATTTCCTGGGTCCTGGTGAAGTTCTGTAAGAATCATCGTATCATCTGATAAATCATTTTCTTCTCAGAGTAACCAGAGTGCATTCTGTTGTCTGCCACTATGAGCCATAACCAGTGACCTCCTTAACAAAGATAGGGAAGTTAACACATTCTTACGTAGGCCATCATCAAGGCTAGATAAATGTTTCTTCTAAGAGTAAATCTAAAAGGAAAACATCAATATGTGCCATTGGGAATAAAATATTTTTTAAAAACTGAAAGAAAAACAACCCCAACAACTCAGAAGGGGATGGAGAGACTTTTGAAGATGATTTACTGCACAAACCAGAAATAAATTATTTTGGAAACTCAAAATGATTTACTAGAGATACCAGAAGTAAATTATTTTCGAAACAGTGTGCCATCACTAATAGAATACACAAAGACAGCAACTCCATGAAACAAAATCAGAAACCAAAACCAAAGAACAGGCTGCAAAGGAAGGGGAAAGAAGATGAGCATTAAAGACAGAAAGATGGCAGGTTGTGTGCTCCACAAGGAGCACATTTTGCACTAACACCACAAGAGTCTGGCTCAGTGAATGGGGATTGATAGTAGTTTAAATGTCTGAGAGCTTTGAGGAGGGATTAAAACATGTGAAAAATGGAGACGAGCTCACTCCACAGGTCTGATGTAGGCGATGCTGGCCCAGGAAGTTCTGTGCATGGTGGCACCCCTGTGACACCCATGGAAGGCCATGTCTGATCTCCAGTTCCACAGAGATCCTGAAGAGACAGAAAGGGAAGAGCAGCTGCTGCGGAAAAGGTTGTGGCCAGGGAGGAATTTCAGGGAGAATGGACTGCTCCAGTTCCTGAGTTGACTGCTCTCCAAGCTGAGGCTGCAGACTGGGCTATAGGTGTAGGTGGCCTCTGGGCCCATTCAGCTGATCCCTACTGAAGTCTAAGGGGCTCAGTCTCCCACTGAAGGCTGATCTGCAGCTCCCACTGCCCAGCCACTGAGGGGTCTTAACTGTTTTTCCACAGGCTCTTACACAGAAAACAGAAAAAAGGTGAATGGAAAATTAACATCAGTTTTTTAAAAAGTAAGACGAGCCAAGACAACCAGATGAGAAGATAAACATGATTGGTGAGATAAGAAAGGATTCTAAGAAAACAATTGCAATAAGATAAATATGTTTTAGAGGAGGCTGGGAGTATAGTGTCAAATTTGATGTAGTGCAATATTTGGCTCTTTAAAAAATATAATAAACCCTAAGCAAATATAATTAAGAAAACAGAAAAAATGAACAAATAACAAAAGAGAAAGGCAAAATGATAAGCTTCCGATAAACATAAGCAGGAAAAATGGGCAAATAAGAAATCAGAAATAAGAAATGTCAAGGGAAAAAAGAGTTGGAAGGAGAAAGGTATAATAACAGAAATGGAGGCAACATATCAACTGATTATAATGTATGTACTCAAACTGTATAAAAGCAAAAGATCATTGGAGAAACATGAACATTGAATGAATATTTGATGACATCAAGAAATTATTGCCAACGTTTTAGGTAGGTAGTGATATTTTCACTATTTTTAGGTCCATATATTTTAGAGCTACATGATGAAATATTTAAAGATGAAATTATGATGGTGGAATTTGTTCAAAATAATGGGAGAGGGGGTGGCAGTGAATGACAAAATGAATGGGGATATAAGTAGAATGAAGTTTTCATGAACTGACTAATGTTGAAGCTAGAAGATGGGACAATAGTTAATTGTACTATCTTCTCTAATTTTATATAATAAAAAGTTTTTAAAATTAAACTGAGCTGAGAACAAAAGTGATAGGAGATTATGATATTCTACCTTGCAAAATATAATTTAAAATCTTAAAATTAAGCACACTTTTCTGGGCATGTTACCAAAATTGACATAAGAGAAAAATTTAAATGTGAATATATTACTAGCCACAAAAGAAATTTAAAATACAATTAACATATGTCAAAAGTTTCTTTCACAAATTTGAGGAATCAGGTTGTATCAACTCTTCTAGAAAATAGAAAAAGATGGAAAGCTACACAATCGATTTCATGAAGCTAAATTAATCTTGATTTCTGTACCTAACAAAGATAATGCAATAAAGAAAAGAAAATCATGAGCTAGTCTCACTTAGGAGTAATTTTTAAATCCTAAATAAAGTAGCGGCAAAATAAATAGTATCCTAAAGGAATTTTCTATCATGATCAAGGAAAGCATATCTTATCTTGGGAATGCAAAAGCATTCAATTTTAGAAAATTCAACGTTATAATACTTTATGTCAGCGGTCCCCACATTTATTAGGATTTAAAGGGCATTAAATAACACCTAAAACACATTCTCACATTGTTAAAAATCCTTAGGGAAAATGAGAACTCAAGGATACTTCTTTCACATCATAATTATGTAAACGTAAACAAGTGGCCAGCATATGAAACATTAAAAGTATTCCTGTTAAAACCAGAAACAAGGCAGGTGTGTCTACTATTTCACCTTGCTCAAGAAGATCAGAGTCATGTAATAAGACTGGAAGTAGAACTATGAACCATAACTAAGAGAAAGGAGGTGATTAAAAGTTCATTATAAACTAACAACATGGCTGGATAACCTAAACACCCAAGGGATTCAACTCTAAGCACTTTGAATTGAAAAAAAAAACAAAGTAAAGGGACCAGATTAAAAAATAATAATAAACGTACAACAGTCCATTGCTTTTCCATACACCAACATGAAGCAAACAAAAATATACTCTCATTGGTGAAAAAGATTTCATTCTTATTCAGAACATGAAGAAAAAAAAACTATTGAGATACAATACAAACATAATCAACAAACAGAACAAAATGAAATGCTACACAGCCGGTAAAAATCTGTAACAGTAAGTGAAAATCACTCTGGAGAAAAAAATAAAATAAAATAAAAAAACAAACAAAGCCCAGTATCCATGAATATATTCACTATGATTCTTTTTTTATAGACTACAGGTTAGATATAATGTTAGAAAATAAAAACAAAAATAATGGCAAGTAAACCTATGAGATTTTAATAGTAATTATTTTTGTGAGATCAATTTTTAGATCAACCTTATTTTCTGTATGCATTCATGCTATATTATCTACAACAAGCAAGTATTACTTTTGAGATCAGATCAGGAAAGAATTTTAATTTGTTGAGTTGACTTGAGATAAAAAAATTAACCAATAAATTCACTGGCTACATATGATTTTCAAGATTTCTGAATCACCCTGGGGATGAGAGCTTTTCTAAAACATGGGGTTAGCACACAGGAGCCATAGGTCTGAGGCAAAGTTCAAATGGATGAGAATGGAAACGTTGCTCTGGCTTACCCAAGCTGGCCAGTCTGTCTAGAACTAATTTAAGAACATAAAGATGACATCATTGCAGGTGTTCTTTCAAAGTGGAGCACCCATTTATAATGCTTCTGGCTGACAAAATTGGAAAGGAGACAAGGTTTAAAAAGCCTCAGATATTCTTTTTGTCGATGCTCACCATCTTTATCTTCAAATAAAACTATTTATATTTCTTCTGTCTGCCCCTTGGGCTCTGGTTCTTGGTTAAGAAATGTCTCATAAATTTCAGAAGAGGAGGAAAACAGAAGGTGATGGTACAGAACATTCTATTTTCAAGACTATAAATATTTCAACTTCTCGAAGAGATCACCTATCATGAAAACTTCAGATCTTCCTAAGTAAGTCTTATAAAAATTAACTATAAAGTTTATGACAGTTTCCACAATCAAGTACTGTATGCCAGATTGGCTTAAAGCATTTAGAAATGAGCAGCCTGAATGTTGGCAAAAGGTCACATACTGGAAAAGAGTAATGTCCAATTCAAAAAGTGAAAAGTAAGAGACGCTGCCAATCCAAAAATTGAATGCCCAAACTTTACTGAATTCTGTTAATAAAATCAACAAGTTGTTCCACTGTACAGGCAGGGTTACTACTTTATGCTGATAATCCAATAAGTGTTTATTAAGCACCTGCTATTTACAAAGCACTGTGCTGGACGCTGTAGAGAGAATTGATAAAATATCTCAAGGAACTTAGAAGGTAACCAGGGAAAAGGACAAGTACAAAAATAAATAATAGAACTCTTACCAATTAACGTGAGCAACCAAATAACCTGATTTTAAACATGGGCAAAAGAACAGACACTTAACAGAAGAACATGTAGGAATGGTCAGGAAGCACATGACAGGTCGCTCAGCACCATTAGTCATCAGAGAAACGGAAATTAAAACTACATCAAGATGCCATTTCACACCCACTAGAGTCGCTCAAATAAAAATGATTGACAATGCCAAATGTTGGCCAAGATGTAGAGAAACCGGAACTATCTTATATTACTAGGGGAGAGTAATGGTACAATCATGTTAAAAAACTGTTTGGCAATTCTCTTAAAGCTACCCTATTGCCCAGCAATTCCATTTCTAGGTATGAATACTTACCCCAAAGAAATGAAAACCTATGTCTACAGAAAGCGTATGCAAGAATGTTTATAGCTGCTTTATTTACAATAGCCTTCTTCCCCAAAATGACAAATGTCCATCAACAGGAGGATGGGTAAACAAACTGTGGTATAGTCATACAGTAGAATACTATTGAGCAATTAAATAGAACAAGTTACTAATAGGTGCAACAACATGGGCACATCTCAAAAACTCCACTTTGAGAGACAGAAGTCACACACACAAAGAATACATGTTGGAAGAATTCATTTGTTTGAAACTCTAGAACAGGCAAAACTGTTCTATGAGGTTAAAGCTATGGTGATAGAAGTCAAAAAGTGGCTGCCTCCAAGATTGTGGGGGTGGATCAACAATTCACTGGAAAGGGAGAGAAGAGGAAGTTCTGGGGTGGTGGATGTGTTCTGAATCTTGATTGGGATGATGGTTACACAGGTGTACAATTGTCCAAACTTATCAAACTAAGCATGTAAGATCTGTGCATTTTGTTGTACTTAAATTATACTTCATTTTTTAATACTCAGAAAAGGTAAAAATAGAAACAGTAGACATTTGACAGTTGTGAGTTTGCATTGCAAGGACTACAAAATTCCTCAAATTTGTTAATATCACCATAGAACAGGACTTCACAATAAAATGTTCACTTTCGCATGAAAGGGAGGAGGTCAGGGTGAGTATGGGATGATGAAGCCACAGTGACGCCAGATGCCAGGTGAAAACAGGAACCCACCTCTGGGGCCCATTCCTGTAGTGCCTGAGACTCAAAGTTGGGCCTCATAAAAATTGTAACTCATCGCACATCATGAATCTCTACACTAGCTTACAAAGGCTCAAAAGGGAGGATTTTAAATCCAAAAATGTAACTACTGTACAAGATAGAATATTAGAAACATGAGAAGGAAGTTATAATATTTTAAATGAGGTCTAAAATGACAGCTAAATCTCTCCTCCTGAGTAGTAAAACCACATTAACTCATATAGTCACCACTCCTTGTATGAGTCTGGCCCCATCCAAAAGGGGTGGAGTTTAAATTGGTTCTATGATTTGAAACAAACACATGGAAAGCCCTACTGGGATATTTATTAGCTACATTAAGATACACCCCTTAAGAACCTTTAAAAAAACTCTACCATGTTATCTGGTGTAGTTCTGCTCAGGATACCTTGTGGGAATATAAATGACAAAAATTTAAAATTGCCTTAGAAAAGAGTTTTCACATTGCTATGATCCAAATGTTGGTGTCTTCCCAAAATTCATATGTTGGAACTTAATGCCTGATATGGTCTGGCTGTGTCCCCACCCAAATCTCGTCTTGAATTATAGTTCCCATAATTCCCACATGTTGTGGGAGGGACCTGTTGGGAGATAACTGAATCATGAGGGCGGTTTCCCCCAGACTGTTCTCGTGGTAGTGAATAAGTCTCACAAGATATGATGGTTTTATAAGGGGAAACCCCTTTTGCTTGGGTCTCATTCTCTCTTGCCTGCTGCCATGTAAGACGTGACTTTCGCCTTCCACCATGAATGTGAGGCCTCCCCAGCCACGTGGAACTGTGAGTCCATTAAACCTCTTTTTCCTTATAAATTACCCAGTCTCAGGTATATCTTTATCAGCAGGTGGAAATGAACTAATGCAATGCCCAGTGTGATAGTATAAAGAAGTGGGGCCTTTTGGAGGTGATTTGCTCTTGAAGGCTCTGCCCTCATGAATGGGATTAGTGCCCTTATAAAAGAGGCCTGAGAGGGCCTCCTTGCCCTTTTTGCCATGTGAGGACACAGCAACAAGGCAGAGAACAAGTCCTTGCCAGACACAAATCTTCCTTGATCTTGGACTTCCCAACCTCCAGGACTGTGAGCAATAAATTTCTGTTGTTTATAAATTACCTAATCTAAGGTGTTATGCTATAGCAGCCCAAATGGATGAAGACACACATATTAGGCAATAATTATGTCAGTTAAATTTGGTGTGTTTACACCAAACGTCTTCAACATTTTCCCTGCCCTAATATTTGCAAGGAGCACATTAAGTATCTGCCCATTAGCACAGATGCCTCCATAAGGCAGTGGTGTTAAAAGGAGGGGAATGGTGTAAAGATGTTCCCCGGTTGGTGGCAGGGGTAGGGGGTATGATATATAGTTTCCCTCCCCCACCATGAGAATTACTAATTCAATAAGGAATTAAATTAATCAAGTGCCAATATGCTTATTATGGCTTTTGTTTTTGCTTTTGGTTTTTTGCTCAGGTTCGAGGGCATCTTTGATTTTTCTCATTCTTCCCAAGACCTTACATGGTCTGGCCCCCGCATTCCTCCTTTGCCCCAGCCTCCTACTTTCCCCCCTCCCTTAAGACCCAAGCTGCACTGGCCTCCTTGCTATTTCTTGAACATGTCAGATGCTCCTGCCTTAACACCTTTGTGGTGGCTGTTCCACCTGCCTGAACCCCCTTTCCCAGACACCCCAACGACTAACTCCTTTACCTCTTGCAGGCTTTCTCATAAAGGTCATTCTCTTAGAAGGGCCAACCTTGACCATTCCTATTTAAAACTGCAATCTGTCCTCTCACAGGCAAGGCCTATGCCCTCCTTCCTCTCTCTGCACTCCTTTCTTTCCAGTGCACTCATCACCTTTGACATACTGTGACTTTTTTTATCTTATTGTGTTTATTGCCTTATTGTGTTATATGTATTATCTATTATATTATTATCTTTTATTTTTTGTTTATTGCCTGCTCCTCCTGCTACAACATAAGTGCTCCGTGGCAGGTGTCTTTGCTCATTTTACTAACTTCTCTTAAGCACCTACGACTCAACCTGTCACATAGCAGGTGTTCAACAAATGTTTATCAAGTGAATAAATGTATTCTTTTCTATGCTTCTTTAAATAAATACAGCTGACCCTTGAACAATGTCGAGGTTAGGGGTGCTGACCCCACACACAGTCAAAAATCCACATATGACTTTTGACTCTTTCAAACTTAACTACTAATAGCCTACAAGTAGTCTTACCAATAACATGAACAATCAATTGATATGTATTTTGTATGTCATCTATATTATACACTGTATTCTTACAATAAAGTAAGCTAGAGGACAGCAAGTATTATTAAGGAAATCATAAGGAAGAGAAAACATACTTACTATTCAGTAAGTGGGAATGGATCATCATAAAGGTCTTCATCCTTGTCATCTTCATGTTGAGTGGGCTGAGGAAGAGGAGGAGGAAAAGGAGTTGGTCTTGCTGTCTCAAGAGTGGCAGAGGTGAAAAAAATCTGCCTAGAAGTGGACCCACAGAGTTCAAACCTGTGTTGTTCAAGGGTCCACCGTATAACCATGATATTAGCATTGTGAACATTCTCTCTTCGTCTCCTCCTTCCACCTACCCAACTCTCCACTCAGGGGAGATTTATAAGCAAGATTTTGAACACTGAAAATCAAATTAAGTGGTCTGGAAAAGCTGCAATGGCAAACAGGGGAAAACGATTTGGAAAGCAGCCCTTAACCCTACATTTTCCTATCCTGTGAAAGCTGTGAAGAATTGTGCCTACACGAGGCCAATGGCCCCAGCTCTATCCTCTAATCACCTTCTTCTTCTATTTCCCAAATGTAACACTTACCCAGCCAACAAGTAAGGAAATAGATTAGAAAGCTTTTGAGTGACTCTTTTAGTGAACCTGGACCCCAATCAATCAGAAAAGTTACGTGGGATTATGCCATTGGCATTAGTTTTTCATGTATGGTAAATACATGGGTTCGTCTCATTTGAAAGGAATAGGCACATTCGTGTCATCTTAAGAACTGGGGTTTTATGATTTATTTAAGGAGCCATCTAGTAATAAGGTATACAGGGGTAGGACAGAACCTAATGTATTACAGGCTCCATAGAGGATAGACTTGGGAGGTTGTTCAGGACTGAAGCTGGCTCTGGGCTCCTTGTTGGCTTGTTGCCCCATTAACATCAGGAATTCTTGGATCTTCACTATGGCACTCCCATTGGTATGGATCTCCTACTGTCTATTGATTTCTGCTTCTCTCTAGGCATTTTCTTTTTTCTCTTCTTGTACCATCTGACTGACTCCATCCATGTCTCCAGGAGGAAGAATGTGACCATACTTGCTAATTACCATGGTCCACGCTTAGGGCTCTTACCCCATGGCCTCTTGTAGGTCATCAGTCAACCCACAAAGTGGCTGCCTGTGGTTTAGGTAGGACCATTAATCAAGGGGAACACAGCAGGCTTGTGTTTCACCATAATCATAGCCAACCCCTCTTTGAGACTATTCCCCACAGGACCTCTGGGATCGTGTCAAGCTCAATACATTGATCCAGGTACCCAGAACGCCAGTCACTGTGTCTTTGTCCCCACTCAGAACACATTACCCCTGATCTTTTCTTACCAGCATTCTAACCCTCTAGCCTTCATCGTGGGGAAGCGTTGACAGCTTAATACGAAACAGTCTCACCACAAAACAACCTGCTGGTTTCTGGAAACTCCCCAGCTCCCAGACTAAGGCATTCAGGACAATCCAAACTCCCATTTCCACAAATTCCAGAATGGATTTTCATAAGCATCAGGAACACTGAAAGGGCCTGTAGGCTCCACAGGGCACCTACATTTCCTGGGGCTTCCCTCAGAAAGAAGGTGGAGGGTAAATGCGGTGGCCGCGTATAAGGAAAGGAAAATGAAGGTTTTCAAGCCTGCATGAAGCCTAGAAAGTGCCACTGTGTGTAGCCACACCCATAAATATTTTTGCTTTGGTAAAATTACAGGCAGAGGGCCCTGCCAATTCAGAAAACAATCTATTGGCTGCCATTGCCTTGTGTTCCACACTCTGTGCGGTACCCACTGCATAGAGAAAGTCACCTGGAATTAATAGGATTCCTTGATATTTGTTTTCAACAAATACTTCCTGAATGCCTACTATGCACCAAACTCCACAGTCAGGAACAGGCCTAATCCTGTTGGTGTTTTTATTTCAGTCTCAGCTCTGTCAACCTGCTTGAAGCTGCAAGGAATTTGGTGCTCGGGGACAGGCCTCCACAAGTCCAATGAAGTTGGCTGCGTTTCTGATTCACTTCTCTATCCAAGAATAAAAATAGGGGCTGATCTACTCAAACGATCCTGGGAGATTAAAAGATTTTGAAGCCAAAACAAAACCCGAGATAAGCTGCCTACGTGTGCGTGAGGAGGCAAGTCAGTTCCAGGAGCCAGCAGTGTCCGGGAAGGGCTCCCCGCAGCCTGACAGGACTTGTCCCAGCGACCTCTTCCCTCCCGAGGTCCTGTTACCTGTGTGCGTGTCAGGACAAAGCCCTCTGTGCCACTGGCCTCCCTCTCACGTGGTGCTGTCCTGCCCTTTTTTGCTCGGTAATTTCCAGTTAAAGCTCAGCTGTGTGTGTGTGTGTGTGTGTGTGTGTGTGTGTGTTTATGTCTACTCCACTCATCACAAATACCTTTAATAAGCAAATTTACCTCCTCCATTTGCTGAATTTTATGTCTTCTCTATTCCTTGATGAGAATTGAATGGGATCATTCCATGGCTTTGACATTGGTTTCTTGTCCTCTCAAGGGCTCACAGAGCACGGCCCAGAAAGGACTAATGGTGCCGGTGCTGTAGCAGGACCTCCTCTATTTGGGACAGCCTAGCACGTGAAATCCTCTAGGACCCCCAGCCTGCAGTGGGTGGTCAGTGTGTGCAGTGAAAGAGCAGGGATTCCAATGTTGAGCTGAGGTGAATGTAAAGGGGGAAGACCTCTCAGAAGATGCAGGTAGGAACGGGAGCAAGAGTCCCCCTAAGCAATCTTTCCTTCTTTGCCTTCCACCAGATGTTTGCTAAACATCTGGAAGCAAACACCTGGACCACCTGCAACTTGGCAGAGGGAAGGAGCCTGGCCAAGAGAATAAAAAAGGACCAGCCACACTTCACTGTAAGCCATATCCCCAGGCTTCTCATTTCCCCTACCTGGGGAGGCAATGACAATAATAGACTTCAGAAGTTAATTGACTTAATGAGTGGAACTCCTTCAATCCATTGAAGGCCTCAGTAGAACAACAACAACAAAAAGTGGAGGGAGAGAAAATTCTTTCTCTCTGCCTAATTGCTTGAGCTGGGTTATTGTGTTCTCCTGCCCTCAGACTGCGACTTACACCTTTGGTTCTCCAGTTTCATTTCTGTGGACTTGGACTAGAACTCATACCATCAGTTCTGGTTCTCAGGCCTTCAGAATCAAACTGGAACGGCACCAGCAGCCTTCCTGGGTCTCCAGCTTGCAGACAGCAGACTGTGGAACTTCTCAGCCTCCATAATCACATGAGTCAATTCCTTATAATAAACCTCTCTCTCTCTCGACAGGTAGATAGAAAGATAGATAGATAGATAGATAGACAGATAGATAGATAGATCCCTTTACAGCAGGTGGCAGCTAAGGAGGATCTTCCTAGTGGAGGCTGCATGAACATAAAGGGCAGCCCTAGTGCTGGATCCTGGCCCTTGCAGGTGAGACGGCTCTGATGAGCAGAGGAACACCAGGGTTCTCCGTCTCCAAATTAGATAAAATGACCTGGACATACATGGAGTGGTTTTAAGAAGCAGAGAGTTTAACAGGCAAGAAAGAAGGGAGAAGAAAGAAGGAAGAAGCTCCCCTGTTACAGACACAGAGGAATGGGGAGCTCCAAAGCCAAGAGAGAAGACCCCCTGTGCCACGGAAAAGTGGCTGCTTATATAAATAGGCTGGAGGAGGTGATGTCTGATTTGCATAGGGCTCAGGGGATTGGTTCCACCAGGCATGTCACTCACGTAGCCTGCAGAAAAAACTGGCCCTCCCACCCTAGTCTTTTAATATGCAAATACAGGGCACCATGATGTTCTACACACATGGGGATATGTGGGGGTGGCCATGTTGATGATAAGCACCCCTCCCCTCCCACCTCCCGCACACCCCCACCCCCCGCACCCCCCCACCCCATCTCCCCTACCCCCCCCCGAGAAAGCACACCTATCCTGTTTGGGTTTACCGCTTCTCAATCAACCACACGGGAGCGTGGGAAGACAACTCACAAACCTCTTTGTGTTTTTTTCAGGTTTTGAAGAGCGAGCTATAAGCTATATCGTTTTGCTTTGGAAAGACACTGGATTTAGAACCAGCTGCAGTCCTTTAACAACCTCTCTGACCCTCATTATCCATGTGGCCTTTGGCAACCTCTGTGAGCCTCAGTTTTCTTGTCTTCCCCCGCTATGGGGATGTCAGAGGCAACTCCAGGCGGTAACACACTGGAAAATGCTGCAAGTCCACAGTACTGGGTGGAGAGAAATTTATTGTTATTATTGTTGTTCTCTTTCACCCCAAATGGACAGCTTGATCTTTCCCTTAGGGAAACGCTTTCAAATAAAGTGATTATGTTTTGGAGACCTAGCAAAATGGATTTGGATAACTTCCATCAGGAGGGAGGAAGAGAGCCGGTGGCCTTTTGTTATGAGACCACAGGTAACCAAATGTTTGAAGGAAGGCGCCACGGAAGCCCCCTACCCCGCACACAGCTCTGGTTATCCACAAAGCCCCCACAAATGCTCACTGGTGGCCTGTACCGCTAAGAGCTTCTGTGCTGGCCCTCCCTAGCTGTCTGCCCTTTTTTTTTTTTTTTTTTTTTTTTGAGACGAAGTCTTGCTCTGTCGCCCAGGCTGGAGTGCAGTGGCGCGATCTCGGCTCCCTGCAAGCTCCACCTCCCGGGTTCACGCCATTCTCCTGCCTCAGCCTCCCGAGTAGCTGGGACTACAGGCGCCCGCTACCACGCCCGGCTAATTTTTGTATTTTTAGTAGAGACAGGGTTTCACCATGTTAGCCAGGATGGTCTCAATCTCCTGACCTCATGATCCGCCCGCCTCGGCCTCCCAAAGTGCTGGGATTACAGGCGTGAGCCACCGCGCCCCACCGCGTCTGCCATTCTGCTGAGATATCTATGTGCCTCATCACACAAAACCCCACCGTAGCCCTGAGCGGTCCTGGGTGCATAAATGCCCCGCTTACTTGGGAAGACGCATCTTGGTGGGGTAAGGCCTTTTCCACTTCCCCATGGCCAGGAAGACAAAGGACTAGGCCCAGAAGCCCCCGTGCCTAACATGGTGCCGTGCTGCCACTCATGAAGGCATCAGAGCATGCATGCCCTCACTGCACAGGTGGGGACCCAGAGCCCCCAAGAGGAGAAACGATTTGCCCAGGCCACCCTGGCAATCAGTGACCTGAGACCAGTTCCTACTCCTAGATCAAGGTCCCTTGGCTACTCAGACCTTCTCAAGAAGAAATTCTTGTTCAAATGGACTTTTCCCAAGTGCAGCCTGCTGTGTGCTCCAGGGCAGCCCTCCCACGGTGATTGGTTAACCCCGGGCTCTTCGTGTCAGGTGATTTACCCCACAGCCAGCTAATCTCACCTTTCCTAGACTCTCCCTTTCTTGGCCCACGTGCTGCCCGAGTGACACACTCAGTGCTGTAAATGAGGATGTCACGGTGTGTTCTCAGGTTTTACTGGAAGTGCAGCCCTTAACAAACAGTCTAGTAAACAGCCAGCCCAGGCAGTGCACACGTCAGCAGCCCTGCTCCAGGGCTCCAACGTCAGCAAAGGCGGGGCCCAGGCCTGGAAGCCAAAGCCCTTTCCAGCACCCCTCCTGTCACTGGGCCAGCCCCGCCTGCCTGCTGACTTCTGGAGCTCCCACACTCAAAACTGGGATCTGGGAGTTGTGCTCCCAGGCGACCACATTCCCTTCAGGGGTTGTGCAGAAAAACTGAACCAGAATATGGATAAAGATGCAGAAAATTGAGACTCTAAACTGAAATTGCATGAATGGCAGCCGGAACGTTTATTTCGTGCCTCAGTAACACAGGTCTCCTGTCTACACTGGTCCCATTTAAGATCTCCTTGCTAACTCATGACAAGTAAGAATGGTTTGCTTGTAAAAATCACAGTTCAGCAACAGTCCATAGGAGGACTAAATAATTTATTGAAAGAAAGAAGTGAAAACTCTTCAATAGAAATGTGAGGATGGGCACTCAAATTGGCTTCTTTAAAATATCAGCGAGAACGAAAATGATGACACTTAAGCACCGAAGCTACTACAATGTTTTGATAAGGGGTGAAAGGAGCCTTCTCCCTTTTATCAAAAAGTTCCCCATCTGTCGGCCCTGCAGAGGATCATGCTGATGGGAAACGGGCTACTAAGTAGGACCTGAAAGTGAATGTTGTCCTGAGTTCCAAATCAAACCACCAACAATAAATAACAAGTAATCATAACAATTACTATTGATTTAGCCTTGTTGAGACTCAGAAACCAATACCCCAAAATAGAGGGTTTTAACATGTCGAATTGAGGAAGCCTCAAGGTCTCTCTGACCTTCCCCTATACACACCGTCTTTCCCAAAGAAGCTGAAGTTTCTTTATCTGCCTAAGATCCAGACCTTCCAAGGAGAGCAATTATTCTTTCTTCCCCTTCCCACTTATCTTCTTATCTATGGCAGAAAAGAAGACCAAGGTGTGACCTGACCCGAGAAGACTCCAAGTATCATCTGAATTCCAAAGAAAGCTACTTACAAGGTTATTTCTGTTCTCCCATCCAATCATTCTCCCTGGCAATCATTTATTGCCCCTCAATCGAATTCCTCTTCTTCCCATTCCCATAACCTGTTTTACCGGAATCCAAACCCCCATACGTTCTGTAACCCCACAATGGTACATAAGTTTCTGTAACTCATTGGGAAGTTGGGGCTTCATTCTGAAGGCTTCTGTGCATACACGTTAAATAAGTTTTATGCCTTTTCTCCCATTAATCCATCTGCCTTATGCCTCTCAGCAGAACTTTAGGGGTCAAGAGCCTGTGGCCCCTACAGCCTTAACCCACTAAAATGTAAGTACTCAGAAGGCAAGGACTCTGTCTTGTTCCCAAAGGGGATCTCTAGCCCAAGACAGGCCTTGGCACGTGGCAGCTCAGTGCATGTTTTGAACAGGCGAGTGCATGCATGATGTTGTTCTGCCAGACACTGTATTTCACACTATGTGTCATTATTAAGTCTTTTATGCCCCATGAAACAGATGTGCTTCCTGTTTTATAGATGCAGAAAGGGAGGCTTGGGGAGGTTAGGAAACTTGTCCAAGGGTTCTCAGCTGTATAGTGGGAGCGCTTGGCTAGGCAGCATGGCCAGTCTCCTTCCAGAGCTTATGCAATTAACCATGGCATCAACCTCCCCTCCCTACATGCTACCATCTTCAGCCTAGGTCTCTGGACAGGTCCATGGGTCCCTAAGTCCTCTCTTTGATTGGGAAGGGGATCCCAGCACCCCTGGAATTGCATGCACAATGGCATGTGTCTGGGCTTATGGAGGCTGTGCTGGAGAGAGGGCCCATGGCCTTCAGATTTTCAGAGAAACCTGGGATCAAAAAAAGTTTGAGAATCACTGTCCTGGTTTCAGCACTGAAAATCCCACATCCTGGGATGCCTGCTGTTGGTAGCAGGCAGCATAGAGTCCCCAGAGGAGAAGATTGAGTTTACATTCCTGGCGGTTCTCCTATCTCAGCAGGAGGGAAAAGGCTATGGGAGGTGGGAACAGGGCACAAAGCTCAGAAATGGACTGGGGAAAGGCTGAGGAGGAAGTCCTGGGACAGAATGAGGTGATTGTGACAGCAGCGCTTCAACGTTCGGGGCAGAGGTTCCAACGCCAGATCCCTGCCGAAGGTACCTGCCTTCCCGCTTTCTCTTTAGTTGACGCCACTGTTTCTGGGACAAGTTGAGGAAGGAGCACCAGGCAGTAGAGGTTTCTGAGGAGTGAAAGCGTGGTCAGGAAGACCCCCTCACCCAAAATTCTGTGCTGATGTCTGTTTAGGCGAGTACCTAGGCCATGCGGGGTGATGACATCTGATATTGTGCTGGCATCATCCATAGTTCATGACCAATTCTCCCTCCCTCAACCACTGGGTGGTCCCTGGGGTGGGGGTCCCCAGGAACCCCCAAGAACAGGCCCCCTTGCAGACCAGCAGTTCTGGACAGGTCAGACTCTGAGGCCCACAGTGAGTAGCTTGCAAGAACATCCTGAAAGTGTCCCAAAGCCAATAGAGTGTCCCAAAGCCAACAGAGTCAGGAACATGAACTGTGTGTTTGATGCTCAGAACTGCATTCTGAGCGAGATATCTGGAGTGTGCTCCGGGGCCAAGTTCTCCCGTGACAGATGAGGGGATGGGGCTCTGAGATCACCCAGGTCGCTGCTACAGCTCCAGTCTGGCAACTGGAATTGATCAGCATTTACAGCTAGCTCCAGCCTGCTAAATCAAGAAAGTGAGGAAGGGCTGGCCTGACACATTTCCTTCACAGGCTCAACAATGGCTAGAACCTCCCAGGAGAGCCTGGGCTTCCTTGAGCCATATACCGTGGCAGCCCTATGGCCGGCACCGGCGTGAGTCAGTTTTTGAGATTACAAGGGGGTTGCTGGATGCTTCCTCCTCCACCTGTCTTTTGTTTCCTAAATTCAGGGTGCTTTTGTCCCTGAAGCCCTTTGGAATGTGTGGCTCCAGCTTCCCCAGCTGCTTTTCACCCTAAGGACCAGGCAGCTGCAGACTTCCAGAGACAACAACAGGGAATTATAGGTGTGAGTCCTTCGAGAGGCAGTTCTCCCAAAGCAAGCCCCACTTCCTAAAAGCAGCCACACTTGTCGCTCAAGCAAGGCAGGGAGGAGCATGGACAATGGTGTCAGAGCCACTCCCTTTTGAACATTTGCCTCTACAGAACCTGGCCGGGGCCATGGGATGCCCTGTTTGGCTACCTGAGGCCTGAATCTATCGGGATCTGTAAGAAGCGACCACTGACATTGAGAATGGCACCAGCCATCTCCAGAAGGAGCAGGTCATCTGACTCACTGGCCACACACTTCGCTTGTGGAAGAAAGCCCGAGGCTACCTGGATGAAGAAAGGCATTTGTGCTAAATTAGGCAGTTTACAGACCTAACACCATAAAGCAGCCACAGGGCTCCCTTCTCTCCTCTCAAAATTCTTAAGGTGCCAAAGACGCCCCCACCCACCAGCCTCTTCAATTCCAGGCAGAACCCAGCCCTGTGCCTGGCTGTCATCAAGGGCACCAGGCTGGTGTTTTGGCAACAAACCAGCTTTCAAAGTGACATCAAATTGCTGTGAATCACCCGATCTGATTCAAATGAGGGCTTAGGTGGATTTAGAGATAGCTGATTGCCTCAGATGAATGCACAATTGCCTCAGAAAGTAATTTACCTCTGGGAGTTTCAGGTACTAAACATTTAGAGTTTGCATTTAAACTCTAAACTGGGGCAGGGGCAGCTATTCTTTTGCTGGCAGGACCCAGTGAAGGCTGATCCCAGGTACCTACGACTCTTCTGTGATTGGTGCTTCCCTACCTCCCTGCCCCACCCCATCTAAGCACAATTCATTTTATTTCAAAGATGAAAAGGACCCTCGAAGTCGTGACTTGGTCTCCCCAGTCACGCCCCTAATGAGTGGAGCCCCGTGTCTGTCTGTGTTCTTCACCAGGAGTTTTTTCCATTTCCTGTGACTTTTGTTGCTGCGAAGTTCTTCCTGGTCCTGGGTCACAATTGATCATCTTCCAGCCCCAGTCACCCTGCAGGTCCCCATGGTGGAAGTCAACTCCCCTTCTCATGCCATGTTCCTTCACAGATGTGAACAGCACTCTCTGTCTTATCTTTTAAAGACCCAAACCCTGAGCCCCTCCTACTACCAAACCATGGTTCTAGAGCTCTTCATGTCTTATCCATCCTCCCTCTGGCTTTTCCTATTGGGGGCCTCCTTCTCAGAGGGTAGCAGCTACATACACCAGGGATGGACTCAATAATGTCACCTCCCTTGTTTCAGCCAGTAGACCTCTATTGATTTAATCTGAAGTCACATTGGCCTTTTGGCAGCCTGTCCCAATGGTGACTCATAATGAGATTCATTTAGAGTCAATCAAACTCTTATAAAGGACACTGCCTGAACATATCCAACAAAGCAGGTAGCTGTTCTGTTGAACTTTGGAGCAAAATGTCCGACTTTTACATTTGTCCCTGTTAAATTTCTCCATTTTAATCTGCCCCATCATTCCTTCCCTGTCATTCCTATAGTTTTCTGTCATCTGGGAACCTGTTGCAAGTGCCTTCTGTCGATTGATCCAGATGATTGTTTACAGCGCAATTTTGTTATGGAATCACCTAACTATGTCAGCCTACAGCTTGCTTTCCTCTGCCTTGTTCAGAAAGGTCACAGAAGGCTGCTTCTTCACTGCTTTGCTGAAACATCTTAAAGTGTTGGGCCAGGAGAAGTGTTAGAGACCATCTGCTTCAAGCCCTTCATTTTTCAGATGAAGAAACTGAGGCCAGGTGAGGTAAAGAGGCTGCTAAAAGATCATACAGTGACCTGGTCTGCAGCAGAGCCAAAGATCAGGACTCAGAGATTCCCGTACCCAGGGACCCTCTGGTTATTTGCCCAGCAAGGAAACCACTGGTACACTCCATCAAGTCTGCTGGAAGACTCCAAAACAGTGGACAACAGAGCCCCTGCCCTTGGGAAGAAAGGCTAAGTGGGCCCTGAAAAGTAAGTAATCAACTGATGACTAGAGAAACAGAATGTGGTCCAGACATACAATGAAATACAGTCCAGCCATGGAAAGGAATGAAGCGCTGACGCATGCTACAACGTGGGTGAACCTTGAAAAATTATGGTCAGTGAAAGAAGCCAGTGGCAGAAGACCACATATTGTATGATTCCATTCAGAGGATTTGCCACAATAGGAAGATCCCTCGAAACAGAGAAAGCACCTTCGTGGGTGCCGGGGGGCTGGGGGGTAGGGGGAAATGGGGAGTGACTGCTAATGGGTACAAGATTTCTTTTTGGAGTGACAGAAATGTTTTGGAATTAGACCATGCTGATGGTTGCCCAACAATGTAATGCACTCAAAACCACTGAACTGTGCACCTTAAAATGGTTAAAATGGTGAATTTTATGGCATGTGAATTATGCCTTCATCTTTAACAAGAGCATCAGCCTGTCTTCCTGCTCTCTGGTGGACAGTGGAGAAGAAAGGAAAGGAAGGAGGTCAAGAACAAACCCTTTCCTCCTCTCCCAGCTGAAGAGCTTTGCAGACGGCGGGGAGGGCCTGGAGGGGCCGCTCTCTGGGCAGCTGAGGGTTGCTTTTCCACCTAAAGGGCCTGTCTGCCATGTCCTTCCTGGCGCATCCTGAGTGTCCCCTGGGCTGTGGTCCTGGGACCTCCCCCACTCTTCTGCCCTTCTGCCGCGATGGAAACTGGGCCTCCCTGGGCTGCTGCTCTGCCTTGGAAGGAAATGGGGGACACTTGCTTGGCTCTTCAGCACCCGCCCCGTGCTTCCGCGTTTGTGTGAAGGGCAAAGGTTTTAGCGATCTCCTGCCAGGCTCAGATCCGCTCCTCTACACGGCACGCCTTGCTCTGGCCAAGGCTCCATTCGGAGGAATTCGGGTGCGGCACAGCGTCAGGGTCCAGTGACAGCAGCAGCAGGAGTCACCTGGGAGGCCCCCAGCTGGCCTCAGAGCACGGGCAGGAAGAGGAGCCAGAAACTGAACAGCGGTGGGGAGGGGGTTTGGATAAAGTATGCAGAAATCACCGTGGAGAAGAGAAGCAACTGGGGCTGTTTGAGAAAGAAAAAAAAAAAAATTAAATCCTCTGCCAGTTTGGAAGCGCATTGCTTTCATGTCGGCCTGGCTGATTCCCGCGTGGGCGTGCGGCCCTGGCTCTGGCGGCCTGCCGGGGAGCGGGGAGCGTGGGTGGCCTTCCCAGAACAAAAGTTCAGGCTGCAGGAGTCACCTGCGGGAGAGCCCTGTCCCCTCCCACCAGGGACCGCTCCGCCCACCGCCCAGGGCAGTGAGCACCGCAGCCAGGTAGCCCTGCTGCCAGGGAGGGAGGGCGAACATGCACTGCGCACAACACACAACACATGCACACAACAGACAAAAGACAACACACACAACACATACAACACAAATACAACACACAACACATACAACACAAACACAACAGACAACACAAACAACATACAACACATACACACAACACACACAACAGACCACACACAATATACAACACACACTACAAACAAGCACAATATACTAGACACAATACACAACACATATACAACACACAATACACAACACACACTACAGACAACTTACACACACCACATAACATACAATATACAACACAACACACACACAACAAACCACGCACGCCACAA